>NC_000016.10:69107954-69410985 GCF_000001405.40 Homo sapiens
GTGACTGCGTGTTCTTCGTCCCTTCTACGTGAGAGGCGTCCCGACAGGAAAGTGTGTTTGTTTTGGGGGCTCCGTTTCCTGAGACCTAAGAGTTGGAGCAAGCTTGGAAGCGAGGCATCATTGTCTGTAGACCTCAGTGAACATGGGGTTCTCTAGATCAGGCAGGTGGCAGAGAGGAGATAGTGTGGGTCAGAATGGGAAGGCCGGCAGCCATCCTTGCCACCTTTTCTTTCCCCTCCCTCACATCCCCCTCCCCACCTGCTCTGGAGGAAACCACAGTCACCCTCACCACTAGGGTAGCTCTTCGGGGCCGGAAGTGTTTCCATTTTTAGGGAAATGACTTACCTGAGACATGAGGCAGGAATCCATTAGAACTCCCATTGTGCTATGGGGAGACCAAGTCTCAGAGAACTGGGGCAAGGTCAGGCAGCCAGGAGGCAGAAGTGCTGTCTTAAACCCAATTCTCTAGTGCCAAGTCCTGGGCTGTTATAAAATACAGCTGTTTCCAACAGGGGAGATGTTAGGAGCCCTGACTTAGTTGCAAATGGAAACCGGGCATTGTTTCCAGGAGTGGCTGGGCAGGGGGACACGCACAGAGACGCATGCTGCACGGGCACTAGGACCAAGCGGATGGGATGCCCAGGCAGCCACTGTGGAGGCTGCTGCAGTGGTGGCTGCAGTTCCCTGTGCTTTCTTCAGCCCTGGGCTCTAGGAGGCTGTCCACTCCCCAGCTTGCATTTCCTGGTCTGCCTCTCCCCCTGCTTTCCCTTTCTTTCCTGCCTCTCAAGTAAAAGGTGAGAAAGTGGAGGACACAGGGAAAGTTTCTCTAATAACTGTCTTGAGAAAGGGAAGCTGCTGCTTTTTCCCAATGCCCCTTTGTTTGCTGTTTCTTTTGCTCCTGCACTTTCTTCTTGGGTCTTACTGGTGGCTGCACTTTACTGGTGAATATCCCCTCCAGGAGTGGGTGCAGGGTAGGGGGAAGCTCTTAGGCCACTGGCTGCCTCCCTGGCCCTCAGGTGCCCAGAGCTGCCTCAGGCTCACCCCCTTGAAGCTTACCTCTTCAGCGCTTTGGGCCAGGTAGAGCCCAGTTCTGCCACCCACCAGCCAGATGTCACGTGACCCTCTGGGCCTTGGCTTGTCTACCCCAGTGCTACACTAAGGGCTTTGTATGTGTCGCCCATTTAACCCTCAAAGATGCCTTGAGGTTAGTCCTGCAACCCACATTTTACAGATGACGTAAGGGGGCACAGACATCAAGTGGCAGAGCTGGGATCTGAACCCCAGTAGTCTGGCTTCTGAGTCTACCAAGTCTTATGCTCAGTAAGCGGTAACGGTTTTGATCAGTGGGTCATGTCCACTAGTAACAGAGAACACCCATGCTCCCACGGACTGGAAATGCTGCCTCCTGCCTGACCCTTCATCTCCTGCCTTCTCTCGCCAGATGCCGGTGCAGCTGACGACAGCCCTGCGTGTGGTGGGCACCAGCCTGTTTGCCCTGGCAGTGCTGGGTGGCATCCTGGCAGCCTATGTGACGGGCTACCAGTTCATCCACACGGAAAAGCACTACCTGTCCTTCGGCCTGTACGGCGCCATCCTGGGCCTGCACCTGCTCATTCAGAGCCTTTTTGCCTTCCTGGAGCACCGGCGCATGCGACGTGCCGGCCAGGCCCTGAAGCTGCCCTCCCCGCGGCGGGGCTCGGTGGCACTGTGCATTGCCGCATACCAGGAGGACCCTGACTACTTGCGCAAGTGCCTGCGCTCGGCCCAGCGCATCTCCTTCCCTGACCTCAAGGTGGTCATGGTGGTGGATGGCAACCGCCAGGAGGACGCCTACATGCTGGACATCTTCCACGAGGTGCTGGGCGGCACCGAGCAGGCCGGCTTCTTTGTGTGGCGCAGCAACTTCCATGAGGCAGGCGAGGGTGAGACGGAGGCCAGCCTGCAGGAGGGCATGGACCGTGTGCGGGATGTGGTGCGGGCCAGCACCTTCTCGTGCATCATGCAGAAGTGGGGAGGCAAGCGCGAGGTCATGTACACGGCCTTCAAGGCCCTCGGCGATTCGGTGGACTACATCCAGGTAAGGGCGCCTCCCTAGGAGCGTGTGTACATGGGGATAAGTCTGGACAGCCTGGCAAACTCTCCGCCAAGAATCTGAGGTCTGGTCTAGGTCCCTTGGGTTGTGCACACACCTGTGCACTTAAGAAGGCAACAAGGTGGCCGGGCGCGGTGGCTCACGCCTGTAATCCCAACACTTTGGGGGGCCGAGGCGGGTGGATCACAAGGTCAGGAGATCCAGACCATCCTGGCTAACACGGTGAAACCCCATCTCTACTAAAAATATAAAAAATTAGCCGGGCATGGTGGCAGGCGCCTGTAGTCCCAGCTACTCGGGAGGCTGAGGCAGGAGAATGGCTCCTGGGGAATAAGGCGTGAGCCACCACACCCGGCCTTATTATTATTATTTTTTAAAGACAAAGGGTCTCACTATGTTGCCCAGGCTGGAGTGCAACGGCTATTTAAAGGCATGATCAATACGCACTATAGCCTCAAACTCCTGGCCTTGGGCAGTCCTCCCACCTCATCCTCCCTAGTAACTGCGATTACAGGCACATACACCACCGCACCCAGCTCCATGTTAGCCCTTTTAATCCTCTTAACACTCCCAGGGAGAAGTGCTATTATCTCCACTCATAGAAGGTGAAAGCAAAGCACAGAGAAGCTAAGTAACTTGCCTAATGTCCCATTGCTAGTAGGGTGCAGAGCCAGGATTTGCGCCCAGGCCGTCTGTCTCAAGTCTTCTCTTACCTGTGATGCAGCACTGCCTCAGCAATGGCAACGTGGGGCTGAACCTCTTCATAAGAAAGCGTGGTGAAGAGCAAAAGAAACCATCCTCAAAAACACTCAAAATATTCTAGTTATGGCCAAAAAGTCCCATTCTTCCTAGTGTCAAAGTCATGTCTGGGCGGTGAGAGACACAGGTGCGAATGACTAGCTTCATTTTGTAGGAGCATCGGCAGGGGCGGGACCCTGATTAAACCCTGCCCAGCTTTGGTCAAAGCAATCACTGACATAAGCCTGGAAATTGTACTAGGTTGATATGGTTTCCATCTTCAAATAAAAAAAACTCAAGAGTTGAAAAGATTAAAGACCACATCTTTCAGTACAAAGTAGAAACCCTAGGACCCTGGATTTCTAGGCCAGGATTTTTTTTTTTTTTTTTTTTTTTTTTTTTTTTGAGACAGAGTAGCTGGGATTACAGGTGTGCACCACAACACCCAGCTACTTTTTGTAGTTTTAGTTAGGGACAGGGTTTCTCCATGTTGGTCAGGCTGGTCTTGAACTCCTGACCTCAGCTGACCCACCCACCTTGGCCTCCCAAAGTGCTAGGATTACAGGCGTGAGCCACCGCACCTGGCCTAGGCCAGGATTCTTGATGGCATCCATGCTGCCTCTCTTCCTGACTCTGTTCTCTGACCTCCACGCCTGCCAGAGCAGGGTGCTGCCCATCACTTGATCAGTGCTTGAAGGTGCAGTGGCTGTCCTGCCAGCCCACCTGTGTACCAACTCAGTCTGCTGACAGCATTTTGAGTCCCCTAATACGATTTTTCTCTGGTGTACACACCTAAAATTAGCTCACTCAGATTGCGTGTCTGGCTTTTTTGACAGTTGTCTCTGCATGAGGGTTGATATGTTTATCTTTTTCTGGCTTCCTAGGCCCAGGACCTCCTCAGTCATGGAGGGAGTTAGGAGAGCTTAGCAGGCTGTTTTGACTGCAGTTCACCTGGGGTCGTGGGACCTTGTGAAACTTTCCTGGGGACCCAAATGCTTAGGGAAAAGCCCTTGAGCCCTGGCACAGGCTCAAGCCACAGTGACTTTGTCATCTATTCCCTTCAAGCACAGGATCTCACCCCCACCCCACCCTGCCATCTCCCTTTCCTGGCCATCTGGGTTCTGGTGGATCAGCAAACAGGCTCACACACCTGAGCTGTCTCTTTACAGCCCTGGGATCACTGCATAAGGTTGCCCTGGGCCAGAGCCAGTGAGCGCTTGCTGGATCTCAGCCTGTCTTCTAACCGCCTGCTGCGGAGGTATCTCTCCCTCCTAGGCAGAACTCTGCCCGAGCCAGTGGGGAAACCCAGGCAGCACGAGAGCTCTTCTTTCCCTAACCTTGCTCAGTTAGAAAGACATCCAAGACATCCCTGGACTGAAGGAAGCAAAGCAGCATATAAAGAATGGGCTAGGGCAGGGGCAGGGAGGAGCAGTGAGACCAGCAGAACAGCAGCAGTGCTGGGAGTCTTGGCCTGTAAGTGGAGGAGGCTCTGCTAGTCTGGCCTGAGGCTTCCTGGGCCCTTCCCAGGCATGGACCAGGATGTAAGGATATGCCTGGTGGGGAGGTGGGAAGAAGCACATATGAGGGACTCAGCCTGGTGCTGATGCTGTTCTGATTCCCCCTTAGCCTTCTACTGCTTATCTGTGGCCACCCTGTCTTCCAACATAGAGAAAGCTGGGTGGGGTTGTGGTGTCAGAGGCAGCCTCCTTTCCTGCAGGAATCTTACTCAGCAACTTTAATACAAGGATCTTAGGCTTCTACAGAACAGGGTTTTGGTTTATCTGTGGATCTCTTTGTTGCTCTCCTAACAGTGACCACAGAGTAAATCAGGTCTGTAAACCAGTTCTCCTGGCCAATGCTCACTGGATTTGTGTACCACTTCACTAATTTTTTAGAAACCAGAAAAGGAGTCAGCCACTAGGGCAACTAGTGGCCTGGGTTCAACTCATAATGAGACCACCTGTTAGAATCAGGCCATAAGCCTCCCAAGAGCTGGGCAGAGTTGGCCCTGGGGTCTGCCTGGAGGCAGCTGCTGCAGCTTCCATGCCTATTCAGAGCAGCCTCCAGGGGGAGCCCTCAGCCATACCGTGCCCTGGTCCGAGAGGCTCGGCCAAGGGAGTCTGTTGAGGGCGCAGAGGCCAGCAGCCTTATTACTGGTCTCATAGAGGTGCCTGCAAGTAGGTAGTCTGGTAACCACCAGTGGGCTGCAGGTTGTCCAAGGGGTCAGAGGCTGACACGGGGACCCCTGTGGTTAATTCTGTGGGGTCACTTAAGGCCATATGCAGCCTGTTAGTCCTGGGCTACCCTACTGTGCCTGCCATCTGATTTCAGTGACGTTTCCCTTCTGCCGAAGGACCCCAGAGCAATTTTTTGCGTCCAGTGCTAAGCATGTCTCTCTCCACGCCTGGCACCTACTGTCTTCAGGGTTTCTCCCTCTCAGCCTAGTGGCTGTCAAGTCTGGTAGCTGTACACTTTTACTAGCTTTCATTTTACCTCTGGCACCTTCTGGTAGCGCAGATCTCTTAGCTAGAGGCTGGAAGTGAGTCATGTGTGAAGGGGTCATGTCTCTCAGGCAGTGAGCAGCCTGGCAGTGGGGTGGGGGACAGGGTGTGCAGGTCTGAGGTCAGAATGGGCTGACGACGCACTCCCTCTGCAGGTGTGCGACTCTGACACTGTGCTGGATCCAGCCTGCACCATCGAGATGCTTCGAGTCCTGGAGGAGGATCCCCAAGTAGGGGGAGTCGGGGGAGATGTCCAGGTAAGATGAGACCAGGGATATCTGTGGGGAGGGGTCTGGACTCTTTTTCCTAATCCAATTGGATATGCCTGGGAAATGGGTGTCTTGACTTCCTAGTATTGGGGGGAGGTTCCTCGCTGGCAGTTTTCACTGACACCAAAGAGCTCGCCCCCCTCACTGCCCAACCCCTTTCTTGCTCTTCTTCCACATGAGGGGAAGTCACTTAAACAGGTATGGAGCAGAGTCTATACTGCAGGAGGGGCACAGTATTTTGAGGCCATACATCCTAGAAGGTACTTCCTTTTTGGCCGGTGGTACAGCAAGTAGCTCCAAAGTCAGATCCTTGAGCAGCCCTTGCTCTTAGGAGATGGGCTGAAGAGCTCTGGTCAATACGGTAAGAATAAGGGCCCCAATCTGCCAGAGATACTGAAGCAGCATCCCAGGTCCCCTACAACTTTCCAACCACAGAAATCTCAGGACAGGTGGTTGTGGTGGTGTTTTGCATTCTTCCCAAGCCCCCTTCTCTGCCACCACCACAGGCTGCCTCCTGAGACCGAAGGTGGCTTTGACTGCTAGAGCCACTTAGTGGGGAAAATCTCTGCAGATAAGATGACACAGTAGGGAGGTAGAGCTGGTGCTGGGGACAGGGATTGTGTGTGGTTGGCTCCTCTGAGCCTCAGGTTTCCCAGCTCCAAAGGAACCGATGGCCAGGAATCTAAGCAGCGGGCCACAGAAGCCATGGTAAGGAGGCCTCGTGGTCTCTGATGTCTGTCCTCCGGACGTGCAACCTTAGGAGGCCCAGCATCTCTATTCCCTTGCAGATCCTCAACAAGTACGACTCATGGATTTCCTTCCTGAGCAGCGTGCGGTACTGGATGGCCTTCAACGTGGAGCGGGCCTGCCAGTCCTACTTTGGCTGTGTGCAGTGTATTAGTGGGCCCTTGGGCATGTACCGCAACAGCCTCCTCCAGCAGTTCCTGGAGGACTGGTACCATCAGAAGTTCCTAGGCAGCAAGTGCAGCTTCGGGGATGACCGGCACCTCACCAACCGAGTCCTGAGCCTTGGCTACCGAACTAAGTATACCGCGCGCTCCAAGTGCCTCACAGAGACCCCCACTAAGTACCTCCGGTGGCTCAACCAGCAAACCCGCTGGAGCAAGTCTTACTTCCGGGAGTGGCTCTACAACTCTCTGTGGTTCCATAAGCACCACCTCTGGATGACCTACGAGTCAGTGGTCACGGGTTTCTTCCCCTTCTTCCTCATTGCCACGGTTATACAGCTTTTCTACCGGGGCCGCATCTGGAACATTCTCCTCTTCCTGCTGACGGTGCAGCTGGTGGGCATTATCAAGGCCACCTACGCCTGCTTCCTTCGGGGCAATGCAGAGATGATCTTCATGTCCCTCTACTCCCTCCTCTATATGTCCAGCCTTCTGCCGGCCAAGATCTTTGCCATTGCTACCATCAACAAATCTGGCTGGGGCACCTCTGGCCGAAAAACCATTGTGGTGAACTTCATTGGCCTCATTCCTGTGTCCATCTGGGTGGCAGTTCTCCTGGGAGGGCTGGCCTACACAGCTTATTGCCAGGACCTGTTCAGTGAGACAGAGCTAGCCTTCCTTGTCTCTGGGGCTATACTGTATGGCTGCTACTGGGTGGCCCTCCTCATGCTATATCTGGCCATCATCGCCCGGCGATGTGGGAAGAAGCCGGAGCAGTACAGCTTGGCTTTTGCTGAGGTGTGACATGGCCCCCAAGCAGAGCGGGTAAAGTGCAATGGGTAAGGGAGGGAAGGGGAATGGAAGAGAAAAGACAGGGTGGGAGGGAGGAGGGAGTGCTGTGTTTTAGTCTCTTAATGGTCCAAAGGACAAATCTAAAATGCAAAGAACGGTGATGTAGTATGGCCTGACAGCTCTGTTTAGAGGAGGCAACACTGATCCCCCAGATGCAGGGCTGCAGGGGATTCTGTGTTTTCAGACTGCCTGTCTGCTTGCATCTGCACATAGGCAGTAGCCTCCTCCTGGGCTCCAGAGGGCACTCAGAAGTTGTGCTAAACCAAGTTAAGTCCCATTCAGTGGCAACTTGTGATAGGTACCTGAGTGACGGCAACCTGCGGAAGGAGGTTCTCCCAGCCCATCTGAACACAACCAGAGGTGGCAGGAGAATTTCTACTGAGCGAGCTGGGCCGGTTAGTGTATGTCACCCCCACCCCACCCCTAAGTAGTCATCAATGCAATAAGATTGCGCCTGAGATACAAGGCCCAGAAGCCTGATCTTTGGGCATCAGAAAACAGGGTCCAGGAATGGTGCTTTATGTGAGATACCCCACTCCACATCAACATTCCAGGGATGAGCCAAACCAGCAGGGAGTTAGCACTGAACTGCTTTTAAAAGTGCACATTAAAAAGGAAAGTTTGCCAGGAGGAACAAAGAGATTGTGGTGGTGCTAAAGGAGGCCATAAGCTACACAGAGGCCTTGGGTGTTCCACCTGGAAACTGCTCAGACGTCTAGATGGGTTCTTAGCTTGTCTGTGATCTCTGCTGGGGAGATAAAAAGATTAAGCCCCAACATGTTCAGAAAAGAAGTGAAGTCTTGGGTATTTTAACCTGTATACTCTTGAATTCCTCTCAAATTCAGCTCTGATCTGAGGCTAAGACACACTCCCCACTTCACTTTCTTCAAAGCCACATTTTTTGAGGTATCACTGCAGTCACCTCTTCTACCCTCATCATCATAGGTAAGGTTTTCAAGGTGGCAATTGGGGCGGAGCCCCGGCTCTTATAGAAGCTTCAGCAGGAGGCAAGCGTGTTCTCAGCACATATGGGAACTATGAGGAGCCTCTGATCAAATTGGCTACAATCTTGGAGCTGCTTGGACGGATTCCTTGGCAGCCGGGTTAGCATGTGTGACTTTCAGGCTACTGTTCTTGACAATCATCTCCAATGGAAAGCTTTTCAGTGTTCCCAAAGTGAACTCTCAAATCCAAAATGGTTATCTTTGAGACCATCCATTCTCCTCAGTGGCTTCTCCAGGGAATTCTTACAGCCAAGTTGTGACAGTCACTGCATTTGCCTGCTTCTTTCCAGAAACCAAACTAGGAGATGAAACTGGTTCCTACATCCTAAGGTTCTTGCTTTCTCTCTCATGCCTCCTGAGGCTGTTTTTGGCTGTTTTCCCTCTGCTGCTTTTGGGGAATGAGGGGAAGCCATTTTCCAGTGACTTGCAATCCAGGCTGTTCTCAGCGTTTTGAGTTTAAAACCTGGGATCCTGACTAAGCCTTTGACTTAAGGGTTGCTTGCTTGCCCTCCAAATGTCCTTTCTCAGAGGGGCCAGCTAACCCGTGCAGAACCAGCACTAAGGTGGACAGCAGACAAGAGGGCAAGCCTCTAGTGTACCAAGTGCTTCCTACAAAGACGCAAGGTGTGCTCTGAGCCACAGATGGGCAAACCCTGGTGCTTTCCTTCATCTCCCACGAACTCAAGGGTTTTCCAGGTGTAGCTAACAGTTGCCACATCACACAGACCTCGAGTTTCTGGTAAGACTGCTGGTTGACATCAGACCCAACCCATGAAGGCTGGAAGGCAGCAGGCATTTGCTAAGGCAGCTGATCCAGGCAATCGTTCTGCTGGCCAAGAAGTTAAACTATTTTGAGCATTAGAATGGAGGAAATCCGGTCAGCCAAGTGCAGAGTTCAGACTTCGCTAAGGGCTTGTTTTTCTTCAGCATTTACTTGAAGATTAATGTAGGATGACAGGCTCTCCTGGCTGTCCTACCATCAGCTCTGCCTTGCACTGTGGTCGTCAACTTTCCTCAAATCAAAAACAGGCAGGTACAGGTAGTGGGCTCACAACGTTTGACCTCGACTGGTTTTTCTAAGTTATTTTGTACATTTTTCAGCAGCAAAACCAAACTGGGTCTTCAGCTTTATCCCCGTTTCTTGCAAGGGAAGAGCCTTTATACAATTGGACGCATTTTGGTTTTTCCTCATTGAGAATTCAAATCCTCTTTTGTATTGTTTCTACAATAATTTGTAAACATATTTATTTTTACCTGCTTTTTTTTTTTTTTTTAATTTTCAGGTCAAGTTTTTTATACTGCACTTATTTGTCAAAATAAAGATTCTCACATATGCCGGTTATCTCGAAACTACTACTTTGTATTTAATGAAAGCTAGCTCTTTATTCCAGTTTCCAAAGAGGGACTTAAAATAGAAAGTTTAGTCAGGTGGGACTCAAGACCTGGGCAATATGTCCATCCTGGTAACTACACCCATGGGGGCTTAACTTTTAGTGTAGAGGGTCTTTGGTGAAATAACTAACTGGCAGATGAATGGGCCCTTGCTAAGACTAAAAACCAAAGCTTGCTTCCTCTTGGAGCAAAAGCATTTTAGCCGACATGATGTAAGACTGTAGCCAAGCTGAAACAATGAAAAGCAGAGGAAACTTCCTTCCCTATGAAACAGGTAACAAAACACAGTGACACCAGCAGCCCTCTCATCCCATTTATTAAAGAAACAGTAAGAAAAGATACAATGCAGGAAAACCACCAACCATCCTTGCACACCAGGCCGAACAAAGCACAGTGATTTCTTCCCTTCATCCCCCACCCCCACCCTAATTCCCATATTCCCATCCACATCAGTTTAAATTTTGAGGTTCTTTGATTGATTGGGAGTACCAGTGAAGAGGGAGTTGGATGAGTAGAGGGGCCTTAAATCTGGCCACCTCTAAGTCCCAGGAGAAGGGAGCTGCAGGCCCAGTCAGTCAAGCAGAAACTGCATTCGGTGGGTCTTTCTTTGAAGTGGTTGTCCATCTCCCTGTTCTGTGTTCAAGCCCCCAGGGAAAGGTATGGCAGTAGAGGATGACCAGGTCCAAGCTGCCCAGGTCAGAGCTACGGAAGCATGGTCCGTTCACCAACGCCACGTTTCTAGAGAGCAGTGAGCTGATTCTCCAATGGTGAGCAGGGGACTACATGTGAACTGGGACCTGCAGGCCAATGTATCCCTGAGGAAAAGTCCACAAGAACAATTCAAGAAACTAGTAAGAAACAATGGGCAGAAAGCTGTGGGACGAAAGCACAGCAGGCTTCTGGGAGGCTGGAGATCCTTTCTCTCAAGGGCAGGATTATTCCCACCTGCCACAGTTCACATGCCACAAATAACATCTCACCTTCAGTCAAGAAAAACGCAAAGGAAAAAGATGGCTCATTTGAACTTGAGCCCAAGCTATGTTCTTCAGACTGTAGCTCCACAACTACCCTTTTACCTAAGACAGCCCCTGCCAAGAACCACAGTGCCTAGAAACCAAGGTGGTCCTGGAGGGAAAATGGTGTTTAAGGGGGCAACATTCCATTTGGGTACATTGCAGCCATTGGACCCCCTGGTCTGGGGAAAGCAGCTGGGTTTGTGCCAGGGAGGCTCCCCACTCTAGGAAATGGGACGAAACTCTTGCCTGCAGGGCCATTCATCCTTGGAAAGGAAGCTGGGTTGAGACCCAGGGTCCCAGTTGGCCTTGTGAAAGGAGCTGGGTTGATACCCACAGGGCCAGCTGGAGAAGGGCCCAGATGCCCGGCAGCTGGCCTGGGGAAAGTAACTTGACCAGGGCCTAATGGGCCAGTAGACCTTGGGAAGGTAGTTGGACTTGGACCCTGCAGGCCAGTGGCCCTTGGGAAGTTAGCTGGGTTGGGGCCAAGTGGCCCAGAGGCTCTTGGGAAAATGGTTGGATTTGAGCCCTGGAGGCCAGCGGACCTTTGGAAGGTAGCTGGGTTTGATGCCAATGTGCCAGAAGACTGAGAAAAGGCAGATGAACCTGCTCCCCTGGGAAAGGGATTGGCATTTACCCCCATGGGGCCAACTGGCCTTGAGAAATGAGCTGAATTAGGGCCTATGGGGCCAGGAGCCCTTGACATGGGAGATGGATTTGGCCCTGGAAGGCCAATTCCCCGAGAGCTAGGACCCGAGTTTGGGCCCATGGGGCCAGGTACTCTTGCCATGGAGGATGGGCTTGTGCCCATGTTTCCAGAAGCCTGTGAGAAAGAAGCTGAATTTGCTCCTAAAAGACCTGCTGCTCTTAGAATGGGGGCAAGATCGAGGCCTTGAGGTCCAGCCATTCTTAAGTTAAGACCAGATCCTGTGCCCAAGAGGCCACCTGCTCTGGCATCTAGATTAGGGCCTGGGCCCAGGCCACTTGGTCTTGGGTTGGGCCCAAGGCCTGGGCCTGGAAACACACCTGACCTGGGGGCAGGGTTTGTCCCTAAAAAGCCTGATCTCAGATTGGGGTTTGGTCCTGGGCCCAGGCCAACTGGCCTAGGATTGGGAGGACCATTCCCAGAGGTTAACAGAACACCGGCTCTCAGGTTAGGTCCAGATCCAGGGCCCATGGGACCACCACCTCTGGGGTCAGGACCTGCTCCCAGGAGACCACCTGCCCTTGGGTTGGACATAGGACCTGGTCCTGGGAGACCCCCTAACCTGGGGTTAGACAGAGGCCCTGGGCCTGGCAGAGCCCCTGTCCTAGGGTTTAGGGTGGGGCCTGGGCCTGGGCCTGGCCCCAAGAGGCCACCAGGCCTTGGGAAAGAAACTGCACCTGTGCCAGTGGGATTCATCCCTCTTGGAAAAGAAGCCATACTTGGGTCACGAGCACCAGCCGGGAAAGGTGCTGGATTTGAAGCCAATGAGCCTGATGAAGCTGGAAAAGGAGATGGGTTCCTTGGAAATGGGGTCAGATTTCCACCAAGAGAACCGGCCGCCATAAGGAAGGGATCCGAGTTCACACCCAGTGGGTGGCCTGTGTTCAGAACAGGACCCCCCTGTGGTCCCAGGGAACCGTCGAGCCGTCCTCGAGGTGGCAGCGGAGCACGAGTCCAAGGAGTTGGCCGCTCTCTAGGGAAAATCCGAGGTTCTTTCATACTTTCTTGGGGACGCTGGTGATAATGGGCTTGGGGCGGGTTTTGAAAAGGATCTTGTCTTTGATGAGTGCTGTCACCAGGTACCGGGTGCCAGTCTCGCGGCCAAGCTCATCACAGTCCTGATCCCCAGGAGTGTGTTTGACAAGGACTGCAAAAGGTTTCTCCAGGTGGATGATTTTCCCATACAGGATATGATGCCCCACGATCAGCACAGGGATTCCCTTTGGCAGAACAAGAACGAGATTCCTGAGGTTCCGGGGCAAGGCCATAACACTCAGGCGCCTCCTAAAGCTGCTCTTGGCAGGCTATGCTGGCACCTCCAATCCCTGGTCTGGCTCTGCCATTGTTGAGCAGCCACACTGGACCACCCACCCATGTGCCCTTTTTACTTTCTAGCCCCACATAGGAGAATTTCCACTTTCAGAAATGTGAGCTTTCCAGATTCCCCAAAATTAAATTTCCCTGCTACTGCAGAGGTAGGGGGAGAACAAGCAGAGAGCATCGCAGATTAGCTAGGCCTTGAATAACAAACCTGAGGCAGTCCTCACTCTGGGTCCTGGGAGCACCACCTTGGTGTAGCTTGCTTTCCTGAGGCATTAGGCAGGGAAAGAAAAGCCCCCTCACCTCAGTGGTGTAATGTAGGTCTCCCAGGAGGTTTCCAGCTAATCCAGTGCTGTAGCGAGCCTCGATCTCCCCCTGTAGCTCCATCAGCACCCATTCTGCCAGGCCTCCAGCCCTCGCACTGCAAGCAAAGGGCTGGCGGTTACAATATTTTTGAGGGGTGAAGGATGAATAGTGTCCTCACACCACCATTTGAGGCCCAAAGGACCTCTTTGTTGGATGTCAAGTTCTTGGGAAATTGGGCAGTGCTAGGCATGGAACTAGAGATCAGAATGCAAGGATTTGTACAAGATGCACCTAAGGACCCTGATTCTTCCAGACACATGGCACACCTCTATAGCCCTCATCATTTCAAGCCAAATTTTAAAAT
The DNA here is from genome assembly GCF_000001405.40 of Homo sapiens. Taxonomy (NCBI): domain Eukaryota; kingdom Metazoa; phylum Chordata; class Mammalia; order Primates; family Hominidae; genus Homo; species Homo sapiens. The sequence continues at coordinate 69,121,420 of NC_000016.10, forward strand.
CTCAAAATGTACTTACCTGGAAATAACAATTTGCACCATGAGCTTTCTGTCTTTAAAAAGCAAGTGAAAACAAGCTGTAGAGAGAAAAAAAGAGATTTAGGGTAATAACAACAACAACTAATAATGACACCTAATGCAACCTCCACCTCCCGGGTTCAATCGATTCTCCTGCCTCAGCCTCCCGAGTAGCTGGGAATACAGGCACCCACCACTATGGCCAGCTAACTTTTTGTATTTTTAGTAGAGATGGGGTTTTTTTTTTTTTTGAGACGGAGTCTCACTCTGTCACCCAGGTTGGAGTGCAATGGCACGATCTCAGCTCACTGCAAGCTCCGCCTCCGGGGTTCATGCCATTCTCCTGCCTCAGCCTCCCGAGTAGCTGGGACTACAGGTGCCCGCCACCACGGCCGGCTAATTTTTTTTGTATTTTTAGTAGAGATGGGGTTTCACCATGTTAGCCAGGATGGTCTCGATCTCCTGACCTCGTGATCCACCCACCTTGGCCTCCCAAAGTGCTGGGATTACAGGTGTGAGCCACCGCGCCCGGCCCTAGAGATGGGGTTTCACCATGTTGGCCAGGCTGGTCTTGAACTCCTGACCTCGTGATTCACCCGCCTCAGCCTCCCAAAGTGCTGGGATTACAGGTGTGAGCCACCATGCCTGGCCGACAACTAATATTTATTACTTACTGTGTGCTAGGTACTTTTCTAAGTCCTTTAGACACATTTTATCTTGTTCCTCTAACAATGCCCTAAGTGGGAATTGTTCTTTTACCAATATTGTACATATGAGATAGGGTTGCTTAAAATCACCAATGGTCAACTGTATGTGCAAAACTAATTAAGATCACATAGCTACTAAGGAAAAGATGATATGAACCGAAGACATACATTGCAAAGACCATACTCTTGCTCACTATGCTGATGTGCCTTTCTTAAGGATATTCTTTTTTTTTTTTTTTTCTTTTTCTTGAGACCAAGTTTCACTTTGTCACCAAATCTGGAGCGCAGTGGCGCCATCTCGGCTCACTGCAACCTCTGCTTCCCGGGTTCAAGTGATTCTCCTGCCTCAGCCTCTTGAGTAGCTGGGATTACAGGTGCATGTCACCATACCCAGCTAATTTTTTTTTTTTTTTTTTTGGGAGGGAGTCTCACTGTGTCACCCAGGCTGGAGTGCAGTGGCATGATCTCAGGTCACTGCAACCTCTGCCTTCCAGGTTCAAGTGATTCTCGTGCTTCAGCCTCCCGAGCAGCTGGGATTACAGGCACACAACCACCATGCCTGGCTAATTTTTGTATTTTTAGTAGAGACGAGGTTTCTTCATGTTGGCCAGGCTGGTCTCGAACTCCTGACTTCAGGTTGGCCACCCACTTTGGCCTCCCAAAGTGCTGGGATTACAGGCGTGAACCACCGCACCTGGCTTAATTTTTGTTATTTTTAGTAGAGATGGGGTTTCACCATGTTAGCCAGGCTGGTCTCAAACTCCTGACCTCAGGTGATCCACCCACCTCAGCCTCCCAAAGTGCTGGGATTACAGGCATTAGCCACCACACCCGGCCTTGATCTCTTGACCTCATGATCCGCCCACCTTGGCCTCTCAAAGTGCTGGGATTATAGGCTTGAGCCACTGCACCCGGCCTCTTACTTTTTTCTTCTTTTGAGACAGGGTCTCACTCTGCTGCCCAAGATGGAGTGAGCAAAATCATAGCTCACTGAGGCCTTTACTGCCCGGGCTTAAGTGATCCTCCTACCTCAGCTTCTCAAAGTGTTGGGATTACAGATGTGAGGCACTGTGCCCAGCCTAGGGTAGTCTATTTCCTACTCTGCATGTTTCTTAAAAAAGCCTATGGAGTTTCTTAAGATTTTACTTTTTTCTTTGGTAATGATGTAAGCTTCAAGTCTACCTCCTTGGTTATCAAGGTTCAAAGGGTCTCCCTTTAAAAATAAAGCCAAGGGGGCCAGGCGCGGTGTCTCAGGCCTGTGTTCCCAGCACTTTGGGAGGCTGAGGCGGTGGGTCACTTGATGTCAGGAGTTCGAGACCACCCTGGCCAACACGGTGAAACCCAGTCTCTACTAAAAATACAAAAATTAGCTGGGTGTGGTGGCAGGCACCCATAATCCCAGCTATTCGGCAGGCTGAGGTAAGAGAATCACTTGAACCCTGGGAGGCAAAGGTTACGGTGAGCCAAGATTGCTCCACCCTGGGCGACAGAGTGAGACTGTCTCAAAAAATCAATCAATCAATCAATAAATCCAAGGGAACTGAGAAAGTCCTCCAACATCTTTAGTGAATGGTAAGCTGACTTCTGATGTGATTCTTATCAAAAGCTTTCACCACCTTTCACTTAGATATGAAAATATCTTAGATAATTAGATAACAGACTTTGGCCGGGAGCAGTAGCTCACGCCTGCAATTCCAGAACTTTGGGAGACCAAAGTGGGTGGATCACCTGAGGTCAGGAGTTTGAGACCAGCCTGGCCAACATGATGAAACCCCATCTCTACTAAAAAAAAAAAAAAAAAAAAAACAAAAAATTAGCTGGGTGTGGTGGCGCACGCCTGCAGTTCCAGCTACTTGGGAGGCTGAGGCATGAGACTCAGTGGAACCTGGGAGATAAAGGTTGCAGTGAGCTGAGATCACACCACTGCACTCCAGTCTACACAGAAGAGCAAGACTCTGTCTCAAAGGGGAAAAAAAAAAAAAGGATAATATGCTTTCATTTTATACAACAGCAGCACCACCTGGTGGCAAACTTGGAGTACTTTGTAAGAACTGGACATTTTTGCCTAAAGACAATTGGCTTCACTTTCTGTGATGCATAGATTCATGGGGGGCTGATAGGATCGGGGATAAAACTACAGCTTCTGGCTAAGTACTGTCAATGTATTATGCAGTTTAGTGGAAGGTTATTAGTTCAATGTTTACCACCTGTAGTATGGAAAGTTAATAGGTATTATAATTGTGCTCAAGCTTAGCAAACACCCGATTAAAATGTTAAACAGATTTTTTTTTTGTTTTTTTGAGATGGACTCTCACTCTGTTGCCCAGGCTGGAGTGCAGTGGCATGATCTCGGCTCACCACAACCTTCACCTTCCAGCTTCAAGTGATTCTCTTGCCTCAGCCTCCTGAGTAGCTGGGATTACAGGCGCCCGCCACCACGCCAGGCTGGTCTCGAACTTCTGACCTGAGGTGATCCACCCGCCTCAGCCTCCCAAAGTACTGTGTTTACAGGAGTGAGCCACCACCCCCAGCCGATTTCTTTAAGAGACAGGTCTTACTATGTTGCCCAGGTTGGTTCCAAACTCCTGAGCTCCAGGGATCCTCCCACATCAGCCTCCCAAAGTGGTGGGATTACAGGCGTGAGACACTGTGCAAGCTTGAGATTTCTTTACTGGTATGTTAATCTTCCTTTTGGATCTGCAGCCTTATAGTATGACTCTACTCCTAGAGCACCAAACACTTTGGGAACATGAAATTGGTCAACTCACTAGACTTTTTTTGAGACAGAGTTTCGCTCCTGTTGCCCAGGCTGGAGTGCAATGGCGCGATCTCGGCTCACCGCAACCTCCACCTCCCGAATTCAAGCAATTCTCATGCCTCAGCCTCCCGAGTAGCTAGGATTATAGGCATGTGCCACCATGCCCGGCTAATTTTGTATTTTTAATAGAGACGGGGCTTCTCCATGTTGGTCAGGCTGGTCTCGAACTCCCAACCTCAGGTGATACGCCCGCGTTGCCCTCCAAAAGTACTGAGATTACAGGCTTGAGTCATTGCGCCCGGCCAACTCACTAGACTTTTTAAATTCAAATATAAGTAGCAGCTAACATGTTTTGAATTTTTACTGTGGAATTTTTACTGTGCATATATATTGGTGGTTTCTCATTCAACCATCATCACAAGTCTATGATATAGGTATTTATTCCTATTTTGCAGATCAGGCTACTGAGGCACACACAGATGAAGTCACTTGCTTGTATGTTGGACACACACAGCTGCTATGTGACAGAGTAGAAATCTGGGCCATCTGACTATCTACACTCATAATCACTACACAATTCTGCCTTCCCAAAGGAAAAAAAGTATTAATGAGAACGAAAAAGAATCAAGGCATCAGGCAGGCATGGAGTATATGCAATAGCTGGTCAGAAGGGCAATATGGAATCAAGAGAGCATCCTTGAATTGAGTCAGACCTTCTGCACCAGCACAGATTGTGGGACCACTGGAAAAGGGGTAATACCCAAGCTCAGAACCCAAACATTTCCAAAAGAGGCCCCACCACTACTCTCAACAGAACTAAAAGCACTTTAAAAATCCTTTTATAAGGTTTCTTGAAGAAGGATAACAATTTAAAATCAGAAGGCCTAAATTTAGCTCTCCTGCCTGTAAGTGTGGACCTCTTTACTGTGTAGTCAAGAACAAGTCACTTTGTGACTATGACACCTAGATTATGTCCTATGAAACTATTGCAAAGACCAAATATAACATCTGCTGAGGTGCTTTAAAGACCCCAAGTTCTATTGAGATGAACTAAGTTTTTTGAGACAGTGAGATAAGAAAATCAGCATTCTGACCCATAATTTTGACAATTTAAGGAATGGTACATTTTAGCCACGAATCAAAAAAAGGCTCAATAATGCACACAGAGAAGGGGCTCTTGCAAATATGCTTTTGAAGATGATGTAGTATATTTTCCTGGATGGGTACAAGTGACAGTAAAATACAGGTGGTTTTAGAGAAGCAATAAGGTGTTCACATAGGTACACGGTATATTCTAGGAAGATCAAGGCAGGGAAGGAGACAGAGCCTACTTCCTGACAACCAAAATCAATCGTTAAGCACTGTGACCATGTGCTTGAGAAAAATGCCGAAATATTTTCAGTGCATTCTCCATTTCCTGGACAGTCTCCTGTTCTGAACAGGAATTCAGAACAATGGTGTCGAAAACACATTTGGTTGCTGGGATGGCACAGCTGTACTTGCATACCAATCCCCCATGCCTCAATAACAATGCACACCTTTACACACTGATGCAGGAGGCTCTGCCTGTGTACATCTATGGCATTACCAGACATCTAGCAATGCTCCTGCAAATAGTTCTGTGGCCCACAGGCCTCAGCATCTTACCACCATGCTCAGTCAGGCTGGTAAAAACTTGTCTTATCCTAGAACTATTGGGATGCTGCAGATGTATGTAGAAATGAAGTTCGAGCCCAGCTTCTAAGAGTTTAGTTCACAGGAACTTACAGACTGCTCTGGCTACAGTTAGGTAATTTATACGCACGTGGGTGTATTTACTACTAGTCAGGAACGTAGAGGAGGGCATCCTTTAGTGAATTTTAAAATTCTACTTTAGCACCTTAAAATATCCTGTAACACCTGAATTCTGTTATTTCTTTTCTTGCTCCTTGAGATTCTACTCCACACAACTGTTTCTAGGGCACAGTAGGTAGGGATTCCTGAGTACTCCCCTGAGGACACACCTGATGGAGGTGGCAGGGAGTATATATTTCATTCAGTGTAGAATTGATTAAAAAGTGTATGAGGCCGGGCGCGGTGGCTCATGCCTGTAATCTCAGCACTTTGGGAGGCCAAGGTGGGCAGATAACCTGAAGTCAGGAGTTTGAGGCCAACATAGTGAAACCCCATCTCTACCAAAAATACAAAAATTAGCCGCGCGTGGTGGCGGGTGCCTGTAATCCCAGCTACTCGGGAGGCTGAGACAGGAGAATTGCTTGAACCTGGGAGGCGGAGGCTGCAGTGAGCTGAGATTGCGCCACCACACTCCAGCCTGGGCAACAAAGAGCAAAACTCCGTCTCAAAAAAAAAAAAAAGCATATGAGAACATGCAACCCAATGTGCCCCCATCCCCTTGAGAGTAGACAGAGTGAGTAGAAAAAAGAGGTGGGGAAGAAGTACAATACAAATAAATCCCTATTAGAAATCACAAGCATAACAATGGAAATTATCTGTATAAGAAGAATATGTCTAAGTCTTCAGTCTCAATTCATTCCAGCAACACTGAAAGACGACTAGAGCAATTTCTAGTTGTTTGTTCTAAGATGGGGCTTGTTTAGAAATTGCAGCTCTATCAAGAGCATCTGAAGGCACGATTTGATGAATACGCTATACATGAAGTCAAGAAACTAAAAGAGAGTCAGTGGAAGAGCTCTCCCGGCAACTTTTTTTTTTTTTTTTTTTTTTTTGTGAGACAGTGTCTCCCTCTGTTGCCCAGGCTGGAGTGCAGTGGCTCGATCTCAGCTCATTGCAACCTCTGTCTCCCAGGTTCAAGTGATTCTCCTGCCTCAGCCTCCCAAGTAGCTGGGACTACAGGCGCCCGCCACCACACCCGGCAACTTTTTGTATTTTTAGTAGAGACAGGGTTTCACCATCTTGGCCAGGCTAGTCTCGAACTCCTGACCTCAAGTGATCTGCCCACCTTGGCCTTCCAAAGTGTTGGGATTACAGGCGTGAACCACCGTGCCCGGCCAAATTTCTCTTTCTTCTTTTTTTGAGACAGAGTCTCACTCTGTCACTCAGGCTGGAGTGCAGTGGCGCAATCTCGGCTCACTGCAACCTCCGCTGCCCAGGATCAGGGGATTCTCCTGCCTCAGCCTCCCGAGTAACTGGAATTACAGGCACCTGCCACCGCGCCTTGCTGATTTTTGTATTTTTAGTAGAGATGGGGTTTCACCCTATTAGTCAGGCTGGTCTTGAACTCCTGACCTCATGATCCACCCGCCTCGGCCTCCCAAAGTGCCAGGATTACAGGCGTGAACCACAGCGCCCGGCTAACTATCTCTTAAGAGCAGAGTTCAACCCCAGATTTGGCTAGGACTAACATGTCTTTCGTTAGGAACAATAATTCTAGGTTGACAAGGTTAACTGCAGAGCCAGGGAGAGACTTCTGTGATGTAGCTTTTCAAAAAGATTTAAATTCATTATATTACAGTGTGGTATCAGACTCACAGGCCACAACTCATGTGTAGCCTTGGAAAGATAAGAAGGTATAAAGAAAACCAAACCTTTCCCTGCAATAAATTATGTATCCTGTCCCCAATCTCATGAGGAGGGAAAAAAGTTTTCTACTTGATCTTTATGGGCCTTCACGCAGCTAAATGAACTAAACAATACATAAATTCTGTATTCCTAAGTTAGTCAAACGACTTTATCTCAGTAAAGGAAACTTTTTTCCCCTCAAAAAGGCACCAGCATTCAAAGAATCAATCCTGACCCACAATGGGAACCCTACCCAAAACTAAAAAGCTTTGGCTGTAATCAGACCACTCTAGAATATACCTTATTTAACCAGCATTTGGCTTCTCTCTCTCTTTTGAAATTAGTAACTATTATTATAAAAAACCCGCCAGGCACGGTGGCTCACGTCTATAATCCCAGCACTTTGGGAGCCCAAGGCGGGTAGATCATGAAGTCATGAGTTCGAAATCAGCTTGACCAACATGGTGAAACCCAGTTTCTACGAAAAATACAAAAATTAGCCAGGCATGGTGGCGCTCACCTGTAATCCCAGCTACTCAGGAGGCTGAGGCAGGAAAATCGCTTGATCCTGGGAGGCGGTAGTTACAGTGAGCCGAGACTGTGCCACTGCACTCTAGCCTGGGTGACAGAGCAAGATTCCATCTCAAAAAACAGACAAACTGAAACAAAACAAAAAAAAAACTGGCAAATCAAAGCACCACCATGATTTCTTAAGAAAAGCCCAGGCAGAGGCCGGGTGCGGTGGCTCACACCTGTAATCCCAGCACTTTGGGAGGCCGAGGCGGGCAGATCACGAGGTCAGGAGATCGAGATCATCCTGGATAACACAGTGAAACCCCCTCTCCAGTAAAAATACAAAAAATTAGCCGGGCGTGGTGGCAGGTGCCTGTAGTCCTAGCTACTCAGGAGGCTGAGGCAGGAGAATGGCGTGAACCCAGGAGGCAGAGGTTGCAGTGAGCCGACATCACGCCACTGCACTCCAGCCTAGGCAACAGAGCGAGACTCCGTCACAAAAAAAAAAAAAAAAAAAAAGGAAGAAAAGTAAAGTCCAGGCAGAACATTATTTTTATAATACAAAAGGCTTCATTTCTCACAAGCTAGCCTCGTTCACTTATCTGTATCCTCTTATTTCACCCTGACACCCTATGCTTTTAGCAAGGTCTTCTCACTCCCATTTCACAAATGAGGAAACAGGCTTAGAGGAGCTAAATGTTAACTGGTCACACAGCTACTTAAGTGGAGAGCTGGGATATGAACCCTAACCCCTCCACAATCTGGCCCCTCTTGCAGTTCTCCTCACACAGCCCCCTCCTGTAAAGCACCTCTGTATGATAACTTCCCTTGCTTTACAAATATTAGCCTCGTTCTCACAGCATCTCTTACAAAATGGCAAAGTAACCTATGGAAAGACCTTGTAACTTGCCACCAAAGTATTATATCTGTGGGGTAGGCAGCTAAAAACAAAGAAGCAGCTTGCTTTTTATCATACCCAATTGAGATGTTTCAGTTTTTGAAACTTTTAGAAAAATCTACTCAATGCCACCTCTAGGACGCAAAGCTTTACCCTCTGCTCCTGAATGTGAAAGTCAAGAGAATAGAGGACATTCTTTGTCAAGTATTCATTTTAATCTTCCACAGAATTTAATTCTTACCCTCTGGTCTCTGAATTGTTAAATATTAAATTGTTAAAAGATTACTGTCTTACAGAGAACAGAACAGCCTGAGCAATGATCCTCATAATCCTTCAAAATAAAATGTGGCAGAAGAAAGTGTGATATGTATCCAATTAAACCGAACATATGGCTTATAGCAAAAAAGAGGCTTTGACTCAACGGTTTAACCTCAATACAAATAACTAAATTTTAATAAAGCTAAACAACGTTTTAGAAATTTTGTTTTTTTTTCAAACAGGAAACCAAGCCTTTAAATTCTCAACCCTTAAACATTCTTTTCTAAACTGGGGTGAAATCAATTATTTCAGAGTGTAAATATTCACAATTTTCTATTTTTTGCTAGGCCAACAGTTGGCATTTATTGAGCTTTTGTTTTTTGATCCCAGGGTGGATACTTTGTTTACGAATATAGTGAAGCACTCACTTGTCATACAGACCTGGATTCTGTGATTTTGCCACCTATCCCATATGTGACAGTGGGTAGTTTAACCTCACGTGTTTTCCTAACAATACACTGGGCATAAACACCTATTTTGAAAGGCTGTTGCAAGAACGAGTAATGAATGTAAAGCTTTTAGCACATTGTCTGACACATGGTAAGCCTTCAGGGTCAAGCTATCGATTTCCCAGAGAAAGGTGGCATTTTCTTAGTATTCATCAAATAGAATGTCTTAATACTACACTGTGTTAGCATATTAATGTTTATAACGGACTAAAGCATTCTACGAAAGCAGCAGGTCATCAGAATAAAATCAAGTTTTCATAACAGTAGAATTCAAACATGGCAGTTGTGGTTCACCAAACTGCTTCAGGGATTAAGTTCTGGAAGGTAATTTCTCTAAATATGATGACTATGTCTCTATGTGCCTTTCTACCAAGTGAACAACTCAGAACGTTTTACATACAACCGAATACAGATTATTTTTATTTGTAGTGTTATCGTGGTTTTGTAACTGAAGGGGACAGGTCTATACTTTTGAAGGGGATCTTGTCTCTTGAAAGGCTTATGTTACTAAGTCTAAAATCCTGTTTCCAAATGAGAATCTTGCTCCCCTCCAAAAAGGGGCTTATGGAGGGTTGGTGGAATTGAATGCTTCCAAACTTTACATTAGTGAAGTGTGTTCAAAAACGTGTGTGGATGCTATGCATACACGTGATACTTCCCATCACATTTTAGGATTCCCACGTTGGAGGGAATCAATTACTGGTATTTGTAGCAATGGGTGGAAAAGATGGCTTCAGTCGATCTGAGTTACTGCAGTTTTCTCCATCTTCTGCTACTCTGCAGCCCCATCTTAGCCTGTCCTCCTCTTAATGGTACGGCCCCCTGTACTCCCCCAAACCCTTTCCTTTCTAGCCCGGCGTAGAGTCTCCCTCTGTGCTCTTCCTCCCACCCACCCCCATCTTCTCCACCCACTCCCTCTCGGCCCCCTCCCACCCTTTCTGCTAGAGCTACAAACACTTCCTATTTCTAGTCCCACCCACTTTCTGGGACTTCTCAATCCGCTTCCCCCCTCTTCTCCACCCCCCTCCAAATTACAAGCTGTTTTAACCCCTTTTCCTGCCTCCCAGGGAAACTATTCTTTAAACCGCCTTCCTCCACACCACCCACTGGAGTGGTCTTCCAAACCGTTCACCCTCTTCCCAAAGATTACTCTTTAAACGTCCTTTCTCTACCACCCTCGTTCTCCAAATTGTTCCCGGTTCTCAAGTACTCCACTCCTCCAGGACCCCACCCCACTCGTCTCTCGGCTTCCCTCCCACAAAAGAACCTGGAATGACTCTCCAACCACCCTTCCAATTACCTCTCCCAGAAGCCTCCCCCCTCCACGATTACAAATGTTACCTGGAACAAAACCTCACGGTCCTAACCCCCACCCCGAACTCCCCTTTCTGCTCTTCCCGCTACTTCCTAGGTTCCAGTTCTACTCCGCTCCCGCAAGCATAGCGGGCTGGGCTCCCTCCCAACCCCGGGAAGAGCCCCTTCCCGCACGTACCTCGAGATTCCGGCCCTCGCCGCCCCCTTCTCCGTCCTCCGCCCGCGCTCGGCCACCCTTTCCGCCCTTCTCCCGCTCCGCCCCGCTCGCTCCCTTCCTTCCCTCCGCCTTCCGTCTCCACACCGCTCCCTTCCCCCACACTCCTGGCCCTCCCACCCCGGAGGCCCCTCCGGGCTTGCCCCCACCTCCGCGCCGCCCTCCCGCCGCCCTCCCCCTTCCCGGCCACCCCTCCCCCGCCCGCGCTCCCCGCCCCTCGGCTCGCCATTCTTCTCTCCGAGCCGCGCGCCCCGCCCGGCCCCGGCTCCCTAGCTTCCCGCTCCCTCGCGCCCTCGCCCCCAATCCCGGCTCGGCCCTCGCTCCCCGCAGCCTCCCGTGCCCCCCGCCCGCGGCCTGACCTGCAATGGCGGCCGCCGAGCGCGGCGCCGCGCGGCCAACGGGCGACAACCGAACCTCCCGCCGCCGTCGCCGCCGCCGCGAGCACTGCCTGCGCACTTCCGACTATGCGCCAGGAGCACTTCCGGGGCAGAGCCTGAGAGCGCGCGCGCACGTGGGGCCGGGGCGGAGAGAGGCGAGCACCGGGAAGGGGAGCGTGGGGCCGCTGGTGAGTTGGGGAAGGGGCGTGGGAAGCGGCTGCGAGAGCTGGGGGGGTCTTACAAGGTGGCCGGCCCAGGGTCGGCGTCCGGCTGAGCTCCTTGTCCCGAGGGTCTCCTTGTCCCGAGGCGGGGTGGGGGCTACTCTGTAGACTCGGGGAGAGGGAAGGGGAGGCGAAGACCGCGCGCGCCTCAGACGCCCCGGCCCGACCGAACGCGCTTGCTCTGTCTGCGGGTTCCTAACCTTGAAGCTAGGCCAGTGAGGGGCGAACAAGACCTGGTCTCTACTCTCGGCCAGTATATATGTTGGCGGGCGTCGGGGGGACGGGGTAGGGTAAGTGACAGACGTCAGACCAGGCAGCCAGATTAAGTCAAACCCTGTCGTTTCTTCCTCAAGAGGAGCTCGGTTCTGCCTGCCCCATCAGCCTCACTGTCACTACCTCAGTTTAGGTCTGTTGTTTGCAAACTTAGCAATAGAGTTGAGGAGAGATGCTTGCTAAAATGCGGATTCCTAGGCGCCCCGAGATAGGAACTCTGGAGCTATGGAGTAGGACCCTTTTTGATTTTTTGCTGAAGCCTCCTTATTATTCAAGCCATTCTGAGCTTTTGAAGATTGAGTAATTCTTGTGGGGGGCATTGTTAGCAGCCATTTGGAAATGAACTTCAGGGAGATGTTGTTGGAGCCTTCCAGCCAGAACAGTGATATTAAGGAACTGAATACTATATGTGACATACTGCAGTTAACATATAGCAATAATGACTCTCTTTTCGCCCCCTAGGAATGGGTGAATTTAAGGTCCATCGAGTACGTTTCTTTAATTATGTTCCATCAGGAATCCGCTGTGTGGCTTACAATAACCAGTCAAACAGATTGGCTGTTTCACGAACAGATGGCACTGTGGAAATTTATAACTTGTCAGCAAACTACTTTCAGGAGAAAGTAAGTCATTTGGGAGTCTGATATGGTGTTTTGATGTTAATTTCTTCTGAAGTTCAAGAAGCTTGTATGTCTTTTATAATCAAACTGATTGAGTGACTTCCTAGCCCCTCTGAAGTTGCTTAGAACTACCAAACTTCTGAGATCTCCTAACTGATAAGAGAAGCTCAGTTTCAATCTGTGTAATGTTGATTAGAAGGGTCCTACCTAGAAATGTGACATCTCACTGCCTGTCATTGGAAACTGAGGTTTGCTGGATCTTTTGGACACAGGAAGGGAAATTGTTGGTATATCAGTCTCAACACCATTGCAGCTTTGGTAAGCAAAATTTCCTGCAGGGAGTATCAGTACTGTTTCATTGTCAATTCAGAAAAAATGATAACACGTTTTAATATCAGAAACTTTTTGGTGATGTGGGAAGATGGATTCCAAAGTTCATCTGTCTGAGAGAATGTAGACCTACATGTCTACATTTGGGAGTAAAGGAGATTTAAAATTAGGTAAAATGTCCTTTGGGTGTATGCAGAGGTCTATTAGTCCTTTTTCTTCTCCCCTCCAAGGGCACTGACTAGTGATTTTCTTCGGGTGCAACATCTTAGTTCATGTTGAATGACTGTTATGTACTGGGTGCTGTGATATAAATGAGTAGATGGGCAAATGAGTGAATTCAGTGCCCAGCAGCCTGGTACCTGGAATTTAGGCATTCTGTAAATGTTTCTCGGTGAATGAGTGGCAAATACTGGGCACTAAGACAAATGTCAGAGGCCCTAACTTTACGGAGCTCAAAGACCAGTGGGAGAAAGATAAGTGTACAGTTTCCAACCTGTAAAATAAATATGATAAACCGAAACACAGGCATAGAACCTTCATTGAATTGCCTTCAGGGAAGGCAATTCAGAGAATTGCCTTCCCTGAGAGGTGGGTTTAGGAAATGTGGAAAGGGATGATTTACTGAGCTCACCCCTGAAGAACTAATCAAAAGGTAAAAACTACAGGACCACCACAAATGGGTTACATTCTGTGGTATGAAGAACATGCGCTGGCGTGTGCTTATTGCATCCTGTGATTTTCTTTTTTTTTCTTTTTCTTTTTTTTTTTTTTTTTGGAGACGGAGTCTTGCTCTGTCACCCAGGCTGGAGTGCAGTGGCGTGATCTTGGCTCACTGCAACCTCTGCCTCCCTCTCCTGCCTCAGCCTTCCAAGTCGCTGGGATTACAGGTGTGCCACCATGCCTCGCTAATTTTTTTATTTTCATAGAGACGAGGTTTCACCATGTTGGCCAGCCTGGTCTCGAACTCCTGACCTCAAGTGATCTGCCCACCTCAGCCTCCCAAAGTGCTGGGATTACAGGTGTGAGCCCTCATACCAGACTGATTATCTTTTTCTTGGTCTTGTTCTTCTTCTTTTTTTTTTTTTTTAACAGTCATGGCCATATTATGATTTTTCTGTTTGTCATTTGTAACAGTTATAACTATATAATTTGTGTGTTTGTTTAATGTCTTTCTTCCATGCTGAACTTCCAATTTTATGAGGATAGGAACCATGTCAGTGATACTCACATCTGCATTCCCACCATTTATCAAGCGCCTCCTACAAAGCCACTGCTTAATGTTTCTTGAATGGATAAGTCAACCATTCCTTACCTAGTGTTCCTTATTTTCTTTTCTCCTTCATCTGTTTTCTTTATTCTTCAACAATTAATTAACTCAGGCTGGTTTCCTGCTTTCCCTATATTCCCTTTCCTACTAGATACGATTGCTTAGCTCTGTCAGTGACTCTCAGAGCAAGAAAAAATTAGTACGTTAAAGTGAAAAGAGGCAGGGCAGAGTGGCTCACACCTGTAAACCCAGCGCTTTGGGAAGCCAGGGCAGGTGGATCACTTGAGCCCAGGAGTGTAAGACCACCCTGGGCAACATAGTGAGACCCCATCCCTAAAAAAATAAATAAATAAATTAGATAGGTGTGGTGTTGTATGCCCATAGTTCCAGCTACTTGGAGGGTTGAGGCGGAAGGATCGCTTGAGCTCAGGAGGTTGAGGCTACATTGAGCCAAGATCGTGCCACTGCACTCCAGTCTGGGTGACAAAATGAGACCCTGTGTCAAAAAAAATAAATAAATAAAAGTGGGCCTGATGCGGTGGCTCACTCATGGCTGTAATCCCAGCAGTTTGGGAGGCCAAGGTGGGCAGATCACCTGAGGTCGGGAATTCGAGACCAGCCTGACCAACATGGAGAAACCCCGTCTCTACTAAAAATACAAAAAAAAATAGCGGGACGTGGTGGCACATGCCTGTAATCCCAGCTACTCAGGATGCTAAGGCAGGGGAATCGCTTGAACCCGGGAGTCGGAGGTTGCAGTGAGCTGAGATGGCGCCATTGCACTGCAGCCTGGGCAATAAGAGCGAAACTCTGTCTCCAAAAAACAAAAAAGTGAAAGAATATGAGCATATGAGCTAGGAGTAAGGAGACCTTCATTTGCCTCATGCAATTGACTTTGGCACTTTTGGCAACCTACTTAACCCATGTATATCTTGGCCTTTTCAAGTTGAAATAGGAAAAATTATACCTACTTAGTTCCTTTTTCGTCAAGCAGGTCTAAGCATAAAATGCCTTGATAGCTACGAAAACTTTTGGGTTGGGTGCAGTGGCTCACGCCTATAATCCCAGGACTTTGGGAGGCCAAGGCTCACTGCAGCCTCCGCCTCCCAGGCTCAAACAATCCTCCCCCGTCAGCCTCCGTAGTAGCTGGGACTATAAGTGTGTGCCACCACACCCGGCTACTTTTTATATTTTTTGTAGAGACAGTGTCTCACTCTGTCGTCCAGGCTGGAATGCAGTTCAAACCTTTTCTGCTGAAAATGTTTTGCCGAACTAGTCCTAGTAAAAGAAACAAATTTAACTGTATAAAAGTAATTAGAATTTGAGCTGAAAAAATGAAAATGTCATTAGGCATGATCTGATAGCACAAAACCCCACACTAGTTATTTATGGGGAAGTTGTTTTTACCATGTTGCCTGTGACCACTCAGTACCGGTACCTGATGAATTTGTGGTAATGTTGAGAAGTTATGGTGTTTCTGCAGTTTTTCCCAGGTCATGAGTCTCGGGCTACAGAAGCTTTGTGCTGGGCAGAAGGACAGCGACTCTTTAGTGCTGGGCTCAATGGCGAGATTATGGAGTATGATTTACAGGCGTTAAACATCAAGTATGCTATGGATGCCTTTGGAGGACCTATTTGGAGCATGGCTGCCAGCCCCAGTGGCTCTCAACTTTTGGTTAGTAAGCAACTATTGGTAATTCAAACCAAAATTTCTCTCGTGCCTGCTCAGACTTTCTTCCCTGTGCTCATAGGAGAGTAACGATATATTATGGCATGTGGCAACCCCAACTATAAGATTGGAATTGATAGTGAAGATTTTAAAAATCCCCAGCATTCTTTTTGCTACTAGTCTGGACCTTGTTGATTCATTTATGAAATGAGAGGATTACATCAGTTCAACATTTCCCAAACTGTGTTCTGTGGAATTTGGAGATGTAGAGGTTTTTTTGTTTTGGTTTGTTTTGTGTTTTATGGTAAATTTCATTTCACAAATACAGCATATTTAATCCTGCTGTAAATTCACAATGCACATCGGTACATGAAGAGTTCTGAGAGTCCCTTCAGCAAGTTAACCTGTGCACTTGTGTTTCAGCCCAGTGTTTCTCAAAAATATGACCACACACTGAGCCCCTTCCCATAATTACCATTAGAGTGGGTGCTTCCAGATCTTTAATTCTGTGATGAGTCTGATTATTTTTGATCTGCACTAATTTGCACGATATCTGAAGGTGTTTCCATTTAGGTTATAATGTTAGTAGGTCTTTTATTTAGGCCAAGGGTCTCTAGCAGAAGTATTCTATGAAATCCTACTTCTAATCCATGTCATACAGAGGAATGGGGCCACTAATTAGAACTCTTAATATCAGTCTGTTTTCTGTCTAGGATATGAAGGCTACTGAGAATACACTATTAGTTTCTTGATAACTAGTACTTTCTCTCACAAATGATTTTTCTTTTTCACGGCAACTGATAGCTTTAAGGAGGAAGAGAGAATAGAGAGAGTGTGTGTTGGGGGGTGTGTGTGTGTGTTTAGTCCTATAAAATGTTTACTATTGATTTTTTCTGTTTACTACCTCTTTCTCAAATAGGTTGGTTGTGAAGATGGATCTGTGAAACTATTTCAAATTACCCCAGACAAAATCCAGTTTGAAAGAAATTTTGATCGGCAGAAAAGTAAGCGTCATTTTTCATGGGGCGGTAAATAGCCTTAACAAGAAATTAAGTTTCTGTGCCACTGGGGATGGGATATTTTCCCATGAATCCAGGTAATATTTTATCTCTACTGGGTACAGGGAGGGTATGTGCTAGAAGCCATCCCCAGCCCAGGCTTTACCCATTGTATAGCATAGTTGTGACTGCTTGGTTAAGTAATAATATAGAAAACCAGAAATCCAAAATTGGAAAGCTAGTGTTTCTGTGGAAGTCAATTTGTTAGTTATCACTTACTTTTGTGATGTTTTAACAAGCGTACATGAAGTCTTGAACTACAATTTTGTCATTAGGAACTATGGTTCTTTTCTTTCTTTTTTTTTTTTTTTCTGGAGGCAGAGTGTCACTCTGTCATCCATGCTGGCAGTGGCGGTGGCATGATCTCGGCTCACTGTAATCTCCGCCTCCCGGCTTCAAGTGATTCTGGTGCCTCAGCCTCCCAAGTGACTGGGATTCCAGGCACGTGCCATCGTGCCCTGCTAATTTTCGTATTTTTAGTAGAGACAGGATTTCACCATGTTGGCCAGGCTGGTCTCGAACTCTTGGTCTTACTCAAGTGATCCACCTGCCTTGGCCTCAAGTGCTGGGATTACAGGCCTGAGCCACTTGCCCTGGCCAAGGAACTGTGGTTCTTAATCCTTCTGGTGCATTCAAGTTGAATGAGGGAGTTTATAAACAGTTGCCCATCCTTGGGCTCCACCTGGGCTGAATTGGCATTGACCCTTTAGAACAGGGGTTGGCAGACTGTTTCTGTAAAGGACCAGATAGTAAACATTTTAGGCTTTGCCAAACCTACATTGTCTGCCAACTCTGTCAGTGTAGTGCAAAAGCAGCCATAGACGATACTGAAACTAATGGGCAGGCTGTGCTCCAGTAAAAACTTTATTTACAAAAACAAGCAGTGGGCCTGATTTGGCCTGTGGGCCACAGTTTGGTGACCCATCTTCTAGAATAGCAAATGTCCTCTGTGTCCATTAGTAATACTTATCCTCTGCTAATCAGATTCTTGCTTCGTTTTTAATATATCTTGGGTGCTCTTTTTTTTTTTTTTTTTTTTTTTTTCCTGAGATGGAGTCTTGCTTTGTCGCCCAGGCTGAAGTGCTGTGGCGTGATTTTGGCTCAATGTAACCTCTGCCTCCTGGGTTCAAGCAATTCTCCTGCCTCAGCCTCCCTAGTAGCTGGGACTACAGGTGCGTGCCACCATGCCCGGCTAGTTTTTGTGTTTTTAGTAGAGACGGGGTTTCACCATGTTGGCCAGGCTGGTCTTGACCTCCTGACCTCGTGATCCACCCACCTCGGCCTCCTGAAGTGGTGGGATTACAGACATGAGCAACTGCACCCGGCCTGGGTGTTCTTTCTCAATTACAAAGGTAATACAATGCTTTTTAAAAATCTCATACATTTTGTCAAGTATGAAATAGAAAATAGGTGTCTCAGCTGGGCACGATGGCTTACACCTGTAATCCCAGTACTTTGGGAGGCTGAGGCGGGTGGATCACTTGAGGTCAGGAGTTCGAAACCAGCGTGGCCAACATGGTGAAACCCCATCTCCACTAAAAATACAAAAATTAGCCAGACATGGTGGCAGGTGCCTGTAATCTCAGCTACTAGGGAGGCTGAGGCAGGAGAATCACTTGAACCTGGGAGGCGGAGGTTGCAGTGAGCCGAGATCCCACTGCGGCACTCCAGCCTGGGCGACAGAGGAGACTCCGTCTCAAAAATAAATAAATAAATAAATAAATAAATAAATAAATAAATAAATAAAATGGTGCTTCAAGGAGTACTATAGATGAGAGAGCTAAGATTGTAGAACACTCTAGAGATAGTTGTGGGAAGAGAGCTCAGTTACTCTTCGTATATTTATGTGTATGTCACTTTCTTTTTTTGTTGTCCAACTCCCAAGGTCGCATCCTGAGTCTCAGCTGGCATCCCTCTGGTACCCACATTGCAGCTGGTTCCATAGACTACATTAGTGTGTTTGATGTCAAATCAGGTGATTGTTTTTTTCAGTTCATTTGGGGTGTGGGTTTTGTCAGATTCACATTTCTGAGTTTTCAAAAGCTTGAGCCTTTGTCATGGTTTCATGACCTTTATGGCCTAACATGTCATTAATCTTCTGAGATGTCCACAATTAATTTTACTCCTTTCTTGGATTACTACCACTGCTTTTAGGGGAATCTTGGATCTTCAGTAAGATATAGTATTTTTCATTCATCGTAATAAGAATTCACAATAAAATACTCTGAACTAGTACATTCGTGTACTATAAACAGTAGAATTACCTATTTATAGATCCCAGTCCTTGGTAAAAATGGGCTTCTGTCATTGAGGAACATAAGATTTTTGTAGCATAATTGGTGAAACATGAGATCAGAAAAGCAGAGAACCATGATATTTTCTGTTCTTGGCCTGGAAAATTGGCTTCATAGAATCCTTCATTGATAGGGTTGATCTCAACTTGTTAGGTGGACATGTCTGTATTTCCGTCTGAGATGCAGAGATAAAACAGGTTGGCTGGGCGCGGTGGCTCATGCCTGTAATCCCAGCACTTTGGGAGGCCGAGGTGGGTGGATCACCTGAGGTCGGGAGTTCAAGACCAGCCTGACCAACATGGAGAAACCCTGTCTCTACTAAAAATACAAAATTAGCCGGGGTGGTGGTGCATGCCTGTATTCCCATCAACTCAGGAAGCTGAGGCAGGAGAATCGCCCCATTGCACTCCAGCCTGACAACAAGAGTGAAACTGCGTCTCAAAAAAAAAAAATCCCTTAAGCTTATTACAAAAAAGAGGGAGTCCTTCTATATCTCTCTCACTCTCCTCGAGGCAACCACTTGTGACCCTTAGCTGATTCTTTTGGTATCTATCACTGCAGATCCTAGCATGCTTTTTATGCTACATTTTGATTTTTCAGCTTTAGACCATTTTTTACTGACTTCTGCAACTTGCCCCTCTTTTTCTACCGTCTGCCACAGGCATCCACACTTCCTCCCGATCCTCCCAGTATGGTTATATTATAACTTTGTTCAAATTAGTAATTGATGTTTTCATTATTATGACTATGTATATACTACTCACATAGTAAATTTTCTTTCTTTTCCGGTATACTTATTGTTTAATAGTGTCTCTGTCTCTCTGTCTTACTGATACATTCCCACATTTTTCCAGTTGCATAAATTAGGTTCAAGTCCATCTGATTTTCTTTCTCCACTTTTATCTTTGTGAATAAGTCCCTCCCGGTGCCTTCTGACCCACTCCCATCTGGCTTAGCCACTCTGGGCCTGCTGCACAGCTGTGAGATCTGAAACTCTGATTGATTTTTCCATTGTTCTCGGGATCTCCTTTGCTTCTCTATCGGATAGGATCTCCCATTTCTGTGTTATTCACTTTCTTGGTTTACCCTTTGGTGGATCCTGAGTAAGAGTGCATGAGAAAGAATTCTAGGTTGGAAATTCTTTTCCCTTAGAATTCTGAAGCCCTGGCTCCGCTGTCTTCCAGCTCCTCGTATTATTAGCAAGTAAGCTGCCATTCTGAGAGTTATCCCTTTGTGTAGGACCTGTTTTATTTTTTTTTCCCCCAGGAGCTTTTAGGATGTTTTATCCTTACTGTTATGAAATGTAATAATTAGGTTTCTTGGTATGTGGATCAATTAATTGTTCTGGACACCTGGTAGGTTCTTCTAATCCAATACCCACGTCCTTCAGTTCTGGGGGGAAATTCTTTTACTCTTATTTTTCATTTCTTTGTCTTTTTACTATGCTTTCTGGGAGAGTTTGTCTTTTTTATCTTTGAATCCTCTATTGAGTTTTTCATTTTTGACATTTCCAGAGTTCTTTTTTTTCGTGAATCTTCTTTTTTACAGCATTCTCTTTATGTTTCATTATACAGAAACTCTTCTCTTTCTTTTTTTATTTTATTTTATTTTATTATTATTATACTTTAAGTTTTAGGGTACATGTGCACAATGTGCAGGTTAGTTACATATGTATACATGTGCCATGCTGGTGTGCTGCACCCATTAACTCGTCATTTAGCGTTAGGTATATCTCCTAATGCTATCCCTCCCCCCTCCCCTCACCCCGAAACTCTTCTCTAAGGCTATTAATAATTGTCAAGTGTTTTTCACTCTGCCTGTTTCTTCCCTGTTATTCATTTATTTGTTTCTGTTAGTCCGTTTGGCCTCTGCCTTTCATGTTAAAGGCTTTCCTCATGTCTGGTGATCATCTCATCACTGCATCATGTGGCTTACTGAGCTTGGGTTTCACTGAAGAATGATCTGGCTGGACTGCTTATTTGGGGTAGCCCTGAAGCCAGAATCTTCAGATCTTTTCTTTTGTGTCAGTTATGTTCCTCAGAAATGGTTTTTCATTCTCCTGCCTGGTGAGTATTGGCCTGGCTATCAGCATTCTAAGGGGAAAAAAAAGAATGGTGTTCTCAACATTCAGTGAGAAATGTTCACTTAATCCTGGTTTTCATATACTGCTTCTGCCTGATAGCCCTCCTCAGACAACGTCTCCAGTATTCTGCTGACGTGCATTTTGGGAGCTTCCCACCTTCTTAGTCAGGGCATGGCTATCTGAGGGGTCTACCAGCTGTTAACGGATCCCTCTTTGAAGCCCCACTTACTCCTTTTCTAGAATATCTGGGGTCCCCAATTCCTGAGTCCAAGGATTCCATAGTATAAATCAGGTGGCTTCTTGGCTTTCCTCTCTGCCGACCTGGGACTTAGTTTCAGGGCTCTGCTAAGTCAGTGCCACTACTTGTCTGCTTTCCAGTTCCCCAAATTTTGTCACTGATCTCTCCCTTTCCTGTGGGATTTTGGAAAAGAGCAGAGTGTAATGTGTGTGTGCAGTTGACCAGCTTTAAGTGAATGTCCCAAATGTCTCTTTCCATTTCACCCCACCAAAGGGGTTTCTGTTCTCATTCTCTTCCCTCCCTTCCTCCCTCCCTTGCACCTTCTATCCCTTTCCTGTTAGGCTCTCCCAACACCCCTTCTCTTCAGGTAACCATTTTGGAGTTCCGAGATCAGGTTCACCAGAACTACCATTTATAGGCTGACTGTTCAGTCAGCTCACCTACCATATCATGCTTACCGCAGGCGGGTTTGTTATGTTGTTTCGTAGAGATGAGGTCTCACTTCGTTGCCTAGGCTGGCCTTAAACTCCAGGGCTCAAGCAGTCCTTCCACTTTGGCCGCAGGCAGATTTTGAAGACAGAGAAATAAGTACCATTTGAAGGTGTGCTTTTCTGATTTTTCAGGCAGCGCTGTTCATAAGATGATTGTGGACAGGCAGTATATGGGCGTGTCTAAGCGGAAGTGCATCGTGTGGGGTGTCGCCTTCTTGTCCGATGGCACTATCATAAGTGTGGACTCTGCTGGGAAGGTGCAGTTCTGGGACTCAGCCACTGGGACGCTTGTGAAGAGCCATCTCATCGCTAATGCTGACGTGCAGTCCATTGCTGTAGCTGACGTGAGTACAGTCCCTGTTTAGAGTGGTTGATGTACACCCTTGTGGGGTGAGTTGAGAAAGCAGCCTTAGTGACGTGCCATGAACACTGGTTCCTGATCCTGATGTTGTACTGGAGGAAGATGAGTTTAGGAAAATGCATCTGAAAACCCACATTGTTTCCATAGTACCTAACAATTGGTTAGAGAATACAGGATACTCCAAGAGATTAGTTAGCAGGGAGATTTTCTTTAGACACTGCTCACTTCCAGTTCGTCTTGTTTGATTGTAGATAGGGCACAGCAGCCTAGAAGAATCTGGAGAAGCGCTATGTTTATACCTTTGTATTTATGCATTTATTTTTAATTTAATTAAAAAAATAGAGATGGGGTCTCCCTATATTACCCAAGGTGGTCTTAAATTCCTGGGCTGGGGGATCCTCCCATCTCAGCCTCCCAAAGTGCTGGGATTATAGGCAGGAACCACGGCACCTGGCCAAAATGTCTTATTTAGTAGTAGTTCTTTTTTTTTCTTTTTTTGAGATGGAGTTTCATTCTTGTCGCCCAGGCTGGAGTGCAATGGCGCGATCTAGGCTCATTGCAACCTCTGCCTCCCAGGTTCAAGCGATTCTTCTGCCTCAGCCTCCCCAGTAGCTCGGATTACAGGCCCCTGTCACCACACCCAGCTAATTTTTATATTTTTAGTAGAGATGGGGTTTCACCATGTTGGGCAGGCTAGTCTCGAACTCCTGACCTCAGGTGATCCACCCACCTCGGCCTCCCAAAGTGCTGGGATTACAGGTGTGAGCCACTGTGCCTGGCCTATTTTCTCTCTCTTTTTTTTTTTATTTTTTTGAGACGGAGTCTAGCTCTGTCACCCAGGCTGGAGTGCAGTGGCACAATCTTGGCTCACTGCAACCTCTGCCTCCAGGGAGCAATTTCTCCTGCCTCAGCCTCCGAAGTAGGTGAGATTACAGGCGCCCGCCTCTGTGCCCAGCTAATTTTTATATGTTTAGGCTTTCACCATGATGGCCAGGGTGGTCTGACTCCTGACCTCAAGTGATCTGCCTGCCTCGGCCTCCCAAAGTGCTGAGATTGCAGGCGTGAGCCACCACACCCAGCCTATTATTTTCTATGACGTAAATATTGTAGAGGAATGGTAACGTGAATTCTCATTCAGAAACCTTTGAGTATTTTAGCAGTGAGACATGGAAAGTGACTTTATTTGTTGACCAGCTCCTTTATTCTTTATCTCCTTAGTTTGAGAATGATGTGCTATCCCACATGCCGACATCCATATTCTAGTGTAGTGTTCCTATTCCATATCACAGGTTTTTTTAGAACAGTTTGATGTATGTTAAGGCCCTGAAAAACATAGATGTCACACGTAAGTGATAATAGTGGTATAAGTTGAAATGAGTGGGATAAATTCCCCTTTAAAAATAGAGTTTTAATCCACAGCAGTTGTAATTATTATACTTAAGAGTTAATTATTGGCCGGGCATGGTGACTCACGCCTGTAGTCCCAGCACTTTGGGAGGCCAAGGCGGACGGATCACCTGAGGTCAGGAGTTCAAGACGAGCCTGGTCAACATGGTGAAACCCTGTCTCTACTAAAAATGCAAAAATTAGCTGGGCGTGGTGGTGGGCGCCTATAATCCCATCTACTTGGGAGACTGAGGCAGGAGAATCACTTGAACCCGGGAGTCGGAGGTTGCAGTGAGCCGAGATCATGCCATTGCCCTCCAGCCTGGGCGACAAAAGCAGGACTCCATCTCAAATAACAATAATAATAATAATAATAATGATTTCACCTAAGAGAAAGAGAATACAGAGTAAAGGAGAAGTCCTTGTCTTCCAAATCTCTCTCTGGATGGGACTTTGAGAAAACTACCCTTTTTAAAAAATTTTTTTGAGACAGTCTCTCACTCTGTCTCCCAGGCTGGAGTGCAGTGGTGCAGTCTCGGCTCACTACAACCTCTGTCTCCTGGGTTCAAGCGATTCTCCTGACTCAGCCTCCCAAGTAGCTAGGATTACAGGTGCATGCCACCATGCCAGGCTAATTTTTGTAATTGTAGTAGAGACTGGGTTTTACCATGGCTGGTTTTGAACTCCTGACCTCAGGTGATCCACCAGCCTCGGCCTCCCAAAGTGCTGAAAATACAGGCATGAGCCACCGCCCCTGGCTTTTTCTTTTTCTTTTTCTTTTTTTTTTTGTAAATTAAGTAAACTGTGTCGTTGGAGGTGGGGGAGTGTTTGAGTTCCTAAGCTGCTGGGTATGTCCACTTTTGTCTTAGGCTAATGGTTTTTAAGTAGTGTCTTTAGAGAAGAGGGAGAGGCTCCTCAGGGCCACCTTATGTGCTGTCCTTGGAAAATGCTTTCCTTTCTGGTACACAGTCATGACCCTGCAAGAGAGTTGGCATAAGGTTAAGGCAGTGTGGTGTTCCCAGAGCACAGGCTTTGGAGCCAGATGGCCGTGTTTGTCATGGCTTTAAACCCTTTGGAGCTCTGGTTTCCTTATCTGTGAAAAAGGTTACTAAATGATGATTAGGCAGAAAAAAGTTATAATCATGATTCATACAAGTATGAAATGGAAATAAGTCCGATTTTCTGTAATTCCTTAATGAGGGAACTGGTAAAATATTTCAAGCAGTTCAACCCGGGAGGCAGAGGTTGCAGTGAGCCGAGATTGTGCCGTTGTGCTCCAGCCTGGGCAACAGAGACTCTGTCTCAAAAAAAAAAAAAGAAAAAAAAAGATATTCCAAACTTTAGTCTTTTTACCATTAGTTTTGTAATTCTCCCCACATTATTTACTTTTAAACTATTTTAAAAGTGTACATTTCAGTGGAATAAAGTTCATTCACGTTGTTGTACAGCTATCACCACTATCCATTTTCAGAATTTTTTCATCACCACAAACAGAAACCTGTACTCATTAAACACTACCTCCTCATTCCTCCCTTCTCTCAGCCTCTGGTCACCTCTATTCTACTTTCTGTTCCTATGAATTTGCTTATAACATTTGTTATTTTGTATCTGGCTTATTTTACTTAGCATATTGTTCTCAAGGTTCATCCATCTTGCAGCATTATCAGTATTTCATTCCTTACTAAGACTGCATAATATTTGTGTGTGTGTTCTGTTTATCCATTCATCTATTAGTGGACGTTTGGGTTGTTTCCATCTTTCGGCTGTTGTAAATAATGCTGCTCTAGGCCAGGTGCGGTGGCTCACGCCTGTAATCCCAGCACTTTGGGAGACCAAGGCGGGTGGATCAGTTGAGGTCAGGAGTTCGAGACCAGCCTGGCCAGTATGATGAAACCCTGTCTCTACTAAAAATACAAAAATTAAGCCGGGCGCGGTGGCTCACGCCTGTAATCCTAGCACTTTGGGAGGCCGAGGCGGGTGGATCACGAGGTCAGGAGATCAAGACCATCCCGGCTAACATGGTGAAACCCCATCTCTACTAAAAAAAAAAAATACAAAAAATTAGCCGGGTGTGGTGGCGGGCGCCTGTAGTCCCAGCTACTCGTGAGGCTGAGGCAGGAGAATGGCGTGAACCAGAGAGGCGGAGCTTGCATTGAGTGCGATCGCGCCACTGCACTCCAGCCTGGGCGACAGAGCGAGACTCTGCCTCAAAAAAAAAAAAAAAAAAATACAAAAATTAGCCTGCATGGTGCTGCGTGCCTGTAATCCCAGCTACTTGGGAGGCTGAGGCGGGAGAATTGCTTGAACCCGGGAGATAGACGTTGCAGTGAGCTGAGATCGTGCCATTGCACTCCAGCCTGGTCAACAGAGTGCAACTCCAGCTCAAAATAATAATAATAATAATAATAATAATAATAATAATAATAATAAGCCGGGCGTGGTGACTCACGCCTGTAAACCTACCACTTTGGGAGGCCGATGCGGGTGGATTGGCTGAGCTCAGGAGTTCCAGACCAGCCTGGGCAACATGGTGAAACTCTGTCTCTACTAAAATACAAAAAAATTAGCTGGGCGTGGCGGTATGCGCCTGTAGTCCCAGCTACTCGGGAGGCTGAGGCAGGAGAATCGCTTGAACCAGGGAGGCGGAGGTTGCAGTGATCTGAGATCACCCCGCTGCACTCCAGCCTGGGTGACAGAGCAAGACTCTGTCTCCAAACAAACAAACAAACAAAAAATAATAATGCTACTCTGAACATTGAGGTACAAGTACAGGTTGAGTGTCTCTGATCTGGTTGTGCTTGGAACCAGAAGTGTTTCAGATTTTGGATTTTTTTTTGGATTTTGGAATATTTGCATATACATAATGAGATATCTTGGGGATGGGACCCCAGCCTATACAAGAAATGCATTTATGTTTCATACGTCCCTGATACACATAGCCTGACGGTAGTTTTGTACAATATTTTATTCATTTTGTGCATGAAACACAGTTTTGACTGTGATCCAGCAGATGAGGTCAGATGTGAAGTTTTCTACTTGTGGTGTCATGTTAGCACTCAAAAAGTTTCGGATTTTGGATTAGGAATCCTTTTTTTTTCTTTTTAGCTGGGACTACAGGCTCATGCCACCACGCCTGTCTAATTTTTGTTTTGTTGTTTTGTTTGTTTGTTTTGTTTTTCGAGACGGAATCTTGCTCTGTCGCCTAGGCTGGAGTGCAGTGGCGTGATCTCCGCTCACTGCAAGCTCCGCCTCCCTGGTTCACGCCCCATTCTCCTGCCTCAGCTTCCCAAGTAGCTGGGACTACAGGCGCCCGCCACCACACCCGGCTAATTTTTTGTATTTTTTTTTTCAGTAGAGATGGGTTTTCACCGTGTTAGCCAGGATGGTCTTGATCTCCTGACCTTGTGATCTGCCCGCCTCGGCCTCCCAAAGTGCTGGAATTACAGGCGTGAGCCACCGTGCCCAGCCTAATTTTTGTATTTTTAATAGAGACGGGGTTTCATTATGTTGGCCAGGCTGGTGTCTAACCCCTGACTTCAAGTGATCCGCCCGCCTCGGCTTCCCAAAGTGTTGGAATTACAGATGTGAGCCACTGCGCCCGGCCTAATTTTTGTATTTTTAATAGAGACGGGGTTTTATCATGTTGGCCAGGCTGGTCTCTAACCCCGACCTCAAGTGATCCGCCCGCCTCAGCCTCCCAAGGTGCTGTGATTACAGGCCTGAGCCACCACGCCTGGCCCTGGATTAGGAATCTTCAATCTGTATTAGTATAGCTGTTTGAGTTCCTGCCTTCAATTCTTTTGGATGTATATCTTCATTACTTTTTTTTTTTTTTTTTGAGACACGGTCTTGCTCTGTCACCCAGGTGGAGTGCAGTGGTGTAATCCTGGCTCACTGCAGCCTCTGCCTCCCAGGCTCGAGCAATCCTACCTCAGCCTCCCAAGTGGCTGGGACTACAGGCATGCACCACCAGGCTAAGTTTTTAACATTTTTTGTAGAGATGCAGTCTCACTATGTTGCCCAGGTTGGTCTCAAATTCCTGGGTTGAAGTGATTCTCCTGCCTTCCAAAGTGCGGGATTACAGATGTGAGCCATCACATCTAGCCACATTACTACTCTTGTTTGGGTTTTTTGTGTTGTGAGTTGTGTTTTTTTGTTTTGTTTTGTTTTTTCTTGTTTATTTCTTTCATTCTTTTTAAAGATGAGACTTTGGGAGGCTGAGGCGGGCGGATCACCTGAGGTCAGGAGTTTGAGACCAGCCTGGCAAACGTGGTAAAACCCTGTCTATACTGAAAAATAAATACAAGCCTGGGCACGGTGACTCACACCTGTAATCCCAGCACTTTGGGAGGCCGAGGAGGGTATATCCCCTAGGTCAGGAGTTTGAGACCAGCCTGGACAACATGGTGAAACCCCATCTCTACTAATAATACAAAAATTAACCAGGCATGGTGGCGCACGCCTGTAATCCCAGCTACTCAGGAGGCTGAGGCAGAAGAATGGCTTGAACCAAGGAGGCAGGGGTTGTGGTGAGCTGAGATCGCGCCATTGCACTCCAGCCTGGGCGACAAGAGTGAAACTCTGTCTCAAAAAAAACAAAAACAAAAATTAGCCGGGTGTGGTGGTGTGTGCCTGTAATCCCAGCTACTTGGGAGCCTGAGGTGGGAGAATCTCTTGAACCCGGGACGGCAGAGGTTGCAGTGAGCCGAGATCATGCCACTGCCCTCCAGCCTGGGTGACAGAGCGAAACTCCGTCTCAAAAAATACAAACAAACAAACAAAAAAAGATGAGGTCTCACTATGTTGTGCAGACTGGTCTCCAACTTCTGGGCTCAAGTGATCCTCCTACCCAGTCTCCTGAGTAGCTGGGACTACAGGTTTGTGCTGCTCTGCCCACCTTGTTTATTTAAGAAACTTTTTTATTGGTGTTTCTTGCATTTTTTTTTCTTTTTTTAAGCCAGAGTCTCGCCCTGTTGCCCAGGCTGGAGTGCAGTGGTGCGATCTTGGCGTACTGCAACCTCTGCCTCCCAGGTTCAAGTGATTCTCGTGCCTCAGCCGTCCAAATAGTTGGGATTACAGGCATGCGCCACCACGCCCAGCTAATTTTTGTATTTTTAGTAGCGACGGGGTTCACCATGTTGGCCAGGCTGGTCTCAAACTCCTGGCCTCAAGTGATCCACCCAGCTCAGCTTCTCAAAGTGCTGGGATTATAGGAGTGAGCCACCATGCCTGGCTGATGTTTCTTGGATATTTTTAATGAAATAAACGTTATTAAGAAACACCTGTTCTAGTTCCAAATAAAGGATTTTCAGTATTTTTATTGGTTTAATACATTTCTTTAGTGATAATAACTTGATCATGTTAAATATTCGTATTAAATAACATGATATGAATTTCTTTGTTAGGTTTTCTCTTATGTTCTTTCGAAGGATTTAAATTTCTCAAGTAGGTCCTAGGTATTTTCTCTCTCTCAATGCTATTCTAAGGAGATCTATGTTGGGTATATGAAGCGTTGCTGTACTGTAGACGTTAATTTTGTCAGTAGGGGGCGCATTGTTACCAGTGTCTGAGCTTGCTCCTTTGATGGAATCCTTAGCTTCTGGAAGGAAAAGACCCTTGTAACTTTCCTACTGATTCTGGGCATAGGTTTACCCCTAAGCTGCTGAGACAGAAAGCCTCGGAATATTTTTCCAACCAGACCTTGTTTTGCTTACGTGTACCTCCCTCATGATTTAATTCCTCAGCAAGAAGACAGTTTCGTGGTGGGCACAGCCGAGGGAACAGTCTTCCATTTTCAGCTGGTCCCTGTGACATCTAACAGCAGTGAGAAGCAGTGGGTGCGGACAAAACCGTTCCAGCATCACACTCATGACGTGCGCACTGTGGCCCACAGCCCAACAGCGCTGATATCTGGAGGTGGGTTCCCCCTCTGGTGAGGCTGCTGCTTTACCCTGCCCAGTTCTGGCTGTTCTCGTGAGGATGACTTCTAATTCTGTACACCTTCTCCCCTGCTTTCCCAGGCACTGACACCCACTTAGTCTTTCGTCCTCTCATGGAGAAGGTGGAAGTAAAGAATTACGATGCCGCTCTCCGAAAAATCACCTTTCCCCACGTAAGTGTCCATTCCAAGCCCCTGCTAACCCCTCATCTCCCCATCCCTGTGTCCCCCTGTCCCACAAGCTCTGAACACAGCTCACGCTCGGCAAATTTGTAGGACTTTTTTTTTTTTTTTGAGACAGAGTTTGCTCTTGTTGCCCAGGCTGGAGTGCAATGGCGCGATCTCGGCTCACCACAACCTCCACCTCCCGGGTTCAAGCGATTCTCCTGCCTCAGCCTCCCGAGTAGCTGGGATTACAGGCATGCGCCACCGCGCTCAGCTAATTTTATATCTTTAGTAGAGACTGGGTTTTTCCATGTTGGTCAGGCTGATCTCGGAACTCCCAACCTCAGGTGATCTGCCCGCCTCAGCCTCCCAAAGTGCTGGTATTACAAGTGTGAGCCACCACGCTCAGCTTTGTGGTCCTTTTTTTTTCTTTTTTTTTTTTTTTGAGACTGAGTCTCTCTCTGTCGCCCAGGCTGGAGTGCAGTGGTGCGACTCCACTCACTGCAAGCTCCGCCTCCCAGGTTCATGCCATTCTCCTGCCTCAGCCTTCCGAGTGGCTGGGACTACAGGTGCCCACCACCACGCCCGGCTAATTTTTTTATTTTTAGTAGAGGTGGGGTTTCACTGTGTTAACCAGGATGGTCTTGATCTCCTGACTTCGTGATACGCCCGCCTCGGCCTCCCAAAGTGCTGGGCTTACAGGCGTGAGCCACTGTGCCCAGCCCCTGCCTTTTTTTTTTTTTTAACCATCTGGGACATGGAGATATTGTAGGACTTTCTGTAGCTACCTTCTTCATTCCTTCTGTTTTTGAGGCAAGCCACTGCAAAGACATTTATGGGGGCAGGAGATATGCAGCAGCACACCTAGTTCAGTTTCTGGGGAAATTTTTCCCTTTTCCAAATAGTTGTGGGTTATGGGAATTTTGTTAGTTTGTCTTTCAGGGTAGGCTCTATTCTGGGTGGGAGCGGGAAAACCCAGGCTTCCAGTGTTCTAGGTAAATGGTACCATCTTCCCAAGCTAGAAAACTTGCTCCCCACACCTGCTGCCCCATTCATTCAAGCAGTAAACCTCATTGAGTCTACTCATCAGTATCTTTATACATATGTTATAGATATAGATAGATAGATAGATAGATCAACAGCTCTATTGAGGCATACTTGATATATTAAAAATCATACATATTTAATGCATATGGTTTGATGAGGTTGAACATAGTCCTCATAATCTCTTGAATCGAGTCATTCATTTCTCTTTGTCTACGCTGGCATCATCCTAGTTTGGATCAGTGTCTTTTCTCATCTGGGTTCCTTTACAGTAGCTTCTTAATCATGTCCTTTTATTTGCATTTGTGTCATTCTAGCCTATTCTTCATTGATCTTATTTTATTTTATTTGTTTTTGTTTTTTTGAGACAAGGTCTTGCTCCGTCACCCAGGCTGCACTGCAGTGGTGTAATCTTGGCTCACTGTAACCTCTGCTTCTTGAGCTCAAGCAGTCCTCCCACATCAGCCTCCCGAGTTGCTGGAGCTGCAGGCATGCGCCACCAGGCTCAGCTAATTTCTGTTTTTCTTTTTTTTTTTTTTTTTTTTTTGAGACAGAGCTTTGCTCTTGTTGCCCAGGCTGGAGTGTAGTAGTGAAATCTCGGCTCACTGCAACCTCAGTCTCCTGGGTTCAAGCGATTCTCCTGCCTCAGCCTCCCTAGTAGCTGGGATTACAGGCACCCGCCACCACGCCTAGGTAATTTTTTTTGTATTTTTAGTAGAGACAGGGTTTCACCATGTTGGCCAGGCTGGTCTTGAACTCCTGACCTCAGGTGATCCACCTGCCTTGGCCTCCCAAAGTGCTGGGATTACAGGCATGAGCCACTGTGCCCGGCCTCGGCTAATTTTTTTATTTTTTATTTTTTTTAATAGAGGCAAGATCTCACTATCTTGCCCAGGCCAGTCTCAAACTCCTGGTCTCAAGCAATCCTCGCACCTCAGCCTCTCGATTGCTGGCATTACAGGCATGAGCCACTGCTCCAGGCCCATTGATCTGTTTTAAAGCACCTTTGTTCATCACTCCATGCTTCAAAGCCTCTGGTTATCCCTGTTGGCTTCAGCATAAAGACAGTTTCCTTAGTGTGTCTTATAGAACCTGTCTCCATCCAGGCCTGGCCCTTCAGCTTCTTTTTGCACCTCTCGTGCTTGTAGCACCCCCACCCAGGCTAGCCATTCTCAAGGTCTTTTTGTTCCCTCAAATACTCTTACCTTTGAGCTATGTCACATGCCATCACCCTCCTCAGAATGTTCTGCCCTGCCTCCTTCGCCTGACTGGTCTTTCCCAGTGAACCTCATCTGGGCTTCTGTATTTACCACCACACAGCTAGGTTAGATGTCCTGTCTCCTTATTTTTCAGTACATACTGTGTTTAGCCGTGTTAAAATTCTTGGCACACTGAAGTCTAATTGCTGATTTAATTCTGTGTCACCCCTTTAGAAGCATGTTGAGAGCAGTAGCTATGTTTTAATTCATCATCGTCTTCATAGATCTCAGGGCAGTGCCTGGCATATGGGAGTACTTAGGAAATATTTATCAAGGAAATGGATTTCAGCAGTAAAAAATGTGCTAAGGTGGTGCTACTGTATCTGGTACTAAGGCAGTAGATGACCCTGACTTATTTTTTTAACTTCTTGATTCTTGGATATAGCGATGTCTCATCTCCTGTTCTAAAAAGAGGCAGCTTCTCCTCTTCCAGTTTGCTCATCACTTAGAACTTTGGCGACTGGGATCCACAGTTGCAACAGGTAAGATGGGAGCACGTTTTTTTCAATAAGAAAACTGGAGAGAGAAGCCAGAAATCAGAATTGCGGTTGGAATTCTGCTTATAGAAAAACTGAAGTAGACTTTTGTGTCCATTTTAACTAATGGTTTTCCCACCCATTAGATAAAGCAAATAAGCTGTTTAGAGTATTAGAATCTTTAGCAGGATATTGGATCATCTCTTAAAAGTTTATGGCTCTAGGTGGTGCGCTGCAGGGTGTAGTCAAGGTAAGGGTTGAAGAATCGTAGTTTGCGCTAGCTTAACTGAGGTGAAAACAGGCTGTTGAAAAACAACAAGATTTAATGATGGGTAATGATAATCCTGTAGAAAAAGAAGATCACATGGATCTTATTGGAGTGACAGCCTAGTGGCCTTTTTGACTTATTAAGGAAATGTTTGAGTCCTCTCATTTGCAGTGGATTAAAATCGAGGCCACACAAACTCCACCTGTGTCCCTGGCTATGGACTAGAGCTTCAGGGAATTAGTGATGTATCAGAGGATAGAAGCAAAAGAAGTACTCACTGCTTTCTCTTCATATACCCCTCAAAAATTGTGAGCTTACTCAGTGAGCTTGTATTTTTCTGATTTCCCACTGATAGAGATTCCATTTTTCCAAGGAGTAACTTTTTAGAAGAAAAATGTACAAATACTCTTTCTTTCATAAGAAAAATCTCAGGGAAGTTTCTTGTTTCAGGCAAGAATGGGGATACTCTTCCACTCTCTAAAAATGCAGATCATTTACTGCACCTAAAGACAAAGGTAAGGAAGTTTGTTTAGGCTCTGAATTCTAGAGCCTGAATTCTAGGCTCATAATTCCCATTCTGAATTTTGAGGTTACTTAGTTTGCATCATAAATTGTATAAATTCTAAAACTATTTGAATGAAGGACTGTGTCACCAGGACTGGGTTTCCTGTGATTATAAGTAGGACGTTGAGGATTTATTAGATGGATGTATACAGGAAATAGGTTTCTCTTCTTTTGATATTATTATGAAAATAATGTGCTTTTATTTATTTATTTATTTATTTATTTATTTATTTATTTTTGAGACGGAGTTTCACTCTTGTTGCCCAAGCTGGAGTGCAATGGCACCACCTCAGCTCACCGAAACCTCCGCCTCCTGGGTTCAAGCGATTCTCCTGCTTTAGCCCCCCAAGTAGCTGGGATTACATGCATGCGCCACCACGCCCGGCTAATTTTTTGTATTTTTAGTAGAGATGGGGTTGGTCAGGCTGGTCTTGAACTCCCGACCTCAGGTGATCCGCCCGCCTTGGCCTCCCAAAGTGCTGGGATTATAGGCGTGAGCCACCGCGCCCAGCCATGTGCATATTTTTAAAAACTCAAATAGTACAAAAGGGTATACAATGAAAAAAAAATCATTTTGTGAGTTTTTAAAAACTACATACATGTTACATTCAACTTTTCTTTATTCTCCAGATTCTTTTTTGTTTGGTTAGTTGGTTGGTTTTTTTGTTTGTTTGCTTACTTTTTTGAGGCAGGGTCTCATTGTGTTATCCAGGCTGGAGAGCAGTGGCACGGTCACGGCTCACTGCAGCCTCAACCTCCCAGGCTCAGGTGATCCTACCACTTCACCCTCCCAGGTAGCTGGGACTACAGGTGTGCACCACCATGCCCGGCTAATTTTTTGTAGAGTCAGGGTTTCACCATGTTGTCCAGACAGGTCTTGAACTCCTGGGCTCAAGCAATCCTCCACCTCAGCCTCCCAAAGTGCTGGGATTACAGGCATGACCCACTGTACCTGGCCTTCAAATGTTCTTCATTTGCTATTTCTTAGAAGTCTTTAAAGCAGAACGCCGTACACAAAACAGAAAATAAGTACTTCAAACCACCTATCCTCCAGAGCTTTCCTTCAGTAAATGCCTCCCTGCTCAGGTTTCTGAAGTTGGGGTCTAGTATGAGGCTATCTATGAAGTATTCAAAGGGCCAAAATAAGAATAGACCTCCATTCTTGGATTTGGAAATCAAAGCCATGCCTTTTAGGTGCTCTGCCTCTGAAATAATCATATTAATGCAGACCACACGAGGATCGAGATTATGTGTAGATATCTGTGGGTATGTCCAGAGTGGCAAGAGCTTGAGGCGTCATGTCCCAGTGCACCTTGTTATGTGAAGTTTAATTGCACATTCATCTTGATTCCTGATATTGCCAGGGTCCTGAGAACATTATCTGTAGCTGTATCTCCCCATGTGGAAGTTGGATAGCCTATTCTACAGTTTCTCGGTTTTTTCTCTATCGGCTGAATTATGAACATGACAACATAAGCCTCAAAAGGGTAAGTGATAGTCCAATATCTGGTCACATAAGAGGAAACTTCCTAAATATGTCATTTTTGTGTGAAGTGGAAATCAACTGGATGTGAATCCTTGCTCAGTTAAAAACTATTTGGAGATTTGGAGAAGGCTGTTATGAAACAGTGTTTTATTTCTTTCTTTCTTTTTTTTTTTTTTTTTGAGACGGAGTTTTGCTCTTGTCACCCAGGCTGTAGTGCAATGGCACAGTCTTGGCCCACTGCAACCTCCGCCTCTTGGGTTCAAGCGATTCCTGTGCTTCAGTCTCCCGAGTACCTGGGATTACAAGCACCCACCACCACACCTGGCTGATTTTTGTATTTTTAGTAGAGATGGAGTTTCACCACCCGTTGGCCATGCTGGTCCTGAACTCCTGACCTCAAGTGATTCACCCGCCTCAGCCTCCCAAAGTGCTGGGTGCTGGCATTACAGGCGTGAGCCACCGCACCCAGCCTTTTTTTTTTTTTTGACCGAGTTTCACTCTTGTCACCCAGGCTGGAGTGCAATGGCACCACCTCAGCTCACCGCAATCTCTGCCTCTCGGGTTCAAGCCATTCTCCTGCCTCAGCCTCCCGAGTAGCTGGGATTACAGGTGCCCACCACCAGGCCTGGCTACTTTTTGTATTTTTAGTAGAGATGGGGTTTCACCACGTTGGCCAGGCTGTCCTGAACTCCTGACCTCAGGTGATCCACCCCCTCAGCCTCCCAAAGTGCTGGGATCACAGGCATGAGACACTGCGCCCGGCCCACACCCAGCCTTTATTTCCATTTTGAAATTTTGAGGTATGTTCTTAGAGGGATAGGGTAATGCCCTACAGGCAATAAAATTAAAGCTTTTCTGTTTAGTGGTTTCACGTGCGACTTAGTTATTTCCTTGATAGAGAAGTGAATATTTAGTAAAGAGATGAAAGGGGGATGTATAGATTACTGGAGAGAAACCAGTGTTCTGTGCCGAGTCAGTTGGCTTACTTAGAGACAGGAAGCATTAATGTACCTTAAGCCTAGCTGTGATTGTTTCTGATGGGCTGTAGGTCTCCCTTCTCTCACTGGCTTTTATTATTGGTTCACCCAAAGGTTTCCAAAATGCCAGCATTCCTTCGCTCTGCCCTTCAGATTTTGTTTTCTGAAGATTCAACAAAGCTCTTTGTAGCATCAAATCAAGGAGCTCTGCATATTGTTCAGCTGTCAGGAGGAAGCTTCAAGCACCTGCATGCTTTCCAGCCTCAGTCAGGTGGGAATCTGGTAACTGGCCATGGGGAGACTTGTCGTGTCTAAGATGTAACTTTTTTGCTTTTAAGCCTCCATGTCGGGGGTTCCCTCATGTTCCTCCTACCCTGCAGATACACTCACTCACATGTTTGCTGTTTCAAGTAGGAGGAGATAGCTGGCAGATGAAGACTCTCGATGAGATCTGCAATGTTCTTCACACCTACTCTTTTCTCACTGGGTTTTTGATTCCTTATTTGGGGCCAGAGAAATTTCATCATCCTTAGTTTGTTAGCAGAACAAGAAGAAAGTTAAAGTCATTTGCAATCCTGACACCCAGAAATAGCTACCATTAATATTTTGGTATTTTCTAATATGTATTTGTATATAAGTATTTTGTGGGCATGTTGCCTTTTTTGGTTGTTTGTTCATAAAAAGGTACAATCATAGATGGCTGCCACCTCGACCTCTTGGGCTCAAGTTATCTTCCCATCTCAGCATCCTGAGTAGCTGGGACTATAGACACTCACCACTATGCCCAGCTAATTTTTTCATTTTTTTTGTAGAGACGGGGTCTCATTATGTTGACAAAGTTGGTCTTGAACTCCTGGGGTCAAGTGATCCTCCCATCCTGCCCTCCCAGCTGAGATTATAGGCATGAGCCACTGTGCCTGGCCCAAAAGTATTCTTATACATACAGTTTAATTACCTGTGTTCATATAATGTTCCTGAGAATTTTTCTGTTTTCATTGAGAATGTGAGTATTAATGAATGAGTGTGGCTATGTAGCTAGCTATGGCTAACTGTTAAGGACTTGGACTCAGTTTCCAGATTAAGCTGGTAGTTGTTTTGATACTTCCTATGGGCCTTTCACCTCTCCCTTGTCCTGGATTTTAGCTGCTGCTTCACTGTCATTTACACTCCCATCAGCCTGGAAAGTCAACTCTTTTTTTTTTTTTTTTTTTTTTTTTTTTTTGAGATGGCCTCACTCTGTTGCCGAGGCTGGAGTGCAGTGGTGCGATCATGGCTCACTGCAGCCTCACCCTCCCCAGGCTCAGAAAATCCTTCCACCTCAGCCTCCCAAGTACACAGGAGCATACCACCACACCCAGCTAAGTTTTGTATTTTTGTAGAGACAGGGTTTCACCATGTTGCCCATCCTGGTCTTAAACTCCTGGGCTGAAGCAATCCTCCTGCCTCAGCCTCCCAAAGTGCTAGGATTACAGGTGTGAGTCACCATGCCTAGTGAAAGTCAACTCTTTTATCTTCAACTCTCACTGTTCATAAGCTGATCCAGAAGCCTACAGGAGAAGAAACCCACAAGTTAGGGGTCAGATAAATCAAACTATTTATTATCTATATATGTTTTTATTACAAAACTTAGGCTATTTATCTTATATCTAGCTCTCCTTGAGATTCGACTCTACATTATGTATATGACTTTATTTTTTCCACTTCTCTCATCTCACTTCCCCTTGTAGTCAAAATGGTTTCTTCACAGCTCTCAAACCTGCATATTCTACTCCTCGTCACTTAGCTTGCACTGTTCCCCATCCTTTTTTCCTCATCCCCACCCATCCTTTGGCAGCTGGGTTATGCTTGTTATAAAGCCATGTTATCGTTTGGGGGCGTTACATGCAGCACGCATTTTGGCATAGAGCATCACTGTCCAATTTTTATCCCACACTAGTTGTCGTGTTGCCAGATTGGTTTAAAGTCTCTAGATGACAAAGATGGCTCAGACGTGCCCATCCTCCCTTAGTGCTAAATACACAGCAGGCATCCAATAAATTAAAGATATGCTTCAAGTCTATTGAACTTGCTGTTTGTCCGTAACTTTTTTTTTTATTATTAATTTATTTATTTTTGAGATAGAATTTCAAAAGACAGAGTTTCTTGTGCCCAGGCTGGAGTGCATTGGTGCCATCTCGGCTCACTGCAACCTTTGCCTCCCAGGTTCAAGTGATTCTCCTGCCTCAGCCTCCCTAGTAGCTGGGATTACAGGCACCCACAACCACGCCCAGCTATTTTTTTTTTGTACTCTTAGTAGAGATGGGGTTTCACCATCTTGGCCAGGCTGGTCTTGAACTCCTGACCTCAGGTAATCCACCTACCTCTGCCTCCCAAAGTGCTGGGATTACAGGTGTGAGCTACCACGCCTGGCCTGTCCATAATTTTGGCTTAAAAAAAATTTAGGGGCCGGGCACAGTGGCTCACACCTCCCAGCACTTTTGGAGGCCGAGGTGGGCAGATCATAAGGTCAAGAGATCGAGACCATGCTGACCAAAATGGTGAAACCCCATCTCTACTAAATATACAAAAATTAGCTGGGTGTGGTGGTGCACGCCTGTAGTCCCAGCTACTTGGGAGGCTGAGGCAGGAGAATGGCTTGAACCCGAGAGGCAGAGGTTGCAGTGAGCCGAGATTGCACCACTGCACTCCAGCCTGACAACAGAGTGAGACTCCGTCTAAAAAAAGAAAAAAGAAAGAGGCCAGGCACGGTGGCTCACGCCTGTAATCCCAGCACTTTGGGAGGCCAAGGTGGGCGGATCATCTGAGGTCAGGAGTTCAAGACCAGCCCAGCCAACATGGTGAAACCCCAT
Source organism: Homo sapiens (assembly GCF_000001405.40). Lineage (NCBI taxonomy): Eukaryota > Metazoa > Chordata > Mammalia > Primates > Hominidae > Homo > Homo sapiens. Next base: position 69,159,819 of record NC_000016.10, read on the forward strand.
CTCTACTAAAAATACAAAAATTAGCCAGGCATGGTGGTGGGTGCCTGTAATCCCAGCTAGTCAGGAGGCTGAGGCGGGTGAATCACTTGAATTTGGGAGTTGGAGGTTGGAGTGAGCGGATCCGCCACTGCACTCCAGCCCGAGTGACAGAGCTAGACTCCATCTCAAAAAAAAAAAAACAAAAAACAGAAAAAAAACCATTTGGTAGGAAAGGAGTTTGAAACAATTAAAGTATATATTTTAGTGGCAGATGCTGCCGTCATTCTCTATTCCTGTAGTAAGCAGTGTCTTAGGCCTGAGGAAGTAATAACTTCTGTTTTATCTCTCTGGACCTTCTTTACAGGCGGGATGGTTAAATAAGTAGATGAAAAAAGTAGAAACATTAACATCTAGAAGTAATTTGCACAGTGATCAGCAAATTATCCTGGCAGTGATTTAAAACTCTAATGGTCTCCTTGGCTTTTGCCATCATCTCCAGGGCAGGTCTGGCTGTGGACACTGTGTGAATTCAGAGATGTAACTGTTTTGTCCTCACAGGAACAGTGGAGGCCATGTGTCTTTTGGCAGTCAGTCCAGATGGGAATTGGCTAGCTGCATCAGGTACCAGTGCTGGAGTCCATGTCTACAACGTAAAACAGCTAAAGGTGAGCATAGGGTTTCATGGCAGCAGTTTGAATCATTGTACAGGAGCCAGTTCACCCTGCAGTTACAAGATTCAAGGCAGATTGGCATGACCTGGAAATTTATTAGACTTTTTTCTTTTTATTTTCTTTTCTTTTCTTTTTTTTTTTTTTTTGAGACAAAGTCTTACTCTGTCACCCAGGCTAGAGTGCAGTGGCGCGATCTCGGCTCACTGCAACCTCAGCCTCCCGGGTTCAAATGATTCTCCTGTCTCAGCCTCCTGAGTAGCTGGGATTACAGGTGTGTGCCTCCACACCTGGCTAATTTTTGTATTTTAATAGAGACAGGGTTTCACCGTGTTGCTCAGGCTGACCTTGAACTCCTGAGCTCAGGCAATCCGCCCACCTCGGCCTCCCAAAGTGCTAGGATTACAGGCATGAGCCACCGCGCCTGGCCAGACTTTTTTCTTTTTAACTAATAATTTTTCCAGGTTTGGAATCCTGTTTTATTTTTATGGAACCCGGAAGCTATACTGTGTAACATTAAAAGCAGCTAATGGAAACAGTGAAACCCATTCATACCTGGAAATTTGAAATTAATGATCTGTGGGTGATGTAAACACATCCAGGTTCTTTCTGTATTTTCGGGAGGAAAATTCTGATATACACAGACAAATAGTTGCAGATAATAAGAGTTCCTTTCATGGCTTGCCTTGTAATCTCAAGGTAAACATAATCAAAACTTCGAAAAAGGAATACTGGGAAAACATTTTTCACTAATCAGTAATGACGCTGTCAGTCATAAATTGAGTCATTAGTGATCCCTTACAAGTCCTCATCTTCATTATAAGAATCAGATTCGAACTACCCAAAACTTGGAATAAGCATTAAAAGTGTATAGAATAACATCAAACTGCAACACTTAATGGGTTTACCTGTTAACTGCATAGTGTAACCTTTGTTGCATTATGGTAGGAGCATGTACTGAGCACTTGTCTTTGAGCCTTGCCTGGCATTTAAAGAGTGTTTGTGTGTAGCGTGCACATGCTTTGCAATTGTACATAAAAATCCATGCCTAGGCATTTATTTATTTTAAACCTGGTGTAGAGCTGTAGACTCCCTATTCAATGACACATTTATAAGCAGTTTGTACAGATGGATTTACTCAGAGGGAAAGGCTTTACTCTCAGTTCTCCACAAACGCTGTTAGTTTTGTACGCGGTTAAATAAGCTTTTTATTTTTTTGAGACAGGGTTTCACTCTGTCACCCAGACTGAGTGCAGTGGCACAGTCACAGCTCACTGCAGCCTTGACCTCTCTGCTCAAGCGATCCTTCCACCTCAGTGTCCTGAGTAGCTGGGACTACAGGCGAGTCCCACCACACCTAGCTAATCTTTTTTTTTAGTAGAGATGAGGTTTTGCTGTGTTGCCCAGGCTGGTCTTGAACTCCTGGACTCAAGCGTTCCTCCCGCCCTGGCCCTTCCGAAGTGCTGTAGTTACAGGTGTGAGCCACTGCGCCCAGCCAATAGGCCTTTTGTTTTTTTTTTGAGATTGAGTCTTGCACTGTTGCCCAGGCTGGAGTGTGGTGGCGCAGTCTCTGCTCACTGCAACCTCCGCCTCCTAGGTTCAAGTGATTCTCCTGCCTCACCCTCCTGAGTAGCTGGGATTACAGGTGCACGCCACCACACCCAGCTAATTTTTTTAATTTTTGGTAGAGATGGGGTTTCACCATGTTGGCCAGGCTGGTCTCAAACTCCTGACCTCGTGATCCGCCTGCCTTGGCCTCCCAAAGTGCTGGGATTATAGGCATGAGCCACTGCGCCCGGCCAACCAATAGGTATTTTTTTAAGAAAATGAGGACTGGTGCGGTGGCTTACGCCTGTAATCCCAGCACTTTGGGAGGCCGAGGTGGGTGGATCATGAGGTCAGAAGTTCAAAACCAGCCCGGCCAACATAGTGAGACCCCGTTTCTACTAAAAATACAAAAATTAAGCCAGGTGCAGTGGTTCACGCCTATAATCCCAACACTTTGGGAGACCAAGGTGGGTGGATCACCTGAGGTCAGGAGTTTGAGACCAGCCTGGCCAACATGGTGAAACCCCGTCTCTACTAAAAATACAAAAATTAGCCAGGCATGGTGGTGGGTGCCTGTAATCCCAGCTGCTCGGGAGGCTGAGGCAGGAGAATCACTTGAAACCGGAAGGTGGAGGTTGCAGTGAGTCAAGATCATGCCATTGCACTCCAGCCTGGGAGAAAGAGTGAAACTCCATCTCAAAAAAAAAAAAAAAGAAAAACAAAAAATTAGCCGGGTGTGGTGGTAGGCGCCTGTAATCCCAGCTACTTGGGAGGCTGAGGCAGGAGAATCACTTGAACCTGGGAGGCAGAGGTTGCAGTGAGCTGATTATCACGCCACTGCACTCCAGCCTGGGTGACAAGAGCGAAACTCCATCTCAAAAAAAAAAAAAAGAGAAGAAAAAGAAATGAAAGTTCATTGGTTGGGGAAATGCCTGAAATTTTTGGAACTTCCCTAGAACCCTTTTGAATTATGAGGAGCAGTATTTAAACCCCTGACCTAGACCATTCAATCTTTGCTGAGGAAAAGTGTCACTTAGAGTTGCCACTTGTGTCTGTTATTTGTTCCCAGCTTCACTGCACGGTGCCTGCTTACAATTTCCCAGTGACTGCTATGGCTATTGCCCCCAATACCAACAACCTTGTCATCGCTCATTCGGACCAGCAGGTAAGGGAGATTCCAGTGCTTTCTATTCCCTTCCTGCTGGATAGTAACCTAGAAGCTGGAATATTGGGCAGTTGCGGGGAGCTTTTTTTTGAAGGTGTTGGAGGATATAAGGTAGTTTTCTCCTGTGTGAAGTAAAGCTTCCTTGCCGGTCTGGGCTCATCATAGGCCAGCAGTATGCATTGGTTTGATGGGATGCAATTTAAATGGAGAAGCACTAAGATTCTAGAGTAAAGAATCACAAGAGGGAGGAGGAATTTTGAAGTACTCATTTTCCTGATTGTTTTAGAGGAGAGATGACATGGGCTTGGGTATTAAACTGGATATGGGATGGAATAAGATTTTGAGAGTTGAAAGTGACTAAAAGATTGTATCATTCACCTTTACGCTTGCCGATGAGGAAATCAAGCCCTAATAAGATCAGGTACCTAATCTCAGCCAAAATTAGAACCTAATCTACTTTTTTCTATACCAATTTGTAAGGAGATTGTGATTATAAGGAGATCTTTAAAAAAAAAAAAACCTGGGCTGCGGAATATATTAGGAAGTTATCAATAATTATATTAGGAAGTTATCAATAATTCATCTGTAAAATTGGAGATGTTAATATCTACCTCACTGAGCTGTTGGGAAGATTAAATGTAATCCAGGAAGCACATTTAAGTAGAGTGCTAGGCAAATGATGCTTACTGCTTTGATGGTCAGTTTGTTTTTTTTTTTTTTTTTTTGAGACAGAGTCTCGCTCTGTCGCCCAGGCTGGAGTGCAGTGGTGCGATCTCCGATCACTGCAAGCTCCGCCTTCCGGGTTCATGTCATCCTCCTGCCTCAGCCTCCCGAGTAGCTGGACTACAGGCGCCCGCCACCATGCCCGGCTAATTTTTTGTATTTTTAGTAGAGATGGAGTTTCACCATGTTAGCCAGGATGGTCTCGATCTCCTGACCTTGTGATCCGCCCGCCTCGGCCTCCCAAAGTGCTGGGATTACAGGCTTGAGCCACCGCGCCCGGCTGATGGTCAGTTTTTACACTCACACATGCACACACACACTGTCCAAAAAGTGAAATCTCTCAGTTTTATAGATTTGAGTCCTTGACCAAAGACTGAAAGAGTAGTGAAGCCACACATCTTTGCCTTTGTCACACATAATGATAATTTCCCCCATGACACCTTTTACTGGCACTTAGTCCCTTAAGTGCTTCTGAAAGTAAAACTGATGGGAAGTTTTTTATATCTGTTAGATTAGCAAAGATCAAAGACTTGATAATATACAGTGTTCTGAAGGTATAGGGAAACAGTACTCTCACACATTGTGTAAATTATCCTAACCCTTTTGGAGGACATGTTGGCAATACCTTAAAAATTTTAAAGTCCACATGGTCTTTGACTTAGAAATTTCAGTTCTAATCATTCTTTATATATATATATATATATATATATATATGTATATATATATCTGTATATAGATATATATGCTTCTAGCTGTGCAAAAAGACATTTATACAGAGACAGCTTTGTTTGTAGTAGACAAAGATATGAAACAAGCTAATGTCCATTAAGCAGAGTGGATAAGTAAATCATGATACATGGACAAAATGAGTGGACTATTCTGTGTTTCAGAATGGGCATGACCGATATATATGTGTATTAATGTGGGTCAGTCTCCGTGATATAACACTGAGCAACAAAAGCAAGATACAGAACGCTATGTATTATGTGCATAAAATAGCTCTGAAAAGATGGGCAGGGCGCGGTGGCTCACGCCTGTAATCCCAGCACTTTGGGAGGCTGAGGCGGGCAGATCACGAGGTCAGGAGATCAAGACCATCCTGGCTAACACAGTGAAACCCCATCTCTACTAAAAATACAAAAAATTAGCCGGGCGTACTCGTGGGCGCCTATAGTCCCAGCTATTTGGGAGGCTGAGGCAGGAGAACGGCTTGAACCGGGGAGGCGGAGCTTGCAGTGAGCGGAGATCACGCCACTACACTCCAGCCTGTGTGGCAGAGTGAGACTCCATCTCAAAAAAAAAAAAAAGTGTTGGGAGAGCATAGAATGAATATAATACAGTTGAAGCTTTGTATAGATACTTTCTGGTTAGGGATGAGAATGCCCTTCTGGTCTTTCTGAGTACCAGCCTGCATTTCTCTATGTCATGTCCTCCCTCAGGTATTTGAGTACAGCATCCCAGACAAACAGTATACAGATTGGAGCCGGACTGTCCAGAAGCAGGGCTTTCACCACCTTTGGCTCCAAAGGGATACTCCTATCACACACATCAGTTTTCATCCCAAGAGACCGATGCACATCCTTCTCCATGATGCCTACATGTTCTGCATCATTGACAAGTCATTGGTGAGTTCTTCACTGCTACCTCCCAAATCTTCTTCTGAATCTTAAAGTTCTAAAAGCAACAAGTACAATAAGGTAAGAGGACAGAGACTCAGAATAAAGGTAGCTAGTAAATCAGAATACAGGTAGCTAGTACATTTCTTGGAGGAGAGGGGCTTTTGTTTTACAGATTCCCTGGTTTGTGTTCCCACAGTTCTTCGGGAGGCTCTCGGGGAAGGGGCTGGCCTTTGTATACTGGCTTTTGCTGATTTGACTATTTGTCTACTTTGCGAGTAAGCACATAAATCTTACACAGAAAAGTGATTAGGCCAGTATTCGGAAGGTGACCCTCATCCGGAAGTATCATTGATTTGGCTAACTTGCTTTCAACTTTGAACTCTGGGGTATCTGAATAACCTGGTTTCATTAAAGGAGGTACAGGCTGAGGTTTTGACCTCTGTGCCCCTTCGCTAAAGCTACTAAAACGCTGTCTGCAGGCTTGAGGAACTGGTCTTAACATCTTCGAAAAACCCAGCTAGGAAAATTCTTCATGGCTGTGATTTACATGGGATACGAGCATTTTCTTCAGTTTTAGATTCTGTCCTCTTTGCCAGCTGCTGTTTTGATTCACCCTGAATTTGTATGGCTTTTCTGGGCAGGTGCTTTGTTTCCTAGGAGCATTGTGGCCATGCCTGTCCTGCACTTTGGGCTTAGATTACAACCATCACACGGTGTTTTGGTGTGTTTGTGAAGGTGGGGGTGGAAGGAACATGGGGGAAAGCAGCAGATGGCTCTAAAGGAGGTGTGCACGGGGATGTGTCACTGGAATCATCTCGTGGGCCCTGCGACCTCTGGGTGTGGGAAGCAGAGCTGGCTGACAAGTGCCTTCTGCAAGATGAGTGATACAGGAAGGGCCCCTCCCACTCTCTTGCCTCTTTGTAATTGAGCCCAGATCATTTTTTCCAAAGCATTGGCTTTAAGTTCATCGCTTCCTTACAGTAGGCATAGCTATTTCCCAGGAAGTCAGAGACAAAATATCATTTCTTTGGCCAGAGGCCACCTCGAGGTGTCAGTGACATCAGCACAGGTGGTTTGTGTTGAGGTTTCGCCTGGGGAGAACTCCAGTCACTTGTCCAGTCTGTGATCTGGTTGGGGGAGAGTCTAGAAAGCACAGACCCTGTGTGGGCTGAGCTCCTGCACTTGCCAGTTTGTTCCATTCTGACAAAGTGATACTGATGAGACAGGCCAGAAGCCGCAGAAGGGCCCTTTGATCTTGCTGCATGGAGTTAACAAGCTCTCTTTGCCTCATACACCCACCCTCTACAGTGTGGCTGCAAGAGTAGCTTCAGCTCTTTCTCCCTCTCTCTCCTTTTCTTCTTTTTTTCCCCCCTAGTTTTTCTGAATAGAGGTATTATGGCTACAGCTGTTTTCCCGAATTAACGAATGTCAGGGAGGTACTGAATATATATGATGGTTAGAAGATGATGTTGGGCTCAAAATGCACTACAGATCTTTGGTCTGCAGAAGCCCAATAAAAGTAACCATTTAAACAATGTGTCTTTGTTTTTTTAGCCCCTTCCAAATGACAAAACCTTACTCTACAATCCATTTCCTCCCACGAATGAATCAGATGTCATCCGGAGGCGCACAGCTCATGCTTTTAAAATTTCTAAGATATATAAGGTAAAACATCTTGTGTTGTTATTCTGGATAGTTGGTTCCTTTGTGATACCAAAATGTAATAAACTCCACAATCGGAAGATAAGAGCACCTTCAGTTTCCATGCAGAGAACCTGGCTTGTGGGAGACAAGTCACCTTTTTGAGGCTGGCTGTCCCTTGTATATGTTTTATTGTTCTTGCCTTAGTAGGTTAGAGGCAGGCACATCATACTTAACCAAAATGAAATGCGTAAGTAGTGAGAAATGTTGGCGCTGAGGGTAGAGTCTTTGTTGTCATGAGAGCTGGCTTTAAATTTTACTTGTTGGAGTGTTCCATAGGATAAATGTCAAGCAGGCTGGGCTTGGTAGCTCATACCTGTAATCCCAGCACTTTGGGAGGCCAAGGCAGGTGGATCTCCTCAGCCCAGGAATTCAAAACCAGCCTGGGCACCATGGTGAAACCCCATCACTATTAACAAAAAAAAAAAAAGGAGAGTTCTGTAAATTACTGATTACTCAAATGACTCAAATGTGATTAGCTTCTTGATGCATTTGTAGCTTGCCAGTTGTCAGTTGCCTTAGGCTGGGTATGGTGATTCACGCCTGTAATCTCAGTACTTTAGGAGGTTGAGGCTGGAGTTCAAGACCAGTCTGGGCAACATAGTGAGACCCTGTCTCTACAAAAAAAAAAAAAATATAAAAATTAGCTAGGTGTGGTGGAGCATGCCTGTAGTCCCAGCTGCTCAAGAGGCTGAGATGGGAGGATAGCTTGTGCTCAGGAGTTCAAGGCTGCGGTGAGTATGATTGCACCACTGCACTCCAGGCTGGGTAACATCGAGATTCTGTCTGAGAAAAAAAAGAACTTAGGCTTTAAAGTCCTTGCTTAACATTGATTCTTGAGATATAAGAAGCATAGATTTTCTATCCAGAGAAATGTAAAAAAATCCTGCTGAGACCTTTTATGAGTGAACTTAGTTAAAAGCTCCCAATCTTGGCCGGGCGCAGTGGCTCACGCCTGTAATCCCAGCACTTTGGGAGGCCAAGGTGGGCGGATCACGAGTTCAGGAGATCGAGACCATCCTGGCTAACACGGTGAAACCCCATCTCTACTAAAAATACAAAAAATTAGCCGGGCGTGGTGGTGGGCACCTGTAGTCCCAGCTACCCGGGAGGCTGAGGCGGGAGAATGGCGTGAACCCGGGAGGCGGAGCTTGCCGTGAGCCGAGATTGCGCCACTGCACTCCAGCCTGGGCGGCAGAGCGAGACTGTCTCAAAAAAAAAAAAAAAAAAAAAAAAGGCTCCCAATCTTGAGCCAGGCGCAGCCGTGCACACCTACCTATTGTCCCAGCTACTCAGGAGACTGAGGCAGGATGATTGCCCAGGAGTTCAGGGCTTCAGTGCACGTTGATCATGTCTATGAATGACCACTGCTCTCCTGCCTAGGCAACATAGCAAGATCTCTAAAAAATAAAAAAAAAAGCTTTTATGCATTCCAACTATTTTGAGTCCCAGGGCAGGAAAGATTGTCAAGAAATTTAAATCATTTGAGCCTTGAACTAGGCTAACCTTTTAGCTTAGATGGTGTCTACCTACAGTCAGTTCTTTCAGGACTAGCCCTGGATCCTAAGTCCTGATAGAATAATTATCATCCCTCTGCAGCCTCTACTCTTCATGGATCTTTTGGATGAAAGAACACTCGTGGCAGTAGAACGGCCTCTGGATGACATCATTGCTCAGCTCCCACCACCCATTAAAAAGAAGAAATTTGGAACCTAAAACAGGGCACTGTCTGTGTCCTTCCTTGAACTGTCTACCCTGTTGCTTTTCACAAATCATGGTAATAAAACAAGTTATTCTTGAGGACTAGTCATTATAAATGTTTTCTTCCAAAATAATGGACAGTCATTTCCCTTCATTGAATGAAAATGAATGGAAATTCCAAATGAGGTATTTGTATTGGGGATAATGTGCTCAGTAGCTACAAACTCATCTAATGTTGATTGAGTCCTGCTTATTCTGTAGGCCGCAATCTCAGAAGAAAAGATATTTGTGTTCTGTTCCCTATTACATGCCTAAGGCTTCAGAGAGCTGATAGCCTTCACTTCCTGCCAGCCCCCAGCCCATGGAACTGCGTAGGAATCTGCCCATCCTCGCCCTGGAGGGCAGAGGACCGTAATTACTTACCCAGGATAGCCTGACCACTAATAACCATAATCAGCCTTAGAGTTCAAGGAAGAATTTCAACTCCAGCATTATAAGGGAGTGCTCCATCTAAAAAATAGATGCCTTTGACCTTTGACAGTCAGCCGTTAATTTTATTTAAAAGTAAAAAAAGCTTGGGTTATCAGTCCCATTAACTGCCTTTTTACCTGTTATGTGCTGGTTTCAAAAGGTATGGAAGGGCCAGGCATGGTGGCTCATGCCTGTAATCCCAGCATTTTAGGAGGCCAAGGTGGGAGCATCCTTGAGTCCAGAGACCAACCCGGGCAACATAGGGAGACCCTATCCCTAAAGAAATACAATATGAAAAAAAAGATACAGGAGCTGGGCACACATCAGTAGTCCCAGCTACTCGAGAGGCTCAGTGGAGCCCAGGAGCTTGAGACCATAGTGTGCTATGATCATACTGGTGAATAGCCACTGCACTCCAGCCTGGGCAACATAGTGTGAGACCCTGTCTCTTTAAAAAAAAAAAAAAAAAAAAGGGTAAGGAAACACTGGGCAGGAATTTTGTTAGGGATTAAGAGTAGAGATGGGGACCCGAGAGCCCACCATGTATTTCACATTTTTCATTCTCTTCTACCTGCTCTGACATTGTTATTCCCACGTGTGTTATCAACTGGCCAGTTTTAATGTGATCTTTAAATTAGAAAGTGAAGAACTCTAGTTAACTAAACTGAGCAGATAGATTTCTTTCCCTTCTCGGGATGTATTCTGTTGCATGCCTGCGTAAACCCAGTTTGTGTGGTTTTTGTTTGTTTTGGGGATGGAGGGCTGAAGTGTGGGCAGAGAAGTGTGTGGGTTCTGATAACATCTTGAATGAAGGGTTGGTGAAAAACATTTTGCTATGATTAGCCCCACCCTCCATTCTGGAAAGGGAAAATAAATGAGGATTTAAGGTAGATGTTTGGGGGGAGAATTAACAGAGAGAGAGAGGTTATAAGAGAGATAAACAGAGCCCAATAATTTATCACATAAAGGACAGCCTATTTTAGGTTTGATAAGAAAGAACAGATATGATAAGATTTATAATGGATGTCTTTGCCTCTGCCCCACCTGTTAGGTTTTACAGTGATAGGAGTAATTTAAACAAATACCTGCTGGGCGCCATGGCTGTAATCCCAGCACTTTGGGAGGCTGAGACTGGCAAATAGCTTGAACTGAGGACTTTGAGACCAGCCTGGGCAACATGGTGAAACTCCATCCCTACAAAACATACAAAAATTAGCCAGGCGTGGTGGCAAGCACCTGTAGTCCCAGCTTCTCAGGAGGCTGAGGTGGGAGGATTGCTTGAGCCCAGGAGGAAGAGGCTGCAGTGATCCCTGAGCACGCCGCTGCACTCCAGCCTAGATTTTTTTGAGACCCTCTCTCAAAGAAAACAAAATACCTGCAACTTTTTAGGTCACCTGTGTAAAAAAAAACTTGCCTCTTGTTGAATACATTTTTTTCTGTAAGGTATATTTTTCCAGTCTGGATTAGACTGGACTATTAGGGACCTTTTTAGTTTACTGAAGATTCTGTCCTTTCTAAGAAATGTTTTAAGTGGTTGAAATGACAAGTTCAAGTTGCTGGTCTACATTGAATACTTGTGAACAGATGGAGGCTAGGATGCCTTAAATAGTAACTCACTTGTGGCCCGGTGCAGTGGCTCACACCTGTAATCCCAGCACTTCGGGAGGCCAAGGCAGGCAGATCACTTGAGGTTCAGGAGTTCAAGCCAGCCTGGCCAACATGGCAAAACCCCATCTCTACTAAAAATACAAAACTTAGCCAGGCATGGTGGCACACGCCTGTAATCCCAGCTACTTGGGAGGCTGAGGCAGGAGAACTGCTTGAACCTGGGAAGCAGAGGTTGCAGTGAGCCAAGATCGCACAGAGCGAGACTCCATCTCAAAATAAAATAATAAATTAACTCACTTGCTTTTCACTCGTTGTAGAGCTGTAAATTCAGAGAATCCTTGTCAACTGGAATCTAGTTTATGGCTTAACTTACTTAAATTCTAAAATCTTGTGGGTTGTGGAGGATGTAATTCTCACAGAGAGAGCCCACAGATCATCTGAATGAGGAAGTAAAAGTTCTGAAAGTAGAAAGCATTCCTTTTCAACTTTTCCAGCCAGTGATTTGTACTTCCTTAAATGGTATGGGAAGTAAGTGCTTTGGGCCTTGAAATTCTTCCGAAGTAGAAAACTTGGAATACAAATGAAGCAGAAACTGACTAGGGCAAGTTAGAGAAATTGGGGGAAGGGAAGGGAGGGGAAAGGAGGGGAGGGAATGTGAGGGGAAGGGACTGTGGGAGAGGGGAGAGGAGGGGAGGGGATGTGAGGGGAAGGGAAGGGAAGGGAAGGAAAACCAGTATTAAAAAAGGGGAACGCTTTAGTGCATGGGTTTCAGGGTGTTTTTACTTTGGGGGTTTGTGTAACCTAGACATTTAAAACGTTTCCCTCTTGGCGTTATGTTTCTGTTTTGGCCATTTTGCATACCTCTGCTCATTCTTGGGTTCTACAGAAAAATTCTGATTTGAAACCAGCCCAGGAACGGTCTTTTTTGCCAATCTGACTCAAATGCTTTAAAAATTCACTCTTCTCATGTACTGGTTAGTAAACTAATCTCTGAATGGATAATTCACATGTACCGTGGAGAGTATAGCAAATTCAACTAAGAAGAACTAAAATCTTGGAATATTGGAAGATAGAGACCATCAAATTTGGGGGTTTTTAGGCTTTCTTTTGAGCATCAACCTTTCTTTAAATGGTACTTAATACCGAACCACAATGTATGCTGTAGATAAAAATGAAGTTATTCCTATTGGGTGGAGATGAAGCAGGAGTTTGTAAAAGAAACGTGACTCTCAGTCTCATTTTTTTTCCTTTTTTTTTCTTCTTTTTTTTTTTTTTTTGAGACAGTCTTGCTCTGTCACCAGGCTGGAGTGCAGTGGTGCGATCTCGGCTCACTGCAACATTCGCCTTCTAGATTCAAGCGATTCCCCTGCCTCAGTCCCAAGTAGCTGGGACTGCAGGTGCCCGCCACCACGCCCGGCTAATTTTTTGTATTTTAGTAGAGACGGGGTTTCAGCATGTTGGCCAGGATGGTCTCAATCCCCTGACCTGGTGATCTGCCCACCTCGGCCTCCCAAGGTGCTGGGATTTCATGTGTAAGCCACCGCACCCGGCCATTCTCATTTTTACAGTCTTGGAAATGGGAGATCAAGAAGGGAAGAGGTAATTTTTCCCATAGTCACACATTGATTTGTTAGAGGCCAAGGTGGCATTCTTCAGCTTATTCCCCCACTATCTCAGTTATAGGACCCTAATCATAAATATGATTGTCAGAAGCATTTGAACCAAAGCAAATGTATCTTGAATAGGAGCTAGGTAAAATGAGGCTGAGACCTACTGGGCTGCATTCCCAGACAGTTAAGCCATTATGTCACTGAATGAGATAGAAGGTCGGCACAAGATACAGGTCATAAAGACCTTGCTGATGAAACAGGTTGCAGTAAAGAAGCTGGCTAAAACCCACCAAAACCAAGAAGGCCGCAAGAGTGACCTCTGGTCGTCCTCACTGCTACACTCCCACCAGCGCCATGACAGTTTACAAATGCCATGGCAACGTCAGGAAGTTACCGTATATGGTCTAAACAGGGAAGGCATGAATAATCCACTCCTTGCTTAGCATATCATCAAGAAATAACCATAAAAGGCTGGGTGCGGTGGCTCATGCCTGTAATATCAGCACTCTGGAAGGCTGTGGTGGGCAGATCACCTGAGGTCAGGAGTTCCAGACCAACCTGGCCAACTTGGTGAAACCCCGTCTCTACTAAAAAAAAATACAAAAATTAGCTGGGCATGGTGGCACACACCTATAGTCCCAGCTACTAGGGAGGCTGAGGCAGAAGAATCACTTGAACTGGGCAGGCAGAGGTTGCAGTGAGCCGAGATCGCACCACTGCACTCCAGCCTGGCGGCAGAGTGAGGCTGTGTCTCCAAAAAAAAAAGAAAAGAACCATAAAAATGGGCAACCAGCCTTGAGGCTGCTCTGGCTTTCCTTCACTTGCTTAATAAACTTGCTTTCACTTTACCAACTCGCCCTGAATTCTTTCTTGCATAAGATCCAAGAACCCTCTCTTGGGGTCTGGATTGTGACCCCTTTCCTGTAACATGATGATTAGCAGGCATGATACACAAAGGATTTTCCGTTTCGTAGGCTACAGGGAAGGTGTTTGAGCACTTGATCTAGCTGTAATATTGAGTTATGTGGGCAGTCTTTTGTGTTAGTCATATAGAGTGTAGTAATGTACAATCTAGGACATTGTCTCCTGGTGCTCATGTCTGGGTGTTTCTTGGGCCAGTTCCTGGGTGTGGCTCATACTGTGTCCATTTTCTTTCACTTTTATTTGGCCTTCGTACTGGCTGTTTTCCCATCAGCAGTGTTTGAAAGTATTTGTTTCCTTATTCCTTACCAATGTATTGGCAGACTAATTTTAGCCTATCCAATGGGTGAAAAACGCTATCTCATTTTACTCTGCATTTCCCTGTTTACTAATGAGGTTGCTCACTTTATGTGTTTGGCTGTTTGGCCAATTGCATGAATTACATATTCATAACCCTTTCTCCTTTTTTTCCCCTAATGTGTTGTCTTTTTCTTTCTTTCTGGTTTGTTTTTTTTTTTTTTTTTTTTTTTTTTTTGAGACAGTCTCACTCTGTCACCCAGGCTGGAGTGCAGTGGCGCAGTCTTGGCTCACTGCCAGCTCCGCCTCCCGGGTTCAAGGCATTCTCCTGCCTCAGCCTCCTGAGTAGCTGGGACTACAGGCGCCTGCCACCATGCCTGGCTAATTTTTTGTATTTTTAGTAGAGACGGGGTTTCACCGTGTTAGCCAGGATGGTGTCGAGCTCCTGACTTCGTGATCCGCCCAGCTCGGCCTCCCGAAGTGCTGGGATTACAGGCGTGAGCCACCGTGTCCAGCCGTGTTGTCTTTTTCTTTTAGTATTTCAAGGTATTTTATGACGTAGATCAGCACTGTCCAATAAACTTTCCGTAATGATAGAAAAGTAGGCCAAGTGTGGTGGCTCATGCCTGTAATCACAGCACTTTGGGAGGCCAAGCCGGATGAATCACCTGAGCTCAGGAGTTTGAGACCAGCCTAGGCACCATGAAACCCCGTCTCTACTAAAAATACAAAAATTAGCTGGGTGTAGTGGCGCATGCCTATAATCTCAGCTACTTGGGAGGCTGAGGTGGGAGAATTACTTGAGCCTGGGAGGTGGAAGTTGTAGTGAGCAGAGATCATGCCACTGCACTCCAACCTGGGTGACAGAGTGAGACCCCTGTATCAAAAATAAATAAGTAAGGCTGGGCACGGTTGGTCCACGCGTGTAATCCCAGCATTTTGGGAGGCCGAGGCGGGTGGATCATGAGGTCAGGAGTTCGAAGCCAGCATAAGGTGGCTCATGCCTGTAATCCCAGTGCCTTGGGAGGCTGAGGTGGGCGGATCACGAGGTCAGGAGTTGAAGACCAGCCTGACCAACTTGGTGAAACTCTGCCTCTACTAAAAATACAAAAATTAGCCAGGCATGGTGGTGTGTGCCTGTAATCCCAGCTACTCAGGAGGCTGAAGCAGGAGAATCGCTTGAACCTGGGAGGCAGAGGTTGCAGTGAGCCGAAATCGCACCACTGCACTCCTGCCTGGGTAACAGAGCAAGACTCCTTCTCAAAAAAAAAAAATTCTGTTCTTAGTCACACTAGCAACATTGCAAGTGCTCAATAGTCACATGTGCCTAGTAACTATCTTACGGCATAGCACAAATAGAAAACATTTCTGTTTTATTTATTTATTTATTTTTTGAGACGGAGTCTCACTCTGTCGCCCAGGCTGGAGCGCAGTGGCACCATCTTGGCTCACTACAACCTCCACCTCCTGGGTTCAAGCGATTCTCCTGCCTCAGCCTCCCAAGTAGCTGGGACTACAGGCATGCGCCACCATGCCCGGCTAATTTATATATATATATATGTATACACACACACACACACACACACACACACATATATATACACACACACACATATATATACACACATATATATAATATATATGTGTGTGTGTGTGTGTATGTGTATATATATATACACATATATATATTTTTTTAACTCTGAACTTTTTATTGGCCTCCTGCTCCTCAAAGGGTACCCTGCTTCTGCTGGCTTAATGCCTCAGAACTTTGGTGTCGTTGGTCTCAGACACCACTTTGCCATCCACTGTCTGGCGGGTGGTGGTCTTTTGGATGGTTTGCAAAAAATATGGAACGCTTCACGAATTTGCGTGTCATCCTTGCTCAGGGGCCACGTTAATCTTCTCTGTATCGTTCCAATTTTAGTATATGTGCTGCTGAAGCGAGCACAATTTTTATATTTTTTATAGAGACAAGGTTTCACCATGTTGGCCAGGCTGGAACTCCTAACCTCAGGTGATCTGCCTGCCTCAGCCTCCCAAAGTGCTGGGATTACAGGTGTGAGCCACCATGCCTGGCCAGAATTTTTAATTTTAATTTAAATAGCTACATGTGCTAATAGCCTTCATATTGACCAGCACAGATCTAGATATTCAGGCTTAGCTTTGTGTCAGTTCATTGTCTTTAGGAAGTTATAGAATTTAGTAACAGCTATACATTTATTGAGTGGCTACTATATGCAACTCACCAAAAACAGAAGAAAAATACAGCCTCAGCCCTCAAGAACTATACCGCCTAGAAGGGGAGAGAAGCAAGTAGATCAGTCATGCTACATGAGGTCAGGTACAGTGGCTCATGCCTGTAACCCCAGCACTTTGGGAGACCAAGGCAGGAGGATTCCTTGAACTTGAGACCAGCCTGGGCAACACAGTGAGACCCCATCTCTACGAAAACATTTTTTTAAAATTAGCCAGATGTGGTGGCACATGCCTGTGTTTCCTAGCTACTCGAGAGGCTGAGGTGGGAGACTTGCTTGAGCCTGGGAGGTTGAGGCTGCAGTGACCTGGGACCACACCATTGCATTCCAGCCTGAGAACAGAGCAAGACCCTGACACACAGACACACACACACACACACACACCACACACACAATAGAGTGGTTTCCACAGAAGGAAGCTAAGCAGTTTAGGAAAGTATGTGGAAAAGACAAGTTGTTTTGGATACAGAGTCCTTGAGCCAACATGTAGTGAGAAATAAGACCAGTTGGGGTGGGCCTTCCAGTCTGTGGTCCAGAATTTTCATTCAGTGGAAAACACAGCTGTGAGTCACTCACACATTCAATGGAATGACAGTAAAAATGCCCATTTGTGTAAGGGGCAGAAGAGACTGGAAGTTAGGGAGGCAAAAAACAGGCTGTTGTGTAGGTGACGGGGGGTCTATGTTAGGGCTGCCATAACAAAGCACTATTGGGATGGCTTCAACAACATAACTTCTTTTTTTTTTTTTGGAGACAGGGTCTGGCTCTGTTGCCCAGGCTGGATTGCAGTTGCTCAATCTTGACTCATTGCAGCCTTAACCCCTGGGCTCAAGCAATCCTCCGGCCTCAGCATCCTGAGTAGCTAGAACTACAGGTGTGCGCCACTACACCTGGCTAATTTTTTTTTTTAATAGCCCAAACTGTCATTTTTTCTTTTTCTTTCTTTTTTTTTTTTGGAATAGAGTCTCACTCTGATGCCCAGGCTGGAGTGCAGTGGCACGATCTCAGCTCACTGCAGCCTCTGCCTCTAGGGTTCAAGCACTTCTCCTGCCTCAGCCTCCCAAGTAGCTGGGGTAATAAGTGTGTGCTACCACATCCAGCTAATTTTTGTATTTTTAGTAGAGATGGGGTTTCACCATGTTGGTCAGGCTGGTCTCAAACTCCTGATCTCAAGTGATCCACCCGTCTCGGCCTCCCAAAGTGTTGGGATTACAGGCACGAGCCACCGCACCTGGCCTTTTTCTTTTTTTTTTTTTTTTTTAATCAAGGATCTATTTTTTTGTAGAGATGGGGTCTCACTATGTTGCCCAGGCTGGTCTAGAACTCCTGAACTCAAGCAATCCACCTGCCTTGGCCTCCCAAAGTGCTGGGATTATAGGCGTGAGCCACTGTGCCAGACCAGAAATTTATTTTCTCATAGTTCTGGAGGCTAAAGGTCTGAGATTGAGATCAAGGTGTCAGCAGGATTTTTTGTTTGTTTGTTTGTTTGTTTGTTTTTGGTGGTGGTGGTTGTTTTGAGACAGAGTCTCACTCTGTTGCCCAGGCTGGAGTGCAGTGGAGCAATCTTGGATCACTGCAACCTCCGCCTTCCAGGTTCAAGTGATTCTCCTACCTCAGCCTCCTGAGTAGCTGGGATTACAACCATGCAACACCATGCCCAGCTAATTTTTGTATTTTTAGTAGAGATGGAGTTTTACCATGTTGGCCAGGCTGGTCTTGAACTCTTGACCTCAAGTGATCTGCCAGCCTCAGCCTCCCAAAATGCTGAGATTACAGATGTGAGCCATCGTGCCTGGCCTTGTTTTTTAGCTTTTTGTTTTTTGGTAGAGACGAGGTCTTGCTATATTGCCCAGGCTGGTGTCGAACTCCTGGACTCAAGTGATCCTCCTGCCTCCTGATGTGCTGTGGTTACAGGCATGAGCCACCACGCCAGGCTGGATTGGTTTCTTCTGAGGCCTCTCTCCTTGCCTTGTAAATGACCATCTTCTCCCTTCATCTTCCCATGGTCTTCCCTCCATGCATGTATCTCTGCCCTCATCTCTTCTTATAAGGAAAACAGTCAAACTGGATTAGGGCCCACCCCAGTGACCTCATTTTAACTCAGTTACCTCTTTAAAGATTCAATCTCCAGGCTGGGTGTGGTGGCTCACACCTGTAATCCCAGCACTGTGGGAGGCCAAGGCAGCCGTATCGCCTGAGGTCAGGAATTCGAGACCAGCCTGGCCAACATGGTAAAACCCCGTCTCTACTAAAAATACAAAAATTAGCTGGGCATGATGGCAGGCATTTGTAATCTCAGCTACTCGGGAGGCTAAGGCAGGAGAATTGCTTGAACCCAGGAAGCGGAGGTTGCAGTGAGCCGAGATGGTGCCATTGCACTCCAGTCTGGGCAACAAGAGGGAAACTTCATCTCAAAAAAAAAAAAAAAGAGGCCGGGCACGGTAGCTCACGCCTGTAATCCCAGCACTTTGGGAGGCCAAGGCGGGCGCATCACGAGGTCAGGAGATCGAGACCATCCTGGCTAACACGATGAAACCCCGTCTCTACTAAAAATAAAAAAATTAGCCGGGCGTGGGGGCAGGTGCCTGTAGTCCCAGCTACTCGGGAGGCTGAGACAGGAGAATGGCATGAACCCAGGAGGCGGAGCTTGCAGTGAGCTGAGATCAGGCCGCTGCACTCCAGTCTGGGCGACACAGCGAGACTCCATCTCAAAAAAAAAAAAAAAAAAAAAAAAAAAAAAAAAAAGAACTGGTGAAGGGGGAAAGTAGACTTTTAATTTAATTTTTATTTTTTTATTTTTTTTGAGACAGTCTCGCTTTGTCACCCAGGCTTGAGTGCAGTGGCACGATCATGGCCCACTGCAACCTCCGCCTCCCGGGTTCAAGCGATTCTCCTGCCTCAGCTTCCCAAGTAGCTGGGATTACAGGTGCCTGCCACCATGGCTGGCTAATTTTTGTATTTTTAGTGGAGACAGGGTTTCACCACGTTGACCAGGCTGGTCTCGAACCCCTGACCTCAAATGATCCACCCACCTCGGCCTCCCAAAGTGCTAGGATTACAGGCGTGAGCCACCGTGCTGGGCTGACTTTTATTTTTAGATATTATTTGAATTTCATGACAAATTATGTAATTTCCATGATTGTCAATAAAAAAAAGAAAAAAGAAAACACTGGTGATTTTCCGTAACTAAGTGGATTCAATGAAACTAAACTTCTATTTAGTGTGTCCTTGCTAATATTTTCCTTTAAAAAGTCACAGTGCTACAAAACTGTCACCAGCTGCTGCTTATTAGGAATGTGGTTAGCAGATGTGGGTTTTCATAGTCATGCTGTATGAGATCGTTAGTCCATTTTTGCGGGTTTCAGATGGTTAGTGATTTATCTTGGTGGGATGAATTAAAAATGTGCTTGCATCAGCTAAAGGACATATGCACCTTTCTCTCTTTCGTGACATGTTTGTGCTGGAGTGAAAATATATTGCAGGATATTTCTACTGGAAGGTAAAGTAGTACTATTCATTGAAAAGGATAACTGATCCTGCTGCCTTCTTAGTGGGGAAGAGTTATGCATAGATAATTTTTCAAAGCTGGATGTTGGATCAGTTATTTTATAAGCTTATTTCTCCCTTTGGCTTCTTCCTTAGTAGTAATTGAGTGGCTCCTGCTTTTGTTCCTCTGGCATCAGGCCACCTTTGTGGCAGTGACCTTCAGGCTTGCTAAGGGCTGCAATTTTGCTTGAGGCCCTCCTTCCTTATGAAATTACACAACACTCAAACGTTGGAACCAGCCCCAGATCCACTAATTCTTTTCCTTTGACGGACTCTTGGCAATCTATACTGTCTTTCAGCCAAAGTGTAGCTTTATACAAGATCTGTTTGTCACCGAAATTAATTTGGCCATTTGCCCTTTAAGCATGGCATCAAATGGTGTTATGGCATACTCATTCCTAGATAAAGTATAGACTAGCAGCTGGAGAGTTTCTTTTTTTTTTTCTTCCTTCCTTCCTTCCTCTTTCTTCTTTTCCCTCCCTTCCTTCTTTCCTTCCTTCCCTCCCTCCTTTCTTGCTCTCTCTTCTCTTCCCTCCCTCCCTCCCTGCCTGCCTGCCTCCCTTCCTCTCTCTTCCCTCCCTCCCTCCTTCCCTCCCTTCCTTCCTTCCTTCCTTCCTTCTTTTTGAGACAGGGTCTCACTGTGTCACCCAGGCTGGAGTGCAGTGGTCTGATCACAGCCCACTACAGCCTTGAACTCCTGGGCTCAAGTGATCCTCCCACCTTAGGCTACCTAGTAGCTAGGACTACAGGTGCCCACCACCACACCCAGTTAGTTTTTGTATTTTTTATAGAGATGGGGTTTTGCCACATTGCCCAGTCTGGGCTCAAGTGATCCTCCTGCCTCGGCCTCCCAAAATGCTAGGATTATAGGCTTGAGCCACTGTGCCCAGCCAAGAGTTTCTATCAAAGGTTTTATTGTTGGTGCTGCTGAAAGTCAACTGGTAATAACAGCAATGGGTACTCATTTATTTATTTATTTATTTATTTGAGATGGAGTCTTGCTCTGTCCCCCAGGCTGGAGTGCAGTAGCACGATCTCGGCTCACTGCAACCTCCGCCTCCCAGGTTCAAGCAATTCTCCTGCCTAAGCCTTCTGAGTAGCTGGGACTACAGGTGCATGCCACCATGCCCAGCTAATTTTTTTGTGTGTTTTTAGTAGAAATGGGGTTTTTGTATTTTTAGTAGAGATGGGGTTTCACCGTGTTAGCCAGGATAGTCTCGATCTCCTGACCTCATGATCAGCCCGCCTCAGCCTCCCAAAGTACTGGGATTGCAGGTGTGAACCACTGTGTCCAGCCTTTATTTTTTATTTATTTTTATTTTTATTTTGTTATTTACTTTTTGAGATGGAGTCTCACTCTTTCGCCAGGCTGGAGTGCAGTGGCGCAATCTCGGCTCACTGCAACCTCTAACTCCCTGGTTCAAGCGATTCTCCTGCCTCAGCCTCCCGAGTAGCTGGGATTATAGGCATGCACCACCACGCCCAGCTAATTTTTGTATTTTTAGTAGAAACGGGGTTTCACCATGTTGGCCAGGATGGTCTCGATCTCCTGACCTTGTGATCCACCCGCCTTGGCCTCCCAAAGTGCGGGATTACAGGCGTGAGCCACCGTGCCCGGCCCTTTCATTTATTTTTTGAGACAGAGTCTCACTCTGTTGCCCAGGCTGGAGTGCAATGGCGTGATCTCAGCTCACTATAACCTCTGCCTCCTCAGTTCAAGCGATTCTCGTCCCTCAGCCTCCTGAGTAGCTGGGATTATAGGCATGCACCCCTACACCAGGCTAATTTTTGTATTTTTAGTAGAGACAAGGTTTCATCATGTTGGCCAGGCTGGTCACAAACTCCTGGCCTCAAGCGATCTGCCTGCCTCGGCCTCCCAAAGTGCTGGGATTACAGGTGTGAGCCACTGTGCCTGGCCGCCATTTCCTTTTTTTAGAGGTAAAGTAACATGACTCTTCAAAGAGTGATCATAGCTTGTCTCACTGTCCTTAAGAAACTGTGGAAACAGATGTGCGCTCTTTTTATTTCAGATTTCATTATCCACAGTAAGTAGATTTCCACTGACTCCTTGAGATTTCCTAGATGGTAATTTTCACTCTGCAAGGAACCAATAACCTTCAGAGGAATTATTTGAAAGGACTATAGCGCAGAAGGCACTGAATCTCAATCAATCATATGTTTAATGAGTTCCTTCTCTGCAAGGTAATCTTTTTGGAATAGTGGGGAATAAATATAAGTTGATGGGTGGTCCCTGCCCTCCTGTAGTTTATAATCTACTTGGCCAAACAAGCCAGGAACAGAATTAAATTGTTCAAAGGAAAATTCCCAATGAACTGAGGAGTCAGGCAAAGCTGAAATGAAAGCTTGCTAGGTGGTAAGGGAATTCGGCCGGAGGAGGCAGGAGGTGTCTGGAAAGAAGGACTTAGACAACGTGCAAGACATCATTGGGACACATTGACTGAATGAGTTGGGCTCATCTGAAGGTAGTGATGAAAGGCAATGTTGAAAAGTTCATTTCGGTTCTGATGGAAGGCCTTGCAGATACAGCTTGACAGTTGGGGGATTTTTTTTTTTATGGACATATTTAAAAATAATCTTTTTTTTTTTGAGATGGAGTCTTGCTCTGTCGCCCAGGCTGGAGTGCAGTGGCACGATCTCGGCTCACTGCAACCGCCACCTCCCGGGTTCAAGTGATTCTCCTGCCTCAGCCTCCTGAGTAGCTGGGACTACAAGTGCATGTCACCACGCCCAGCTAATTTTTGTATTTTTAGTAGAGATGGGGTTTCACCATGTTGCCCAGGATGGTCTGGATCTCCTGACCTCGTGATCCCCCCGCCTCGGCCTCCCAAAGCTCTGGGATTACAGGCATGAGCCATCATGTCCAGCCTGAAAATAATCTTTAAAGGAAAAATTATCAAGTAATCCCAATACCAATCTATCTCCATTAGCTACTTCCAGGGTTAAATATTTTGTTATATAACTTGCTGTCTTATGTAAGTGCCCTCACTATTAGTTAGCAGATCTGTGACTTACTCCAACTCTATTGGCAAAAAGGTCTTGATAGTCTTGCAGAGAATTCCCAGCACTTCCCTTCTGCTAATAAAGGTGTCCTCAAGTGCCCAACTCCTGGGTAATTACAAATGCAAAAGTGTTAAAAATAGCACTCATACTCTAAGGAATCAGCTGCGAAACACTCTCTAATAAGCAGAAATTTCACATAACTCAGGCCTCTGGGGGCTCACGCCTCAGCTGGAGCAGAGCCAGAACGTCTGTGACCGCAGGTGCACTTGGGCACATTGGGACCTGCTGGAACAGCAAGCTGGCCTCTGCAGTTGATTTAGGAGAGGGCTGGAGGGTTGAGCTTTTGCTGACATTTGCAGCTTGGAAAATCCGACTCCACTAATCGCAAAGAGGATTCTGCTGTAATGATTTTTTTTTTGGTAAGATACTTTTCTCATTTTGAATTCTTTCTTCATTTGGGCTCTGGACACTTCCCAGCCTCTACATTTATTATTTTAACTTCTGTTACAGGAGGCTCTTCAGAAGTTTCTGCCTGCACATGAACATGCATTCACAGAGTGGTGCACGGCCACGGTTTACGAGCCTCAACGTGCACTTCATGAGCAAGCAAGTTTACAGCCCCTTTTACAGGAATTGGTGCACATTCCCTCTGCTTGCCCCTGTCCCTGCCCACATGAAAACACAGGGATTTTTTGCTACTACTGCTGAAGAAAAGTTAGAGGACACCTTGACCTCATGATTTTGCTGAGCACTTGCTTTCTTAACAGTGTGCTTTCTGGACCCTTAGTTTATTTTTTATTTTTTTAATTTTTTTTTTTTTTGAGACAAACTCTTGCTCTGTCGCCCAGGCTGTAGTGCAGCGGTGCGATCTCGGCTCACTGCAACCTTTGCCTCCTGGGTTCAAGAGATTCTTGTGCCTCATTCTCCTGAGTAGCTGAGATAGGGGTGTGTACCACCACACCTGGCTAATTTTTTTTTTTTTTTTTTTTTGTATTTTTAGTAGAGATGGGGTTTCACCATGTTGGTCAGGCTGGTCTTGAACTCCTGACCTCAAATGATCTGCTTGCCTCACCCTCCCAAAGTTTTGGGATTATAGGCATGAGCCACTGTGCCCAGCTTGGACCCTTATTTTTGAGGTCTGAAGGGTACTGTATAGTGAAAATAACCCTGGATCCAGAGGCTGGTAGTCCTGAGTTGTCTCTGCCTCCTTCCTATGGACTTTGGGCCATGGTCTTTGGTCTTTGGCTCTCTGGCCCTCAGTTTTCTTAGCTCTTCTAGTCCATGAAGCTGGAGGAGGTGGGTGGGTTGTATCATTCA
This sequence comes from Homo sapiens, assembly GCF_000001405.40. Lineage (NCBI taxonomy): Eukaryota > Metazoa > Chordata > Mammalia > Primates > Hominidae > Homo > Homo sapiens. The sequence goes on from NC_000016.10 coordinate 69,183,969, forward strand.
TGTCTGAATAAAAGCCACTGCAGGCTCTGCAATGTGCACAGCAGTGGCTCATGGCCTTTGGTCAGGGAAACTTCCTGCCAATTGGATGAATCACAGGCTTCAAAAAAATACCTTAGAGACCAAATTTTGCATACAATTTTTGGGAATGCCCACGTACACTTGCCCCAACAAAAGGCCATGGCCTCCAGGCTAAGAAAGTCAGATCTGCGGCCAGGCACGGTGGCTCACGCCTGTAATCCCAGCACTTTGGGAGGCCGAGGCGGGTGGATCATGAGGTCAGGAGTTCAAGAACAGCCTGACCAACATGGTGAAACCCCACCTTTACTAAAATACAAAAATTAGCTGGTGTGATGGCACGCGCCTGTAATCCCAGCTACTCGGGAGGCTGAGGCAGGAGAATTGCTTGAAACTAGGAGGTGGAGGTTGCAGTGAGCTGAAATCAAGCCACTGCACTCCAGCCTGGGTGACAGAATGAGACTCCATCTCAAAAAAAAAAAAAAAAAAAGATCTATAAAGTCAAGTTCAAACTCCTCGATATTTTGTTATGCTTTTCAGCTGGGCGTGGTGGCTCATGCCTGTAATCCCAGCACTTTGGGAGGCCGAGGCGTGCAGATCACCTGAGGTCGGGAGTTCAAGACCAGCCTGGCCAACATGGAGAAACCTTGTCTCTACTAAAAAATACAAAATTAGCCAGGCGTGGTGGCACATGCCTATAATCCCAGCTACTCGGGAGTCTGAGGCAGGAGAATCGTTTGAACCTGGGAGGCAGAGGTTGCAGTGAGCCGAGATCGCGCCATTGCACTCCAGCCTGGGCAAAAAGAGTGAAACTCTTGTCTCAGAAAAAAAAAAAAGATGCTTTTCACACTCATATCCTCCCATTTCCACTGACCCTATGCTCTGTTCACATTGGAATTCTAGCATCTTCCTAAGTAACCATCTATGATGTTAATTTTGTGTCAACTTGACTGGGCTAAGGGATCCCCAGGTAACTAGTAAAACATAACCTCTGGGTATACCTGTGTGGGTGTTTCAGGAAGAGATTAGCATTTCCACGGTAGACTCTAAAGAAGATCACCCTCACCAATGTGGGCAGGCAGCATCCAGTCAGTTGAGGGCCTGAGCAAAACAAAGGGCAGAGGTAGGGGGAATTCATTCTCTGCCTGAGCTGGGACATCCATCTTCTCCTGCCCTCAGACTTTGGTGAACCTGGCTCTCGGGCCTTGGCAGTGGGATGGTGACTTACATCATTGTCCCCCCACCCCAACTCCCACCCTCACCCCCTTCTCAGACTTTCTGTTTTGAGACAGGGTCTTGCTTTGTCACCCGGGCTGGAGTACACTGGTGCGATCTCAGCTCACTGCAACCTCCACCTCCTGGGTTCAAGCAATTCTGCCTCAGCCTCCCGAGTAGCTGGAATTATAAGGGCCCACCACCATGCCTGGCTAATGTTTGTATTCTTAGTAGAGACGGGGGTTTCACCACATTGGCCAGGCTGGACTCGAACTCCTGACCTCAAGTGATCTGCCTGCCTCGGTCTCCCAAAGTGCTGGGATTACAAGCGTGAGTCACCGCGTGTGGCTCAGACTTTTTTTTTTTTTTTGGAGATGGAGTTTTGCTCTTGTTGCCCAGGCTGGAGTGCAGTGGTGCAATCTTGGCTCACTGCAACCTCTGCCTCCCGGATTCAAGCGATTCTCCTGCCTCAGCCTCCTGAGTAGCTGGGATTGCAGGCGCCTGCCACCACACCTGGCTAATTTTTTGTATTTTTAGTAGAGACGGGGTTTCACCATGTTGGCCAGACTGGTCTATAACTCTTGACCCCAGGTGATCCACCGCCTTGGCCTCCCAAAGTGCTGGGATTACAGGTGTAAGCCACTGCACCCGGCCCAGACTTTCTTTTTCTTTCTTTCTTTCTTTCTTTTTTTTTTTTTTTTTTTGAGGCAGAGTTTTGCTCTTGTTGCCCAGGCTGGAGTGCAATGGTGCCATCTCAGCTCACCGCAATCTCTGCCTCCCAGGTTCAAGCAATTCTCCTGCCTCAGCCTCCCAAGTAGCTGGGATTACAGGCATGTGCCACCACGCCCGGCTAATTTTTTGTATTTTTAGTAGAGATGGGGTTTCTCCATGTTGGTCAGGCTTGTCTCAAACTCGTGACCTCAGGTGATCCGCCCACCTCAGCCTCTCAAAGTGCTGGGATTAAAGGCTTGAGCCACCGCGCCCGGCCCAGACTTTCAATCTCAGGTTTATACCACTGATTCTGGGTCTCAGGCCTTTGGGCTTGGATTGGAAGTGCACCACCAACTTTCCTGGGCCTGCAGTTTGCAGATGGCAGATCGTGGGACTTCTCAGCATCCATAATCTCGTGGCCAGTCCCTTGTAATAATAATAAATTTATATATCTCTATATATCCTATTGGTTGGTTTCTCTGAAGAACCCTAAGACACCATCATTCTGCAAATATCCTTGAGGCCTGCCAATTGTGGCTTCAGGGTTTAAGAAGACATGGTTCCCTCTTGAATTACAGGCAAGTAAACGAGATTACAAAACATTGACAAAGGCTTGGATCATGCTGTTGGACCTTTGCTTGAGCTGTTCACCGTCCGTTGTTACCTCTGTGAAGCTGACCCCAGGCCTAACCAAATGTTCCTTTTATGCTGTTCTGGGGACGTCTTCTGCATGTCACTTAACCACATAGTATCACACCTAGTTGGTTGGTTCTGCATTTTCCTTCCCCACTAGACCGCAAACTCTCAGCTGTTGTTGGTACTATTGAGCTTAAGTACAGGGCCTCAAAAGGAGCCGGAGTACAGGGCTAAGCGCTCAGTACACAGGGTACGAACCAATCAATGCAAGAATGAACGTGCCACCGGGTCTTGCAGGCTTGAGAAGTGTTTCTCCAAGCTGATTTTGCTTTCCGTGCCCGGGCAGCTCCCGTGAATTGCACGGTAGAGGTCAGGAGTTTCTGGGGGGTCCGTGGGGAGCCAATGGAAGGATGAGGAGAAATGCAGTCCCACCGCATTCGGGTTGCCCACGTCCGGCGAGAGGCGAGTGATCGGACAACTTCTGCACCTCCCGGAAGCGGCTGCGCCGGCCCCGCCCCTCCAGAGGCAGGCGTGGCCTCATGAATAATGAATCGTGCGGGGGAGGGGCCGGGCCCGCCCCTCCGGGCGGGAAGAGGGAAGCGCCGAGGCTGCCTGACTGGAATGAGGGTAGCTGCGGCGACTGCGGCGGCTGGAGCGGGGCCGGCCATGGCGGTGTGGACGCGGGCCACCAAAGCGGGGCTGGTGGAGCTGCTCCTGAGGGAGCGCTGGGTCCGAGTGGTGGCCGAGCTGAGCGGGGAGAGCCTGAGCCTGACGGGCGACGCCGCCGCGGCCGAGCTGGAGCCCGCTCTGGGACCCGCGGCCGCCGCCTTCAACGGCCTCCCAAACGGCGGCGGCGCGGGCGACTCGCTGCCCGGGAGCCCAAGCCGCGGCCTGGGGCCCCCGAGCCCGCCGGCGCCGCCTCGGGGCCCCGCGGGTGAGGCGGGCGCGTCGCCGCCCGTGCGCCGGGTGCGGGTGGTGAAGCAAGAGGCGGGCGGCCTGGGCATCAGCATCAAGGGCGGCCGCGAGAACCGGATGCCGATCCTCATCTCCAAGATCTTCCCCGGGCTGGCTGCCGACCAGAGCCGGGCGCTGCGGCTGGGCGACGCCATCCTGTCGGTGAACGGCACCGACCTGCGCCAGGCCACCCACGACCAGGCCGTGCAGGCGCTGAAGCGCGCGGGCAAGGAGGTGCTGCTGGAGGGTGAGCGGGGCCGGGCGGGAGGGTGGGCAGGCCGCGGCGGCCTGGGCTCGCGGGAGCTCACTTTGTTCCTGCCCCGCCGGCGGGGCGAGCCGGTTCTCTCCCCGTCTCTCTCCAAACCCGGGTTTCTGGAGCTTTCAGTGTGGAAAAACGGATGCTTCTTGCAGGAAAAGTTGGGCAGCCGCCGAAGTGTGGCTTGCAGCCCCTAGGGAAGACTCGGCTGAGATTGAGTAAAAAGCAGCTGCCTATGAAGCCCCACCTCGGCCCGATAAGCTGACACTAAGAACTTGAGGGAGAGCGAACGGCTCGAGTGGGTCTGTCTCCGTTTGCCCGCTGAGAAGTGCCGGGTTGGCGCTTAACTCACTCACCTCTGGCTCCTCGGGGCGGGCGGGTCTATTAAAAAAAAAAAAAAGTCCATCTTCACCGATGCCAGCGGTATGCTCGGGCAAACCACCAAAGCGCTGGTTAATTTATGGGAATTTAACCCATCATTGGCTCTCAACAATAACCAAAGGAGATCATAGCATTTCATTGAAGCCAGAAAGCTGAAACAGCAAGTCTGTGTGGTTAACGAACCTTGTTTAACAGTGGAGGCTCACGTGTTTGAACATTTACTGCCAACTAGAGTTTTGCCCCTTTTGCAAGTCTGCTGCCAGCTTCCTACCACTCACAGGCGCGCTGCTTCAAGACTCTTGGGGTTTTTGTAAGAAACTTGAAATGGCAAATCACAAGATAGGTTTCAATAACCAGGATTATTCTTTACGTTAAGTTATATGTATGTGATCTGTAAGTTGGATCTTTCATGATGAATTTGAACTAAGGCAAAAATAAAATTCCTCTCCTCTAAGGACTCATGCATGTTGGAGGTGATAGAGTATTGTAAATTATAAACGAAAAGTCAGCTGCTTTCTTCAGAAATTTTTGAGCGGTCAGCTTTCTTTCACTGGTGATTATGGCTAGCTGTGTTGAAAAGAATATAAAAGAAGATGCTGTCCCTACTTGGTCTCTAGTTGGAGAAATGATAGAAAAATGCAAAACAACTTATAGGGAGGAAAGGAATGAAGTTGGTGATTACGTCGTGAAACTATACTTAAATGCCAAAGGAATGCAAAGTTAGAAAATAGTTAGTGGAGATGGAATTAGCCAGGGAGGACTTTTTCCCGAAGCTGAATCTTGAGCCAGGTCTCCAAGAAGTGATGGACATAGGCAGGCAGGGATGAGTCAGGAGGGTATTCCTGGCAGAGGAAGGACAGAAGGGAAGGGCTGGGGGCTGCTGGTGAAGAAGGACCAATCGTCAAACCGAGAGGCCAGAAGTCCAACTTGGCACAATGGATTTTCACTTTCTTATAAATCAGCTTGTGAATATTTGGAAAAATACTGATTTACCAGAAATGATTTCATGTACACCAGTTGTGAAGTTCCAGTGTCCCACCTTTATAATATCCTATTTATAAACCTTATTTATATTGCATGTCTAGGTGGGGCTAGACATTGCTCGGAAATTAGTGTTAATAGAAGGAGTAAAATTATAGATTGTGGTTTGGGTGTGTGTCCAAAAAAAACTGTTACTCTAAACGTGTACCTTGAAGTTGGTCTAGCTAAGCATTTGGTTATAAATTCTTACATCCAGAATATTGAATTTAGTACTATTTATGTAGTCCTCAGTTGTGATGGGCAGACAGTTGAACCTTGTACACCATATTTAGAAAAAAAACACAAAAAACCTTTTGGCCAGGCGTGGTGGCTCATGCCTATAATCCCAGCACTTTGGGAGGCCAAGGTGGGCAGATCACCTGAGGTCAGGAGAACATGACGAAACCTCGTCTCTACTAAAAATACGAAAATTAGCCAGGCGTGGTGGCAGATGCCTGTAATCCCAGCTCCTAGGGAGGCTGAGGCAGGGGAATCGTTTGAACCTCAGAGGTGGAGGCTGCAGTGAGCCAAGATCTCACCACTGCACTCCAGCATGGATGCCCAGCCTGGATGACAGAGCAAGACTCCATCTCAAAAACAAACAACCAACCTACTTTTTGTATAGGTATAGTTTGAACCTAGTATTCAGACCAGTAAAATGAAAACCTTGCAGTAAATGCTTCCCAGTCTTTATTGGGCTAAAATAGGCCACGTGTGCTTTTAGAAAGATGGCCGCATAATAACATGTTTATTGAATGCCTTTTTACCTAACATGCAGGTTCTACTTTATTTTCCCACTTTGTACAAGACAAGCAGTTTTTGTTCTTATAAGTAGTGAGGAAGTCAATATAGTAGATTTACGACATTGCATTTTCAAGCCACTGGGTGTAAAAATAAAATTACTCAAAATATGTAAAACCACTGAAAACAATGATTTAATTGAACCAGTCAAACATTATTTAAAATTGAGAGCTGGTGTCCCATCCAGGTAGGCCACTTTTAAAAGACAGATTTTAAGTTTAGTCTTTAAAGTTTTCAGGCTGTACCATGTTGTCCTTCCATTAGATGTCTGAAAACTTGAAAAACTGCCGTATCATCTCACAGTGATGCTTTTTTGTGGTGTGGGCAGGGAATTTCAGGCACACTTTTGCCAATCCCACACCAGGGAAAGCTATAGTCTTTGGTTGCCTGTGGTTAAGGAATTGAGTTAAAAGTTTCCTTTTTATCTCAGGGATTTGCAGGAGTTATTTATTCATTCATCAGATATTTACTTAACTCTTAACTCATGCCAGAGGCACTTGAAGATACCTGATTCCTGTCCTCAGGAAGTTTAGAGTTGAGATGTGGGGAAACGGAGAAGTAAATAAGTACAGCAGAGGGCTAAAAGTGCTGTTTTAATAGAAGTTTGCACAACCCAAAGGAGACAGAGGTCTATATAGGTCCATCATGGGAATCAGAGGTTGAGGATGCCCAGGTTGATGAAGCTTAAATTGAGCTTCCCCTTTAGAAGAGAGCTGCCACCAGTAAAGACACAGAAGTGCAAGACATTAAAAAGCTATTCTAGCCAGTAGGGTAGAGTAGAAGCAAGGACTTTGTGGTCAGATGTGGGTTTGTTTCTGGCTAGTGGTTTGTAACCCCTAGGCAAGTTACTTAATCTTGCTAAGTAAACCTTAGTTTCCTCATCTGTAAAGCCAGGATGATAATAACACCTCCCTCAAAGTTGTTAATTCATTTTGCAATTCACGTGTTGAGTACTTTTTAAGGGACTGGGAATACAGCAATGAACAGCACAGGTCTGAATGAGGAAGGTAGGACCGGGTCACGAAGGTATGCCACCAGTTAACAAAGACACTCTCAAAACAGGAAGGATGGCAAGTCGTTAAAATAACATCCAGGGCTCCATTTTTACCTGAAGAAGAATAGATGATAAGAATTATTTTAGGTGATTAGGTTAAGAATGAGTTTGCGCTGGTCCGAGTGCAGTGGTGTTTACAACTAATTGATCACAACTAGTTACAGATTATTTGTTCCTTCTCCACTCTCACTGCTTCACTTGACTAGCTTTAAAAAAAAAAAAAGAAAGAAAGAAAAGAAAAGAGAAAAAAAGAAAAACCAAGTGTGGTGGCTCATGCCTGTAATCCAGCACTTTGGGAGACCAAAGCAGGAAGATCATTTGAGGCTGAGTTCGAGACAAGCCTGGGCAACATAGCAAGACCCTATCTGTACAAAAACTTCAAAAAAAAAAATAAATAAAACAATTAGCTGGGTGTGGTGGCATGCACCTGTAGTCCCAGCTACTCAGAGGCTGAGGTGGGAGGATTCTTGAGCCCAGGAGGTCGAGGCTACAGTGGTGATTGTGCCACTGTACTCCAGCCTGGACAACAGAGCAAGATCCTGTCTCAAAAAAAAAAAAAAAAAAAAAGCAAAGCCAGTAAGTAAAGTTGAATGAAATGTCCAAGAAAGGTTTTATTTACTGGTGTTTTTTTATTTTGTTTTGTTTTTGAGACAGAGTCTCACTCTGTTGCCCAGGCTGGAGTGCAGTGGTGCGATCTCAGCTCACTGCAAGCTCCGCCTACCGGGTTCACGCCATTCTGCTGCCTCAGCCTCCCAAGTAGCTGGGACTACAGGCGCCCGCCACCATGCCCGGCCAATTTTTTGTATTTTTTAGTAGAGATGGGGTTTCACTGTGTTAGCCAGGATAGTCTCAATCTCCTGACCTCGTGATCTGCCTGCCTCAGCCTCCCAAAGTGCTGGGATTACAGGCATGAGCCACCGCACCTGGCCTTGTTTTGTTTTAAATGGGAAAATAATTGGGACAGATTTGTATAGCAAGAGAAAAGCCCAACCAACAGAAAGAGTGAGAGGTTGAAGAGATAGAAGAGGTGGGAAACTGATGCAATTCATTTTTGATCCAGGAAGTGATGTGATGGGAACAGAATTTTGGGTTGGCAGCAGTGGAAGCACTGGATGCAGTGCAAAGAGGAAAGACCGAAGGTGGGAAAAACAGCAGCTGTTGTAGTGAAAAGTAATCCAAGCCAGAGGTGATCACCTTTGGAGCCGGTGGTGGTAGTGGCAGTGGGAATAGAGAGGAGGATTCAATTCAAGAGATACTTTAAAGCAGTTGATGCTTGTCAGGGGACATAGCAGAGTCCACTGAGAAGTTTTTCCTACCTAGATAGTCTCCTTCCAACTGCCTGTGCATCCAAAAATTTGATACTTACAGAGAATCTTCTGCAGTGAGTTTATCAGTGGAAAAGTGAAATAATTTGGAGAGTGTTACCCTCATACTGTTCAGCTTTGTTGTAAAGCACTTAAGCCATGTAACTGTCTGCTGTCTCTGGGGTTTGCGAAGAAAAATTTTAGTTTATAAACAGTATACTGTATCTGGTCACATGGAATGAGAACATATTCTTCCTTTAAAGGTTCTTTTTTCTAGATTAGAGAAAAGAGCTTTTGAATTCCTTTGGAGAAATGATGGTATGGTCAGTTATGTTTAATATTTTGTGCCTGGAGAAATACAATTGATTTGGTTACTTTATTTAAGTGTCTTTCTGAGGAAAATGCACTGATTCCTTAATAAAATTTGTGTTAGATTTTAGTGTAAAAACAAAACTCGTGAAATAATTTTATATATGAACAAAGTGCTAGTGATTATGGTGTCATAGATTTGCCTTTTAAAATAATAAAAGAAATATAAAATTCAAACTTGGCTTTATTTCTGACCCCCAAGACATTGCTAGAATGCTATAATTAGTTGAGAATATGTGAAATGCAATTTTCTTTTTGCTTTGGTTTTTCTACATTTTTCTTTTTGCTGTGTTCGGACCCTCTTGCTTTAAAATTTGTAAGTTATCTTGAATGTGTTATGGAAAGTAAACTTAATGAAATAGATGAGAAAGTTGAGCAGTGTATTTTTGAATTTAATCTGTCATGCATGTAAAATGTTACACCTAGGCAGGTGTGGTTGGTCATTCCTGTAATCTCAGCACTTTGGAAGGCAGAGGCAGTAGGATCACTTGAGGCCAGGAGTTCAAGATCATCCTGGTCAACCTAGTGAGACCCCATCTGTATTTTAAAAATGAAAAAAAAAAAAGTTACACCTTACACTTAGAAAAATTGGAAGCTTTAATTTTTCATTGAAAGAGACTCAGATGGTATAGACTTTTTTTTTTTTTTTTTTTTTTTTTTTTGAGACAGTGTCTTGCTCTGTTGCTCAGGCTGGAGTGCAGAGGCACCATCTCGGCTCACTGCAACCTCCGCCTCCTGGGTTCAAGAAATTCTCCTGCCTCGGCCTCCCAAGTAGCTTGGATTACTGGTGTGTGCCACCGTGCCTGGCTAATTTTTGTATTTTTAGTAGAGACAGGGTTTCTCCATGTTGGCCAGGCTGGTCTCAAACTCCTGACCTCAGGTGATCCGCCTGCCTCGGCCTCCCAAAGTGCTGGGATTACAGGTGTGAGCCACCATGTCCAGCCCAGACTTATTTATGGTAAGATGAATTGATCAACTAACAAAAATTTTAAAAAAGAAAGAAAATGCACATGCCTTATTCAAGGCTCTTTGGGTTTCAAAACACAGAAACCCATTTAAACTAGTTCAGATAAAAGGATGGAGATGTTATAAAGAACCAGACAGGTCTCGGGACTTCAGGAAGAGCTGCGCCTCAGAAATGTCACAAACCCAAGGCAGTGCTGAGGACAGTTGCTCTGTCTCCCATTTCTTGTCATTGCAGTTTCTCTGTTTCTCTCTGAGAATGTCTTTTGCAACAGCTTTATTCTAGTCCTTTTATGGTTTCAATTCTTACATTTAACTTCTTAATCTATGTAGAATTTATTTTGGCATATGGTATGCAGTAGAGGTTTAACTTTATTTGTTTTTCCAAATAGTTAACTGATTGCCTCAGTATTATTTGTCAAATAATCCTCTTGCATGCTTAGTCTGATAGCTTGCTGGTGGCTGCCTAGAGTGCCATATGTGGAAGGATTCAAGGCCATATCTGGGTTCAGCAGTAGCAAGTGCTATGCTTAATTAGTGATATCTGCAATGAGTGTGCCTGAGGATGGGGTGCAATATGCATGCTATACATCTGCCCCTCTTGGGATGAGATGACCTGTCCTTTTCTCATTGATTTTAAATATACCTTTTTGAATAGCACTTTTTATATTCTCTGCTCTGATTCTGGAGTTTCTATTGTATTCCATTTTAGTGTTTTGTAACATACCACACTGTATTTTGTAGCTGTAACATTTAATATCTGGTAATTCAAGTGGACTGTACCAGCCAAGAAAAATTTGAAAAGTAACAATAGACAATTGCCGGCTGGTATAGTATAGTTACTTATTTCCCCAGATAAATTTTGGAATGATTTTATCATTCTTAAATCCTCTGGGATTTTGATTAAAATTATATTAAATCCATAAATTAATTTGGAGAGAACTGATGTCTTTGTAATATCTCTTTCCCAGTCATTCCAGCCAAAAATACTGGGCCTTACTCATCCATGTTCCAATCATGTGGCTGAGGGGTACCAGATGTTCTATTTGGCCAGGCCTATATCAGGTCACCTCAGACCTGTACCCAGGGAATGGGGCAATTTTCCTAGAACCACATGGACTGAAAGTGGGGGTTTCTCAAAGGAGAATTAAGGTGATGTTAACAGAAGAAGGGGGAATGGATGCTAGGCAGGCATAAATAGCAGACATTCATTACATTGCTCTAAAACCATCAGAAGATAATATAGATTAAAGGAGAAACCACCATATTAAGAGATTTAGAAACATTATAGACAGCTGTAAAACAAAAGTCAGAATAATAAATTTGCTTAGGTACAGGTGAGCTTGTTGGAGCTTTTAAAAAATGCTTGACATGTCAAGTGAATAATAAATTATTTTCAGTATTTTATTGGTATTTTGAACATCACATTTCTATGAATTTCAAGCAAGTTTGTAACTGCATTGAGATCATATTTTTATAGGTAGAACAACAAAAGTATATAGAGCTCAACAAAAGTATATAGAGCTCAGGGGCAGCTTTTGAAGTCAGAGACGGAGAAAAATCTTTGTTTATCAAAATAGACGTATATGATTTATTTTTAATTTTTAAAAAGTATCTATTTGTTGTTATTATTTTTTTTTAGAGACAGGGTTTCACTCTGTTGCCCAGGTTGGAGTACAATGGCATGATCATTGCTTACTGCAGCCCTGAACTCTTGGGCTCAGGTGATCCTCTTGCCTTAACCTCTGGAGTAGTTGGGATTACAGGCATGAACTAATTACTGTTCCTGGTTTGCATTTTTTTTTTTTTTTAGTAAGAATTATTTTGGTTGCAGAAACCCAAAACCAACTAATTTAAGCAGAAGTGGAATGTATTGCCTTATGTAACTCCTGAGACCGGGGGTGGATCTAGGTTTAGGTTCAGTGGGATCCAAAGGCTCAAATTATCTTGGCTGCAACATCTCCTGCTGTGGAGGGTCTAATTCTGTATAGTCAGCTAAGATGGTGCCTGCAGCTCTAGGAACATATTGCCTTAACTTAATAACTAACCCCTGTAAGAAAAACTGGAGGGTTCTTTTACCACTCACATTATCAGTTTGGAGATAGGAAGGACTCCAATAGTTCTGCTTTGCCAGTTCCTCGGACCTATCACTATTACCAAAATGATGGAGACTGCAATCTAGACCTGTGTCACGTGCCCATCCCTTGTGTATTGAGGTTGGCAGCCTCACCAGACTATAAAATCTGGAGTGGGGTGGTTGCTAGGTTAACTTATGTACACTATAACAGGCTATAGGGCTTAAAATAATTTTGGCCGGGCATGTTGGCTCACACCTGTAATCCCAGCACTTTGGGAGGTCCAGGTGGAATCACTTCAGCCTAGTAGTTCAAGACCAGCCTGCACAACATGGCGAGACCCTGTCTCTACAAAACATGTAAAAAATTAGCCAGGTGAGGTGGCGAGTGCCTGTGGTCCCAGCTACTTGGGAGGCTGAGGTGGGAGGATCACTTGAGCTCGGGAGATTGAGGCTGCAGTGAGCCATGTTTGAGCCACTATACTCCAGCTTGGGCAATGGAGCAAGACCCTGTCTCAAAAAGAGAAAAAACAAAAGTGGCTAAGTTGTACATTTTTAAAAACAAAAGGAATCAAAATAGATAATAATGACACTTATGGAGAGCTTACTCTGCTAAGCTCTTTATGATCACAACTTTGTTTTTCTTTTCTTTTTCTTTTTTTTTTTTTTTTGAGATGGGGTTTGGCCCTGTCACCCAGGCTGGAGTGTAGTGGTGTGATCTCGGCTCACTGCAACCTCTGCCTCCTGGGTTCAAGCGATTCTCCTGCCTCAGCCTCCTGAGTAGCTGGGATTACAGACACGCGCTACCATGCCCGGCTAATTTTTGTATTTTTAGTAGAGATGGAGTTTCACCATATTGGTCAGGCTGGTCTCGAACTCCTGACCTTGTGATCTGCCCACCTTGGCCTCCCAAAGTCCTGGGATTACAGGCGTGAGCCACCGCACCTGGCCACAACTTATTCTTTTAACAGCCCTGTGAGTCAGGTGGCATCATCCCCATATAAAATATAAATAAATTGAGTCCTGGAAGATTAAACAGTCAGTGCAAGGTTATAGAATTTGTAGGTGATAGAGGCAAGATTAGTTACTCAGATTTATCAAACTACACAGCCTTTGATATTAACCATTATAATAGACTGCCTCTCTGGTGGATCAGTTTGGGTTAAGAAGCTAGCAAGTCTAAAGACAGGATTTATTGTTATGATTGGCTTAATTTTCAGGAAAATTGTGCTTTGGATTCTGTGTTGTTGCATCTATCTGGAGGTTATCCAGTTAATGTCTCTCAGTCTTTTCCTCATTTTTTTTTTTCATGCTGGACCTAAAGCTGTATGTAATTAATCAACTCATATTGAATAACTACACTCTGTTAGACACTCTGAGAGAAATAGAATATGTAAGCCCCAAAGATTTTACTTTTAAGAAGTACCCAAAATGGGTTTGTAAATACTAATAAACTGCACATAAGTGAATCCAAAGTATTTCATACATTATAAGTGGTAGACAAATGCTGAGAGAACTTGGAATAAGTGAGCAAGTAGTAGGAATGTATTTTGGGTCAAGTGAGAGAAGGGTGGGACATGGAATAGGTGTGGGTGGTGGGAAGGATGGAGGGCATGTTTAGAGGGGAAAGGCATGTCTAGAGAGCAAAGACTGGAACAAGCAGTGATGTTCAAACTTCAGCAAACAGATTTGATGAAATAGCCCATTTTCAAGGCTCTGTACCCCTTTTTAAAAATAGTTTAAATATTTTATTAGTAATATAACTGACTTCTGAAATATCTTGTAATAATTGTATTCATTATCTGCAAACTGTTTTGTAATGTAAAAATTAATTTTTCTTTTGTAATTATTCTAGCCAAACTTTTTTGTTACTGCTTTTACTTTTGATATATTACTATGTTATTTTACTTTTGGAAAACACCAGTTTTAACAAAGTAGCATTCTCCAAAGTATATTCATCTTTACAAGTAAATCTTTGCCCAAATGAAACAAAATCTGTTTTACTGAACACTAAATGTCTTTGATTTGCCTCATTTTGCTGTAATTGTTGGCCAGTAAAAGTATTTACATTGTTAGCTCTGTTTTCATTGCAGTAAGGGATGGCAACATTTTAGAAAACCACTAGTAGTGTAGATAATTTTTTTGAGTACTATGGATTCTGTATTGTCTCTTCAAAGATTATTAATTACATTCTAGGATAAAAATACATATTTTTTACAATGAACACAAAGTAATTGAAAAAATTAAACTGGCTCTGGGCAAATACAAATTCTGCTAAAAACAGCAATGAAAGACTAAAGTGAATTCTGGAAACCATTCTTCACCAGAGATGTTTTGATATTGATCTCTGTTGTCCTTTACAATGTAACAGAGTTGATTTTTTTTTTTTTTTTTTTTGGGGGGTAGGGGAACAGAGCCTCGCTCTGTCGCCTAGGCTGGAGTGCAGTGGCAATCTCAGCTCACTGCAACCTCCACCTCGCGGGTTCAAGCGATTCTCCTGCCTCAGCCTCCTGAGTAGCTGGGACTACAGTCCTACACCACCACGCCCAGCTAGTTTTTTGTACTTTTGGTAAGACAGGGTTTCGCCATGTCGCCCAGGCTGGTCTTGAACTCTTGAGCTCAGGCAATCCACCAGCCTCGGCCTCCCAAAGTGCTGGGATTACAGATGTGAGTCCTCATGCCTGGCCTATTTTTCACATGTGTATTTTTGACAAGAGAAATGTCTTCATTGCACGTTCTGCCTCTGCTTCTCTTTAAGGAGTTTGTGTGTGGTTGGTAGGAAGATGTAGTCCATTCTTATTCCTCTACCACTTACATGTTTCCTCCCATTATTCTCTTTATTTCTCATATCCTCTCCTACTTCTTCTGTGCTTGGGTCTGAAAAGAAATCTTTGAGATTGTTAAGACATCTCCAAACATCTGGATGTAGTTACAAAAATTACCTGATTTTTCTTGGGAAAAAATACAGCAAAACATTTCGGATGGCTGTTAACTTTGTGTGACCTTGGCAAAAAATAATTTCAGCATTATAAGCAGTATGTTTCTTACCTATTAAAAATAAGATCCCTTCCAGCTCATATTTTACAATTCTAAATATGAAATAGAGAATGAAGAGTTAATATGAACTGACTGTACGCAAATGCATGGATTGTCAGAGATTTAGAATATAATAATGTTTTTTTTTTTTTTTTTTTGAGACAGTTTCACTCTTGTTGCTCGGGCTGGAGTGCAATGGCACGATCTCGGCTCACTGCAACCTCTGCCTCCCAGGCTCAAGTGATTCTCCTGCCTCAGCCTCCCGAGTAGCTGGGATTACAGGCGCACGCCACCATGTCCAGCTAATTTTGTATTTTTAGTAGAGATGGGTTTCTCCGTGTTGGTTAGGTAGGTCTTGAACTCCTGACTTCAGGTGATTCACCCGCCTTAGCCTGCCAAAGTGCTGGGATTACAGGCGTGAGCCACCACGCCTGGCCTATAATAATGATTTTTAACACTAAAAATATTTTAGCTATAATTGAATCTTAGTTTGATGATTCAGATGGAACCTCAAGATTTACAATACCTTATTGTGAGCTTCATTTGTTGTGCTAAAGATGTGAAGTGCCAGATAAAATATTTTATGTTGTAGATTTGCAGATAAATCGGCTTTTGCTCTTCCACCTTTCATTTTAACTAGCAGCTAATCGCCTTCAAATCTACACAGGCAGCATTAATTAAAGCGATGTTGGCCTGGCGCAGTGGCTCACGCCTGTAGTCCCAGCTAGTTGGGAGGTTGAGGTGGGAGGATCACTTGAGCCTGGGAGGTGGACGCTTTGGTGAGCCATGATTGCACCACTGCACTCCAGGTCTGGACAACAGAGTGAAACACTGCCTCAAAAAAAAAAAAAAAAGGCGATCTTTTTCTCTTAAGCGCAGATGAATCACTTAGCAAAGAGAGAAATATTGAGCAATCTAGATTGCAGTTAATTTTGTCACTGATTATTGTGTACCTTGAGGTGTCTTCATTTGTTCTTTAGTGAATGGGCAAGACTCTCATAATGAAGATTTGCAATCTTAATGAAAATTGAAAAAAAAGGCCAAAGTTTAAGACTTAGATGCCAAATAATTCCTTCCACTTTTTAGTGTGAAAAATCAGGAGAAAGGGGGACTTTTAAAAAATGTTTTATTTTAGATCCATGCTATTACTGGGAAGACAGAGACTTTTTTTTTTTGAGACAGAATCTCCCTCTGTCGCCCAGGCTGGAGTGCAGTGGCACGATCTCAGCTCACCGCAACCTCCATCTCCCGGGTTCAAGCGATTCTCCTGCCGCAGCCTCTTGAGTAGCTAGGACTACAGATGCGTGCCACCACACCCAGCTAATTTTTTGTATTTTTAGTAGAGATGGGGTTTCACCGTGTTAGCCAGGATGGTCTCAATCTCCTGACCTCGTGATCCGCCTGCCTCGGCCTCCCAAAGGAGGGGGACATTTTTAACATAAATATACTTATTTGTGTTGGCCATTGTTGTCAAGCACATTTGCTTACAGTGAGTTTAGGAATTTAGATATTAGGCGTATTTTGACAAAATGGGGAATCAATTTCTTTTACAGAAATGTAATACCTATTTCTTAGCATCAGCACGCTAGTATGAAATTATTTTTCTGTCAGGCATTCTACTCCTCCAGACTGTACCATCCTTCCACTAGAAGGGTGGAATACACATCAGATTACAGGTATGAATGCTTTTGGAATATGCTTTATTTTTCAGGCCCATGGGTTGAAATACAAGAAAAACAACACATTCGTGATACATCAAATTTAGGATATAACTGCTAGAGCAGGAGGAAGATAAATGGCGTCAAGGAGAGGTTCATGGGGGTTTTTTGTTAGTGAAACTGAGAATGTTAACAGTGATAAAATTGAGTACATGAGTTTTCATTATATTGTACTATGTTTTGTTTCGTTTATTTATTTTATTTTTGTTTTGTTTTTAAATAGAGATGGGGGTCTTGCTACAATGTCCAGGCTGGTCTTGAACTCCTAAGCTCAAGTCATCCTCCAGCCTTGGCTTCCCAAATTTCTGGGATTACAGGTGTGAGCCACCGAGTCTGGCCCTGTGATCCATCTTGAAGTAATGTTTGTATATTGACTCTATTTTTGTTTGCTTTTACTTTACCCTCACCTGACTGATAAAGTTGAGAGATCCTCATTATTTTCTTCTTGTGGGGTAATGGCAGAAGACTGCTCTGTAACTTTTACCAAACACTTTACCGAGTTGCTGCAGCCAATTCGTTTATATGTCACTGAAAACTCAGACAAATCGAGTCATTTCTCTGCTTTTTAAAATAATTACTCCTCATCACACTTTCAGGGCCTCCAGGGGCCTGGTTTGAAAGCAGAACATTCAGGAAAGCCATAGGAAAACAGCATCCTGGCTTAAAAGTTACCACCTGAAATAATAAATATTACATGTGAACAGATGCTTATTTAATGGATTTTGATGGCTTCTTTACCTTTTATTTAAGCACCTTGTATATTGCTAGCATTGAAATAGTATTAATGTCACTGAACTAGAAGGACTCCTCATTAACACCAATAAATGGGAGAGAATGCACTAAGCCAAAAAGTTGCCATCTTATAACTTGTAAAACTCTCTTAAATGTAGATCTGTATTTAAAGCAGCAGGCCAACTTATTTATGTGATGTTGATGTGGTGCTGAATAGGAAAAAACATAGCAAAATGGAAAGGATTAGGGAGGCGGGGACATAAAATCCTTTAATACTGCTTAGTAAGGTATTTTATCCATTTGAAGAAATCTAAAATTCTTTATGAAAGAGATGTGTGTTTAAAATTGAGGGTGGGTAACGTTGCTAAATCATTGGGTGTTAGCCAGGTTTGGATACAGTGTACAGCTGAAAGGAATGTTAATTTTGTTAGATTATTGTCAACAATACTTCTCAGAAAACAAAACAAAAAGCCCAGAGCAAACCAAAAAACCAAAAATGTTTGAGAAATTATTCTCAGATTGTCAGAAAAAAGAGTTTGAATAGTTATTTTAGATTTCGTATTTGGAGGGTAATAATTTTGAGTTTGGTTAAAACATGAGAATTCAATAGTATTATTATTATTTTTTTTGAGTGCCTCTAAAATTGTTAATTGTCCTCTTCTTCTGTGCTTCATACCTGGATGGAAAATTGCTTCAGGATATCAGTCTGCATGTCTGGAGAAACGAATGCTGCTTAGTTTAGGAGCAGACCAGTGAAGCAACACAAGCTGATAGGGCCCTGACTCATTCTCCTTGTTTACACCTGATGTTTAGCTCATCTGCACCTATAATTTCAGCCATTACCTGAGTGTCTGTGATGTTTAGCTGTACCTTTTTGTCCCCAGCCTTTCAGTTATCCCTTCACATTTAACCGTGACTGAGGCAAACTTCTTTGCAGTCACTTACTGTTTAATGAAGGGGCTAGAGTTTCTGGCCCTGTCTCCTCTGTTCTCTGACTTGGAGGCTTTCTCATTGTTCATGTGCTTCCTAACTTTCATCTTAAGGCTTATAAAGAAAACAAGGAGTAACTCCTCACATGTCCCTAGTTAGTAGGCATTACTTTGAACAAACATACATTCTTAGTTTATAATGGAAAATAGTATGGTAGTTACTATTCATACTAAATGTAGGCTGTGAACTTTATGAACTGTTAGAATTTTTTTTTTTCTTTTTTGAGATAGGGTTTCACTCTGTTACCCAGGCTGGAATGCAGTGGCATGATCATATCTTACTGCAGCCTCCATCTCCCAGGCTCAGGTGATCCTCCCACCTCAGCCTCCTGAGTAGCTGGGATTACAGACACACACTACCACATTCAGTAATTTTTTTTTTATTTTTTATTTTTTTGAGACGACGTCTCGCTCTGTCTCCCAGGCTGGAGTGCAGTGGCATGATCTTGGTTCACTGCAACCTCTGCCTCCCGGGTTCAAGCAATTCTCGTGCTTCAGCCTCCCAGGTAGCTGAGACTACAGGCATGTGCCACCACGCCTGGCTAATTTTTGTATTTTTAGTAGAGATGGGGTTTCGCCATGTTGGCCAGGCTGGTCTCGACCTCCTGGCCTCAAGTGATCTGCCCGCCTCAGCCTCCCAAAGTATTGGGATTATAGGCGTGACCCAGCACGCCTGGCCACATCTGATAAATTTTGTATTTTTTGTAGATACAGGGTTTTGCCATGTTTCCCAGGCTCATCTTGAACTCCTGGCCTTAACTGATCCTCCTACCTTAGCCTCCCAAAGTTCTAGGATTAAAGGTGTGAGCCACTGTGCACAGCCTGTTTTCTTTTTTTTTGAGACAGAGTCTCGCTCTTGTTGCCCAGGCTAGAGCTCAGGGGCGCGATCTCAGCTCACTGCAACCTCCATCTCCCGGATTCAAGCAATTCTCCTGCCTCAGCCTCCTAGTAGCTGGGATTACAGGCGCCCACCACCACGCCTGGCTAATTTTTGTACTTTTAGTAGAAATGGGGTTTTGCCGTGTTGGCTAGGCTGGTCTCGAACTCCTGACCTCAGGTGATCTGCCCACCTCAGCCTCCCAAAGTGCTGGGATTACAGGCGTGAGCCACTGCGCCCAGCGTTTTTGTTATTGTTGTTTTGTTTTGTTTATTTTAAGAGACAGGGTCTCACTCTGTCTCCTGGGCTGGAGTGCACTGGCATGATTATAGCTCACTGTAACTAGTTTTGACCTCCTGACCTTAAGCAATCCTCCTGCCTTAGCCTCTCGAGTAGCTGGAATTAGTGGTACATGTCACCATGCCTGGCTAATTTTTTAATTGTTTTGCAGAGACAGGATATTGCTCTGTTGCCCAGGCTTGCCTTGAATTTCTGGCCTCAAGTGATCCTCCTACCTAAGCCTCCCAAAGTGCTGGGATTACAGACTGAGCCACTGTGTGTGGTTCTGGAATTTTTACAGATAGTATTAACCTTTGGATTTTTGCCTTTCTTTTCCATTTAAAACAGTTTCCATAAACCCTCCCTTTCCCTTTTTTATTGCAGTGGGAATCCATTGCTTGTTTATTAATAATAATAATAATTCTTATTTTTGAGGCGGAGTTTCACTCTTCTTGCCCAGGCTGGAGTGCAATGGCACGATCTCAGCTCACTGCAACCTCCGCCTCCCAGGTTCAAGCGTTCTCCTGCCTCAGCCTCCCAATTATTATTATTATTTCTGAGATGGAGTATTGCTCTGTCGCCCAGGCTGGAGCGTAGTGGCGCGATCCCGGCTTACTGCAACCTCCACCTCCCAGGTTCAAGCAATTCTCCTGCCTCAGCCTCCCAAGGAGCTGGAATTACAGGCACCCGCCACCACGCCTGGCTAATTTTTGTATTTTTAGTGGAGCCGGAGTTTCACCATGTTGGCCAGGCTGGTCTCGAACTTCTGACCTCAAGCGATCCACCAGCCTCAGTTTCCCAAATGCTGGGATTACAGGCGTGAGCTACTGTGCCTGGCCAGAATCTATTATTTATTGAGAACTTCCTCTTAATATTGTCTGATCAGCTAAAGACTGGTGAGTACTCTTCTTCACTTGTAGTATGAGGAAGCAGAAGTGAACAGCACTGCTGCTCAGCTGCAGTTGCTTCCATAGGCTTGCTAGAAGCACCAGAAGTCTCCCACTGGGCACCAGAATCTTTGGGTTGTGTGCCATCAGGTCTTATTCCATATATGGAATATTATTGCTCCTCAAAAGAAAAACATGTTGAGACAGTAGTTATTAAGAAGTCAGGCTTTGCCACAATCCCTTTTAAATACAGTACCTCAGGCCTTTCCCAACATGAATTTTAAATTCTTTCAGAATCACAAATTTTTCACAAGGACAGATGATTCATTAATTTTGCTTTGTGGAAAGAAAAGATCTCAAGTTAATTTCCACAACCTAAATGAATTGACTGTGGAGTTTAAGCTCTGGGAAAACTAAAACATACTAAGAACATTGAGTTTTAAATGGAAGCAAGATATTTTCAGTTGATCTGCCAGTGTATGGAAATCTGCAGCATTTGCCCCTTCAGTACCATCTATCCCAATTGCATAGTCTGTGGCCTACATGAGTATTTTTCCACTCCAGTTTGCCACATCTTTCTTGGCATCAAATTACTTTTCTACTTAAATGAAATTGCTAGTTTAACCACTGGTGAATGCACTCATGGAAGTGAAAATGAAAACTATTTATTCAAGAGTTTCAGTAATGTTACTGCTGTGTGCATTGCATATGACCATAGTATTTTTATACTGATGATCTTTGTTTCCCTAATGTTATATTTTAAGTTGGCTGTGTATGCAGAGTAGAACTCCTTAGCAAACAAGAGTCCTCATACACATGACCCAATTTACTTCCCTAGACTTTAAGGGAGGAAATGTTGTGTACTTTGTGTACAGTTGCCCTCAATTTCATCCTGGGAAATACTTTGTTAACAGAATTCTTTTTTTTTTTTTTTGAGACTTGCTCTGTCACCCAGGCTGGAGTGCAGTGGTGCGATCTCAGCTTACTGCAACCACCACCTCCTGGGTTCAAGCAATTCTCCTGCCTCAGCCTTCCAAGTAGCTAGGACTACAGGCACGCGCCACCACGCTTGGCAAATTTTTTTTTTTTTTTTTTTTTTTAATTATACTCTAAGTTTTAGGGTACATGTGCACATTGTGCAGTAGAGACGGGGTTTCACCACGTTGGCCAGGCTGGTCTCAAACTCTTGACCTTGTGATTCGCCCACCTCAGCCTCCCAAAATGCTGGGATTACAGGTGTGAGCCACCTTGCCCAGCCCAACAGAATTCATATTTAACAGATACCTCTTGTGGCCCCTTGTAAGGCAAGAATAAAGGTCTTCAGTTTTAGTTTCTTTCCTTCCCTCTCTTGTCCATTGATCCCTGGATTTGTGTTCTGGCATCCTGTTTAGTGGGCATGACATAATGGCTTTTTCTTCTATTTTCTTTCCCATTTTCTCTTTCCTTCATTAGGCATTTCCAACCTGCTTCTTTCATATTTCTCACATATGGCCCCCTAGTGATCCCAGACAAAGAAGTCTAAGGTTCTGGTAACTTTAGATGGATTTGAAAGAGGAAAAGGTGGAATAGATAACTTTTCCTGAAATAAAACAGAAGTTTCTAATAATGCTTCTTAAAAATACTTAAATGCAACCAATGTATTATTAAAAATAACCCACTGTACGTTCATGAAATCCTTTCCATTGAGGTCCTATACTCAGCTATGTGCTTGTTAGGAAGTGATGGGAATGTAGGAACTCTTTGCTCCCACTTTTTTGTTGTTGTTGTCAAAGGCAAGGCTGGGCCTTGCTCTGTCTACCCTGGCTGGAGTGCAGTGGTGCGATCATAGCTCACAGCATCCTCTAACTCCTGGGCTCAGGAGATTTTCCCGCCTTAGCCTCCCAAGAAACGAGAATTACAGGAGCGTGCCACCACTTGGCTAATTAAAAAAAGTTTTTTTAGTAGAGACAGGGTTCTCACTATGTTGCCTAGGGTGGTCTCGAACTCTTGGGCTCAAGTGATCCTTCTGCCTCAGCCTCCCAAGGAGCTGGAATTACAGGCATGAGTCACTGTTCCCTGCCTCCTTCTACCTTTTAGCTTTTTGTTTAGCGATCATTATTACTCTTCTCTCCAGTAGATATACTATTTGATCAAGATGTGGGTAATTAGTCTCTAATTTCCCTACAAGAAAATATTTTCTAGGCCAGGCGCGGTGGCTCACGCCTGTAATCCCAGCACTTTGGGAGGCCAAGGTGGGTGGATCGGGAGTTCGAGACCAGCCTGACCAACATGGAGAAACCCTATCTCTACTAAAAATACAAAATTAGCCGGGCGTGGTGGTGCATGCCTGTAATCCCAGCTACTCAGGAAGCTGAGGCAGGAGAATCGCTTGAACCTGGAAGGTGGAGGTTGCTGTGAGCCAAGATCACTCCATTGCACTCCAGCCTGGGCAACAAGAGCAAAACTCCATCTCAGAAAGAAAAAAAAAAAAAGAAAATATCTTCTATAAGCCTTTGTTAATAAGGAATTGGCTGCATTTTTATTTTTATATACTTATTTTTTTTGAGACAGAGTTTTGCTCTTGTTGCCCAGGCTGGAGTGCAGTGGCGCAATCTCAGCTCACTGCAACCTCCACCTCCCAGGTTCAAGTGATTCTCCTGCCTCAGCATCCCTGGTAGCTGGGACTACAGGCGCCTGCCACCATGCCCAACTAATTTTTTGTATTTTTAGTAGAGATGGGGTTTCACCATGTTGGCCAGGCTGGGCTTGAACTCCTGATCTCAGGTGATCCACCTGCCTCAGCCTCCCAACGTGCTGGGATTACAGGCATGAGCCACACTGCGCCTGGCCTTGCATTTTTATTCTTTCAAAATATGAAAGGAATTCTTAGAGGCTTTAAAGTATAGATTTTCCTTTTCTTTTCTTTTCTTTCTTTCTTTTTTTTTTTTTTTTGAGAGATGGTGTCTTGCTCTGTCGTTCAGGCTGGAGTGCAGTGGCGCAATATCGGCTCACTGCAACTCCACCTCACTGGTTCAAGTGATTCTCCTGCCTCGGCTTCCCGAGTAGCTTGGACTATAGGCGTGTGCCACCACGCCCAGCTAATTTTTGTATTTTTTCGGTAGAGATGGCGTTTCACTATACGTTGGCCAGGCTGGTTTCGAACTCCTGACCTCAGGTGATCCGCCTGCCTTGGCCTCCCAAAGTGCTGGGATTACAGGCGTGAGCCACCGCGCCTGGTCAAAGTATAGATTTTTCAAAATCAAAATTTGATTTTATCTTACATTTTATGTTGACCAATTATAAAGTAGATAAGAAAATAAGAAAATTGACATTGTCGAGATTCAGTTTAAATGTGTATTTTAAAAATAATTTTTGATTTATTACATACCTTCAGAAAAGTGCACAGATCATAAAAACGTGCAGCTGGATGAATTTTCACAGGCTGACAATACTTTTGTTAGCAGTGCCCAGATCAGGAAACATTATCAAAACCTAAAATCCTACTCATGCACATTTTCAGGCACTTCACCTCCCATCCAAGTGTAGCCTCTAATACTGTAGCTTAGTTTTCCCTGTTTTTGAACTTCATGTAAAAATGAAAAAAATAGGCCAGGGGTGGTGGCTTATGCCTGTAATCCCAGCACTTTGGGAGGCTGAGGCAGGCGGATCACCTGAGATCAGGAGTTCGAGACCAGCCTGGCCAACATGATGAAACCCCCATCTCAACTAAAAATACAAAAATTAGCCAGGCATGGTGGTGCTCGCTGGTAATCCCAGCTACTTGGGAGGCTGAGATGGGAGAATTGCTTGAACCTGGGAGGTAGAGGTTGCAGTAAGCTGAGATAGCACCATTGCACTCCAGTCTGGGTGACACAGTGAGACTTCATCTCAAAAAAAAAAAAAAAAAGCCGGGCACGGTGGCTCATGCCTGTAATCCCAGCACTTTGGGAGGCCGAGGTGGGCGGATCACCTGAGGTCAGGAGTTTGAGACCAGCCTGACCAACATGGAGAAACCCTGTCTCTACTAAAAGTACAAAACTAGCCGGACATGGTGGTGCATGTCTGTAATCCCAGCTACTAGGGAGGCCGAGGCAGGAGAATCTCTGGAACCCAGGAGGCGGAGGTGGCAGTGAACCGAGATCGTGCCACTGCACTCCAGCCTGGGCAACAAGAGCAAAACTTCGTCTCAAAAAAAAAAAAAAAGTAAAAGATATAGTATAGTATGTACTCTTTTGTGTTTGGCTTCTTTTCCTTAGCTTACTTTTATGAGCTTAAACCATTTGCTGTGTATACCTGTAGTTTATTGTTTCTCATTGTTATACTGCATATTTTGAATTTTTCACAATTTATCCATTCTAGTGTAGAAGAGGTTCAGAGACAGATTCTGTATTTGCCAGAGGCACAGAATTAAAAAAGAAAAGCTCTTTAAAACAGTGAAGAATAAAACAAATATTTTAACAAAACCTTGCTTATTTTACTAGGTAAAAAACATCTAGGCTGGGCGCGGTGGCTCACGCCTGTAATCCCAGCACTTTGGGAGGCCGAGGCAGGCGGATCATGAGATCAGGAGATCAAGATCATCCTAGCTAACACAGTGAAACCCAGTGTCTACTAAAAATACAAAAAAAAAAAAATCTGGAGTACGAGAACCAGAAATATACATATTTCCTTCTGTACCTAGCATAGTACCTTACTCAAATATTTGTTTGTTGTATGAACAAAGAGGTGATTGAGAAACTAGATGAATTTTTGAGTGTGTGTGTGTGTGTGTGTTTTTGAGATGGAGTCTCACTCTATCGCCCAGGCTGGAGTGCAGTCGCCCGATCTCAGCTCACTGCAAGCTCCGCCTCCCAGGTTCAGGCCATTCTCCTGCCTCCTGAGTAGCTGAGACTGCAGGTGCCTGCCACCACACCCGGCTAATTTTCTTGTATTTTTAGTAGAGACGGGTTTCACCGTGTTAGCCAGGATGGTCTCGATCTCCTGACCTCATGATCCGCCTGCCTCAGCCTCCCAAAGTGCCTGGCCACCATGCCTGGCCAAATTTTTGAATGTTTTATATCAACTTTTAGGTTCTCTTTCCCATGCTGTTTGGGAAGATTTTGAAATTAGCCTGAACTATCATTGCTGTATTGCTGCTTCTACCAATTCCATTATTATCTGTGTGTATACATGCCTTTTACTATAAGCTTGGTATGTTTAATTCTGTCTAGAAGTGTTATATCATTGCTTCTCTCTGTATTATAGAAGTTTGACATCAGATTAAATTTGTTATCTTGAAATACTCTGCTTTATGGTAATTCAACCAGTATTTAATTCAGTAGACATTGAATGAACATCCCCTACGTATTAGTCAGTGTTGCAGAGGTGCTTGTTTGAAATCTGGCCATTGGTGGAAATACTTTAAACAGTTTTTGTAGCTATCACAGTAGCTCATATTTTAGTAGCTATATTTTATATGTTTTTAGTCTACTTTAATGCACATGATTTTGCTCAAGATATGTTTTTGTTGAATGAGTTAGGAGATTTGCTCCTTAATTCTTCATGCTGAGTTTAAACTTATATCTAATTTAGAAGGAGAGATATAGTACAAAGATACCTTTTTCTTATATAACCGAATGAGTCCCCCACCTCAAGATGTTTAAACTATATAGATCTTGTAGTATACTCACAAAGTTCCCATTCAAAATGCTAAAAGTTTAGCAAGATAGTGTAGACATGGCACAATCTTAGAGATCCCCATTATTGTAATTTCTTCATTTTGGTAAGTTTGACATTCTGACATTCTGATTTTTGTTATTTAATTTTTTTTTTTTTTTTTTTTTTTTAGACGGAGTTTTGCTTTTGTTGCCCAGGCTGGAGTGCAATGGCGCAATCTCAGCTCACCACCATCCGCCTCCTGGGTTCAAGCAATTCTCCTGCCTCACCCTCCCAAGTAGTTGGATTACAGGTGCACACCACCATGCCTGGCTAACTTTGTATTTTTAGTAGAGAAATGTAAAAAAATGTATTACGGTTTTTTGTTTTGGTTTGGTTTTTTGAGATGGAATATCGTTCTGTTGCCCAGGCTGGAGTGCAGTGGCGCAGTCTTGGCTCACTGTAACCTACACCTCCCAGGTTCAAGCTATTCTCCTGTCTCGGCCTCCCAAGTAGCTGGGATTACAGGCACGTGCTGCCATGCCTGGATAATTTTTTGTATTTTAATAGAGACGGGGTTTCACCATGTTGCCCAGGCTGTTCTTGAACTCCTGATATCAGGCAATCCACCTGCCTCGGCCTCCCAGAGTGCTAGGATTACAGGCATGAGCCACCGCGCCCGGCCATATTATGTTTTTAGAGACAGGCTCTTGCTCTGTTGCCCAGGCTGGAGTGCAGTAGTGTGATCAGCTTGGAACTCCTGGGCTCTAGGGATCCTCCCACCTCAGCCTCCCAGGTAGCTGAAACTACAGGCATGTGCCACCCTGCCTGGCTAATTTTTAAGAAATATATTTTGTAGGCCGGGTACAGCGGGTCACGCCTGTAATCCCAGCACTTTGGGAGGCTGAGGTGGGCGGATCCCCTGAGGTCAGGAGTTCCAGACTAGCATGGCCAATATGGGGAAACCTCATCCCTACTAAAAATACAAAAATTAGTCAGGCGTGGTGGCGCGCTTGTAATCCCAGCTCCTAGGGAGACTGAGGCAGGAGAATCGCTTGTACCTGGGAGGCGGAGGTTGCAGTGAGCCGAGATTGCACCACTCCACTCCAGCCTGGGCCACAGAGCGAGACTCCGTCTCAAAAATATATATATATTTTGTAGAGACAGGTTCTTGCTGTGTTGCCCAGGGTGGTTTTGAACTCCTGGCCTCAAGCATTCCTTTCACCTTGGCCTCCCAAAAGTGTCCAATTTCTGTTAATTAAAAAAATTAAATTTTTAAAATTTAATGGGCTGATTAAAAAAAACCCCAATAAATATAAAATTGTTTGAAAGCAATGAAAAAAAATCTATTAATTGGACCAAAGCTTAGGGTAATATTCTGGGACACTTTGGAGAGAAACAACTTCTATAATTTTAATTTCATGCCCAGTACTTTTGAGTGTATGTATTTAAGGTTGTTTTATTAACCATTTCAAATGTAAATATCCTAATACCATTTAATAATTCTTTAGTTACTCTTCAACATAAACTTGAATTTAAAAAAGGAAACAAAGCCAGGCATGGTGGCATATACCTGTAGACCCAGCTACTTGGCTCAGGAGGCTGAGGTGGGAGAATCATTTGAACCCAGGAGTTTGAGGTTTGAGTCCAGCTTGGGCAACATAATGAGACCCCATCTCAAGGGAAAAAAAAAAAAAAAAAGGGAAAGAAAAGAAAAACAGGCGGAAGTGAAAAATATTTCCTATGTGCCTTCTGTTGTTAATTGGTTTGTTTGTTTTACGTGGATTTATATATTAAAGCTAGGGCCAAATTTGGGATAACCTGAGCAGCTGTCTTTGGAATGCACAGAAAATGCCTTTACTAGAGTATGTGTTATTACCTGAGGGTGGGACTCCCTTAGCAAACACCTTATACTAATGTCCTGGTCACAGGGTTGTGATGTGTTTGATACATGAGTGAGATATACGTTGTGTCCTTTCTTTAAGTTCTTCAAAAATAAACCCTTATTCATTATCCTCTGAAGTTTGCAGTCTGTATTTTGGTGGTGATCTTAAGCTCTGCTTTAAGGAAAAAGTCTTTTATAGGTTTTAGGGTACTTCTTTCCTTTGTGTACTTATCTTGGTAGCTCTTTAAGGAAGAATAATCCCTAACAGCCAAGACTACCTTTCATGATATCTTACAACCCTTAACTGACTATCAACAACCTTTCAACAGTAACTCCCTGATTATCTATCACCTTGAACCCTACACTCTAGCCTTTCCTAGCTACTTTCATTTGTCTGAATGTTTCTTTTTCCCCTTGCCTCTAAGTCTTTGCCTCTGTGCTGTAACACTAGCCAGGCAGGCTTATTTCTAGGTTATCTGCCTGGGACTCTTCTACTTGTCTTTTAATGATCAAGGTGTCCTATGTGAAACCTTTCCTGACTGACTCCACCCTACCACCCCCACTTCAAAGTTGAGCATGCCTTTGTGTTTGTATTTATTTATTTATTTATTTATTTATTTTTGAGACAGAGTCTCTCTGTCACCAGGCTGGACTGCAGTGGCGTGATCTCAGCTCACTGCAACCTCTGCCTCCCGGGTTCAAGCGATTCTCCTGCCTCAGCTTCCCAAGCAGCTGGGACTACCGGCGTGTACCACCAGGCCCAGCTGATTTTTGTATTTTTAGTAGAGACAAGTTTTCACCATGTTGGCCAGGATGGTCTCGATCTCTTGACTTCATGATCCACCCACCTCGGCCTCCCAAAGTGCTGGGATTACAGGCGTGAGCCACCGCGCCCAGCCTTTATTTTTCTTTTTGAGACGGAGTTTCACTCTTGTTGCCCTGGCTGGAGTGCAATGGCACGATCTTGGCTCACCGCAACCTCCGCCTCCTGGGTTCAAGCGATTCTCCTGCCTCAGCCTCCTGAGTAGCTGGGATTACAGGCATGCACTACCACACCTGGCTAATTTTGTATTTTTGTAGAGATAGGATTTCTCCATGTTGATCAGGCTGGTTTTGAACTCCCAACCTCAGGTGATCTGCCCGCCTCGGCCTCCCAAAGTGCTGGGATTACAGGCGTGAGCCACCTTGCCCAGCCTATGTTATTTTTTTACTTTGTATATTTTGTATGTATTTCTATAATAGTGCTTAATATACTGAGTCATAATTATTTATTCATTAGTAGAGTATAGTAATGGTTACATGCTTGATCTTTCCATCTTTGCTATTTAATGGCAGAGTGACAGTGGCAAGTCTTTTTTTAATCATTAAGACCTCAGTTTCTTTATATGTAAAATGGGAGTAATAACGTGCCCATTTTATAAGGTTATTGTGAGATTAAATGAAATTATACACATTTCATTAATTATACACATTAAAGCAAAGCACTTACCTCTTTTTGGCACATATTGCATGTTAAATTGGTAGTAAAAGGGGTGATTTCATGTGTGTCCTCTGTTATATATTGGCTTCTTGAATAAAACACATGGAATGTGTTTTATTCTCAGTATTTTGCCTGTGATAGGTTTCTTCAGAAAATGCTTACTCAGTGGGTTGATAATTGTCCACTACTATGAGAATTTCACACCCACTTTTCTTTATGTTCTTATATACTTTGAAAAAATTTTTCATTCTAATAGTCTGTACTATGATAAATACTGTTATTCTTCTTATTTTTTTTTTTGAGATGGAGTCTCACTCTGTCACTGAGGCTGGAGAGCAGTGGCATAATCTTGGCTCACTGCAGCCTCTGCCTCCTGGGTTCAAGTGATTCTCCTGCCTCAGCCTCCCAAGTAGCTGGGAGTACAGGCGCGTGCCACCACGCCCGGCTAATTTTTGTATTTTTAGTAGAGATGGGGTTTCACCATGCTGGCCAGGCTGGTCTGGAACTCCTGACCTTGTGTTCCACCCGCCTTAGCATCCCAAAGTACTGGGATTACAGGTGTGAGCCACCGTGCCCAGCTGATAAATACTATCATTTTAGAGTTCTTTTTTTTTTTTTTTTTTTTTTGAGACTCTCACTCTGTTGCCCAGGCTAGAGTGCGGTGGCATGATCTCGACTCACTGCAACCTCTGCTCCCAGGTTCAAGTGATTCTCCTGCTTCAGCCTTCCAAGTAGCTGGGACTACAGGCACCTGCCACCATGCCCGGCTAATTTTTTTGTAGTTTTTAGTAGAGATGGAGTTTCACCATCTTGGCCAGGCTGGTCTTGAACTCCTGACCTCGTGATCCACCCGCCTCGGCCTCCCAAAGTGCTGGGATTACAGGCGTGAGCCACCACGCCCAGCCTTTTATTTTTTTTTTTTTTATTTTTTTTGAGACAGTCTCGCTCTGTTGCCCAGGCTGGAGTGCAGTGGTGTGATCTCGGCTCACTGCAACCTCCATCTCTCAGGTTCAAGTGATTCTCCTGCCTCAGCCTCCCAAGTAGCTGGGATCACAAGTGTGCACCACCACGCCTGGCTAATTTTTTTGTATTTTGTATTTTGTATTTTTCCATATAGACAGAGTTTCACCATGTTGGCCAGGCTGGTTTTGAACTCCTGACCTCAAGTGATCTGCCCACCTCAGCCTCCCAAAGTGCTAGGATTATAGGTGTGACCCACTGCACCTGGTCTTATTTTAGAGTTTTTGTGTAGTGTGTTGTGGCTTCAACATATATACAACTCTAATAAACATATATTTTATATGTACATATGTGTGTATGTATGTTTGAGGCAGAGTCTCGCTCTGTCGCCCAGGCTGGATTGCAGTGGCACGATCTTGGCTCACTGCAACCTCCACCTCCCGGGTTCAAGTGATTCTCCTGCCTCAGCCTCCTGAGTAGCTGGGATTACAGGCGCCTGCCACCACGCCTGGCTAATTTTGGTATATTTAGTAGAGATGGGGTTTCACCATGTTGGCCAGGCTGGTCTGGAACTCCTGACCTCAGGTGATCCACCCATCTCAGCCTCCCACAGTGCTGGGATTACAGACGTGAGCCACCGTGCCTGGCCTGTTTTTTATCTTAATATTAATTTAATTTAATTTTGACATATGGTCTCGTTCTGTCACCCAGGCTGGAGTGCAGTGGTGCAGTCTCGATTCACTGCAACCTCCACCTCCTAGACTTAAGCTATTCTCCTGCCTAAGCCTCCCAGGTAGCTGGGATTACAGGCATGTGCCACCATGCCTGACTAATTCTGTATTTTCAGTAGAGATGGGGTTTCACCATGTTGGCCAGGCTGTTCCCGAACTCCTGACCACAGATGATCCACTCACCTCAGACGATCCACCCACTCCCTCCCAAAGTGTTGGGATTACAGACGTGAGCCACTGTGCCCGGCCTATTTTAACTTTAAGTAAGGGTTACTTACCATCCTGGGTAATGCAGTGAGAGCCTGTCTCTATGAAAATATTAAAAAATTAGCCAGGTGTGGTGATGCATGCCTGTTGTCCCAGCTACACGGGAGGCTGAGGTGGGAGGATCCCTTGAGCCCAGGAATTTGAGGCTGTAGGAATTCAAGGCTGTAGGATTGTGCCACTGCATTTCAGCCTAAGTGACAAAGATTGTCTCTAAAAATAAAAAAAGAAAAGTGAGATGTTTCCTATTAAAGAAGCCATTATGGTTCATACGTGTATGTTCTCCTACTCATTCCAGGTACTTCTTTGCATTGTTACTGAGATAATGTTTGTTTACCATTCTTCTGCTTCCAGGATTTCCACCAACAGAAACTAAAAACTTAATTATTAAATTAGAGCACTGGGGCGTTTTAAAGATTTGTGGATGTGTGTGCGGTACCAAAGCTATTATAACTTGAATTTTCAGCTTTTTTCTGGCCTTTATGATGTTAGTGTGACAGGTTCATATATTTAAGAAGGTGCTGAGAGGAACATGTTTCTTTAGAGTCCTGGCTTGCTTTATGCGCTTTATCTCATTAACCCTCACAGCAGTTCTATTGCATGCATAGATCAGATACAGAAAGGCTCAGAGGTTTTTCTTTTGTTTTTGATACAGGGTCCTGATCTGTCACCCAGGCTGGAGTGCAGTGGCGTGATCACAGCTCACTGCAGCCTCAAACTCTCAGGCTCAAGTGATCCTTGCACCTCAGCCTCCTGAGTAGCTAGGACCACCGGTATGCACCACTGTGCCTGGCTAATTAAAAAGAAAAAAATTTGTAGAGATGAGGGTGGGGAGGTCTTACCATGTTACCCAGGCTGGTCCTGAACTTCTGGGCTCAAGCCGTCCTCTGTCCTCGGCCTCACAAAATACAGGGATTAACAGACAGGAGCCACTGCACCCAGCCCATTATGTATATAAGATAATACTTCTTGGAAGGAGGTTCTAATTATTTTGTTAATTCATTCAGTAAACACTTACTGAGCTCCTGCTCTTTACCATGTACTCTGTCAATTTCTGAAATCCATGAAAATGTCAAGTTCTGCTGAATTAGGTAATAATGGTAATACCTGAAATTTGTATGGCTTTCACAATTTTTAAAATTATTTTTCACAAGTTAATTCACTTAATCTTCATAATAATTCCCTAAGGATAGGTATTATGATTTTATATATAAAGAAATTGAAATCAGGCTGGGCATGGTGGCTCACGCCTATAATCCCAGTACTTTGGGAGGCCACGGTGGGAGGATTGCATGAGATCAGGAGTTCAAGACCAGTCTGGGCAACGTGATGAAATCCCACCTCTACAATTAAAAAAAAAAAAAAATTAGCTGAGCATGGTGTGCACCTATAGTTTCAGCTACTCAGGAGGCTGAGATGGGAAGATCGCTTATACATGGGAAGTCACAGCTGCATTGAGCTGTGATTGCACCATTGTACTCCAGCCCCATGGGTGACAGAGTGAGACCCTGCCCCCCCCCCAAAAAAAAATAGAAGTAATGGAATTAAACCACTTACATGGATGTAAGCTCTGAAGGGATGGACATATGGGAAGCACAATCTCTTCTAAAAAGTAATAACCTTCTTTTGAAAAATAGTATTCTTCTCTGGTGCCATTTATCTACTTTTAGTTTGGCTGGGGTTGCTGTGCCACTTTTCTAACCATGCTCTTCCCCTGTCATTGCTGCAAAGCCCATGAGTGGGAAGGAGAGTGTGGCTATGACTGTCCAGGCTCCTTAGTACTTCCAATGGCTCAAAAACGACCATTTGCTTCTGGAGTGGGAAGCCTACTGACTTAAATATTGATCCCTGATCATTTTTTTTTTAAAGTCTGGATATCTGACATAGAAAAAGTGAGTTATTTCTGAGTGAAAAGACTGTGGCCTGAATCTTTACAGTACGTTAACGGTAAAGTAATAAAATGTAGCCTTCTGTTAGATTATTAGCCAAGGCATATGTTTGGCCTTTCTTTTTCCTTTTTTCCCATTTTTAAAACATGAATTAAAATGCTCACTCACTGGGGAGGCCGAGGTGGGCAGATTACTTGAGCCCAGGAGTTCGTGACCAGCCTGGGCAACATGGTGAAACCCTGTCTCTACAAAAAATACAAAAATTAGCCGAACATTGTGGCATGCACCTGTAATCCCAGGTACTTGGGAGGCTGAGGTGGAAGGATTGCTTGAACCCAGGACATTGAGGCTGTAGTGACTGTGATTGAGCCACTGCACTCCAGCCTGGATAATAGAGCAAGACCCTGTCTCAAAAAAATAAAATTAAAAATTTTAAAATGCTCACTTACTCTCATAACTGGTGAGACTTTTGTGTTAATCTTAGATAAAAGCTGACTACTTCAGTTTTTAACTATAAAGACCCAGTGAGCAAGCTTGAGTTCTGACTCATTTGTACTGGCTGCTGAGTAATCTATACAAATAGTGCTTTATGATTTTATGCTATCTTAAAAAAACAAATGGAAGATTGGAGATAAATTCAGGAGCAGATGACAAGGGTTTTTAGCCATGGCTTTGCCGTAGGCTGGCTGTGACTTAGAAGAAGTTTTCTGATTTCTTTAGGCCTCAGATTTCTTAGGTTTCAGTTTAAATATCTTTATAAATAAGCATGTTGTAGGAGTCTCTCAACTTATCCTGGTTGAGAGAGCTGCCTGAAAAAAAATTTTTTTTAGGTAAAAATGAACATGTTGGACTGAATTATTACTGAGGTCTCCTGTAGCTCTGAAATTCTGTTATCTATTGTCTTTGTGCACAGGACACTTTGTGTGTGTGGTGGCAGGTGGTAAACACAATACACTTGGAGTTAATAGTTATTTCATTAATCTTCTCTAAGTATGGTAATTTAACTAGGCTATATTTGGGTATAGCTCTATAATTCATGTATATGTATTATAGTGGTGAATCTTTCTTCTTTCCTAGAATAATCTCCAGGAGAGAGAGGAGGATTTAGCATGCATAAAGATAAATATAATCACAGGATAAGCATGCTTACTGATTATAGGAAGCTAATATTAACACATATTGGCTGTCAGTTGCAAGGGCAAACTTCCACATATCCAAAGCTGCTCTATAGTATTAACTTAATATTACTTGACAAGAATATTTGTCATGGAATTTTGGAATTAAATGTAGATAGTTCTAAAATGACAGTATTCTTTGATGTTTTCAAAGCATTGATGGTTCCATTTTCTTTTCTTCTTCTTCTTTTTTTTTTTTTCTTGAGATGGAGTATCACTTTGTTGCCCAGGCTGGAGTGCAGTGGCACGATCTCGGCTCACTGCAAGCTCTGCCTCCCAGGTTCACGCCATTCTCCTGCCTCAGCCTCACGAGTAGCTGGGATTACAGGCGCCTGCCACCACACCCGGCTAATGTTTTGTATTTTTAGTAGAGACGGGGTTTCACTGTGTTAGCCAGGATGGTCTTGATCTCCTGACCTCGTGATCCACCTGCCTCGGCCTCCCAAAGTGCTGGGATTACAGGCATGAGTCACTGTGCCTGGCCTGTTACAAACAATTTTTTAAAATCTCAAATCATAAGAGGTCTGAAGGTAGACTCTTTTAGGACTGATGCAGCACTCTATGATAATCATGTTTGTTCTGTTATTCATAATAAGGTTGTTTATCTCATGATTGCAACTCCAGACATCTTATCCAAAGCTGCCTTGAGGCATAAATTCAAAGCAGGAAGAAGGGGAAAGGGAAAGATACTGGTTGGGTCTGTCCTCTTTATCAAGAAAAGCTTTCCCAGATGCCCCTTACAGATTTTAGCTTACATCTTGTTGGCCATAACTAGTGGAATGGTTACCAGTAACTGCAAGGGGCATTGGAGAAGTGAGTATTTAACTTTATGGTGAAGATAGATAGGAGAGAGAGGAGGATTGGGAGTGGGTATTGGATTAGCCATCCAAGTGTCTAATACATACTTGTTAAGTTTGCAGTACCTGTAAGACATCAGGTCTGGTTCAGGAACTTTTCATTGTTTAGCCATAAATACCATATTATGAACCATGGAACTACAGTTGATTGATATTAGGAAAGATTAAATAACCTAAGGAAAATTAGATCAGGACCATCAAGGGCCATCATGGAAGAGCTGGGGAATAGGGAGATGTTAATTTAATGGCTGGATCACTGGAGATGTCAACTCAAAGAACATTCTAATATATCTCTGGAATATGAGGCAGTCCCTCCAAAGGCAGAACAAATAGTATTGCAGAATGTGATGATTTATGTTTAGCTGAGAATCTTAAGTGCATGTAATGGCAGTTAATAGTCATTACTACACATATGATTAGAATACAAGCCTAGAGACTAAATAATTTGCTCAAGTCCATGCTATGAGTCAGTAATAGTGCAAGAGGGGGAAAGAAAATAACTCAGTTCTCTGAGGCAGTGAATATGATTCTAGTATATTTAAAAAGTCCGTCTCATTTGGTTGTAAATTTCTTCAATTATTTAATAGTTTGTACGCAATAGTCATAGAAACCAGATTTTATTTTATTTTGTTTTGTTTTGTTTTGTTTTGTTTTGTTTTGTTTTGTTTTGTTTTTGGAGATGGAGTCTCACTGTGTTACCAAGCTGGAGTGCAGTGGCGCGATCTTGGCTCACTGCAACCTCCGACTCCCTGGTTTAAGCAATTCTCCTGCCTCAGCCTCTCGAGTAACTGGGATTATAGGCACGTGCCACCACGCCCAGCTAATTTTTGTATTTTTGGTAGAAACGGGGGTTTCACCATGTTGGCCAGGATGGTCTTGATCTCCTGACCTCATGATCTGCCTGCCTTGGCCTCCCAAAGTGCTGGAATTACAGGCATGAGCCACTGTGCCCAACTCCAGGTTTTGCATTTTTAAGCGAAGGTACCCATAACTTACTTAAGCCTCTTGATGGTTTTATGTAAGTATTTAGAAAATGTATGTTCCAATGCAAGAAAGTCAGATTTTTTTTTTTTTTTTTTTTTTTTTTGAGACAGAGTCTTACTCGTTGCCCAGGCTGGAGTGCAGTGGCATGATCTCGGCTCACTGCAAGCTCCATCTCCCAGATTCACGCCATTCTCCTGCCTCAGCCTCCCGAGTAGCTGGGACTACAGGCGCCCGCCACCACACCCGGCTAATTTTTTGTATTTTTAGTAGAGACGGGGTTTCATCATGTTAGCCAGGATGGTCTCGATCTCCTGACCTCTGATCCTCCCGCCTCAGCCTCCCAAAGTGCTGGGATTACAGGCGTGAGCCACTGCGCCTGGCCAAGAAAGTCAGATTTATTGAGATATAATTTACATACAGTAACATCCACTCTTTAGGCGTACAGTTCCATGTTTTGTTTTTTTTTTTGAGACAGGGTCTTACTCTGTCACCCAAGCTGGAGTGCGGTGGCACAATCATAGGTCATTGCAGCCTTGAACTCCTGGGCTCAAGCAATCCTTCTGCCTCAGCCTTCCTAGTAGCTGGGACTAAAGATGCATGCCACCACATGCTTGGCTAATTAAAAAAAATTTTTTTTAGAGACAAGGTCTCCCTATATTGCCCAGGCTAGTCTCAAACTCTTGGCCTCAAGCGATCCACTTGCCTCAGCCTTCCAAAGCCCTAGGATTACAGGAATAAACCACTGTGCCTGGCCCAGTTCTATGTGTTTTGATGGGTATATACGGTCTATAACTGTCACCACAATTAAGATACATAATATTTCTATCACCCCCAAAAGTTCCCCTGTTCCTCACTTGTAGTTAGTCCTTTTCTCCAACAAGAGCCAGTCTCTAGCAACCACTACTTTGTTTTCTGCCTTTATTGTTTTGCCTTTTCCAGATTGTCATATATGTGGACTCACACAGTATGTAGCCTTTTGATTCTGGTAAGAAAGTCAGATTTGAAGAACGTTTACAAATACAATATAGTAACGCTTATTGTGGCCATTTCATGTTTTAAAAAAAATGAATACAAAGGTTTAAAACATTCAAAACTAAAAGTAAACTTTGTAGTAACAAATACTGATAGTTCACACTTACATACTCCATTGCATTTAGTGTTTACATGTCCCACTTCCTTCTAAACCTAAATTCCTGAACACCTAACACATTGCTTCTACAATGTAATAAATGCTTGATACATGATTTTCTAGTGATGGATGATGTGTTTCTTTTGAAAAATTCTCTGAAATTTTTATCTCATTCCTGAGTTTTATAGGTACTGTTTTCTCTGTTTTACTTATAAGAAACTAATAGAATGTCTGGAAATTTTCTACCAAAAATCTTGAAACTTCTGTATAAGAAATTCATTATGTCAGACAGGGCGTGGTGGCTTACACCTGTAATTCCAGCAGTTTGGGAGGCTGACGTGGGCAGATCACTTGAAGTCAGGAGTTTGAGACCAACTTGATCAACATGGCAAAACC
This sequence comes from Homo sapiens, assembly GCF_000001405.40. Lineage (NCBI taxonomy): Eukaryota > Metazoa > Chordata > Mammalia > Primates > Hominidae > Homo > Homo sapiens. The sequence goes on from NC_000016.10 coordinate 69,221,603, forward strand.
CCCTCTCTCCTAAAAATACAAAAATTAGCCAAGCATGGTGGCGCACGCCTGTAATCCCAGCTCCTCGGGAGGCTGAGACACGAGAATTGCTTGAACCAATGAGGTGGTGGTTGCAGTGAGCCCAGATAATGCCACTGTACTCCAGCCTGGATGACAGAATAAGACTCTCTCTCAAAAAAAGGAAATTTGTTATGTCAGTGTAGAACAATTCTCTTTGCAAATAAGTGGTGTATCAAGGGCTTGAATTCAGATCTTGGTTAATACCTATAATACCTGTCTCTATTAGAAGACTCATGGAACTCAGGTATGAGCTGATAGATACAAAGCAAAGCAAAACAAAACCTACTGAAGCCTCTGGTTGCAAAATAGCACAAAGCTTGAGTCTTTGTTGACACTGCATACTTGACATTTAAACTCAAATGTTTAGGTATTATTTGCCATGAACAACATTGTTTTAAAACTTCCAAAAGATCTTTTCCTAGATAGTCCAGAAAAGCAAACTGGTTTTTAAATCACAATTATTTATGGCATCGTTTTAAATTAATTATCTCATACCGCAAGTTCCTTGCAATAGTTATTTTCTATTATTTCTGCTTTTCCTTGACGTACAACATAAAAAATATCAACTGTAAATTTTTTAATATTTGTCTTTTAAATGATAAGTATAGCTTTTACAAAGCACAATCAAGTAATATTTAAAAGGCTACCAGCCTGGTGCGGTGACTCATGCCTGGAATTCCATCACTTAGGGAGGCCAAGGTGGGTAGATCATCTGAGGTCAGGCATTCGACATCAGCCTGGCCAACATGGTGAAACCCCGTCTCTACTAAAAATACAAAAATTGGTTGGGCGTGGTGGTGTGTGCCTGTAATCCCAGCTACTTGGGAAGCAGAGGTAGGAGAATCACTTGAACCTGGGAGGTGGAGGTTGCAGTAAGCTGAGATCATGCCACTGCACTCCAGCCCAGGCCACAGAGTGAGACTTCATCTCAAAAAAAAAAAAAAAAGATTTTATAAGATGTGTTAAAAAGCAAGATAAAAATTCTATGTATGATTATAGCTATTAAAATGCCTAGACACAAAATACATAGACAAAAAGACTAGAAGGAAAGATACGTTTTATTAGTAATAAAGATGACTATTTTATCTCTTTTCCAGATTTTCTGTGATTTGTTATTTTCTTTTCTTTTTTTCTGAGATGGGAGTTTTTGCTCTTGTTGCCCAGGCTGGAGTGCAGTGGTGCGAACTTGGCTCACTGCAACCTCTGCCTCCCAGGTTCAAGCAATTCTCCTGCCTCAGCCTCCCGAGTAGCTGGGATTACTGGCACATGCCACCATGCCCAGCTAATTTTTTTTTATTTTTAGTAGAGATGAGGTTTCACCACAGTGGCCAGGCTGGTCTCAAACTCCTAACCTCAGGTGATCCACCTGCCTCGGCCTCCTGAAGTACTTGTGAGCCACTGCGCCCAGCCGTTTTGTTCTTATTACTTACAATTCTTTTGCTTTTAGACTTAAAAGTTATAGAAATAATACAGAGTTTCCAGTTTCCCCGAATGTTAACATCTTGCATAACCATTATCAAAACTAAGAATTTTTTTTTTTTTTTTTTGATACAGAGTTTTGCTCTTGTTGCCCAGGCTGGAGTGCAGTCGTGTGATCTTGGCTCACTGCAACCTCTGCCTCCTGGGTTCAAGCGATTCTCCTGCCTCAGCCTCCCAAGTAGCTGAGATTACAGGCGCCCCAGCCACCACGCCTGGCTAATTTTTGTATTTTTAGTGGAGTCAAGGTTTCGCCATGTTGGCCAGGCTGGTTTCCAATTCCTGACTTCAGGTAATGCACCTACCTCAGCCTCTCAAAGCGCTGGGATTTCAGGCATGAGCCACCACACCCAGCCAACATTAGTATGATATTATTAAACTACAGTCTCTTTATGGTTTTCACCCATTTTTCCAGTAATGTCCTTTTTCTGTTCCAGGATCCCACATTACACTTCGTTGTCATGTTTCCTTTGTTTCCTCCAATCTGTGACAGTTTTGTTTTTTTTTTGAGACGGAGTCTCGCTCTGTCATCCAGGCTGGAGTGCAGTGGCCCAATCTCGGCTCACTGCAAGCTCCGCCTTCTGGATTCATGCCATTCTCCTGCCTCAGCCTCCCAAGTAGCTGGGACTACAGGTGCCCGCCACCATGCCCGACTAGTTTTTTGTATTTTGTTTGTAGAGACGGGGTTTCACTGTGTTAGCCAGGATGGTCTTGATCTCCTGACCTCGTGATCCACCCGCCTCAGCCTCCCGAAGTGTTGGGATTACAGGCGTGAGCCACCACACCCGGCCGACAGTTCTTCAGTCTTGTCTTTTCTTTTATGACCTTGACACTTTAGAAGAATACTGGTCAGTGGTTTTGTAGAATGTCCCTCAATTGGGTTTGTCTTATTTCATCATGAATATATGGAGGTTACTCATTCTTGGGAAGGAAACCAGAGAAGTGATGTATCATTCTCAGTGTATCATATTGGGCAGGGGTGGGATATGACTTCAATATTTCTTAATCTAGTCATATAAACCTTGATTACTGTCATGTTTCTCCACATAAAGTTACTATTTTTCCTTTGCAATTTTTTTTTTTTTTTTTTTGAGACGGAGTCTTGCCCTGTTGCCCAGGCTGGAGTGCAGTGGTGCGATCTTGGCTCACTGCAACCTCTGCCTCCCAGGTTCAAGCGATTCTCCTGCCTCAGCCTCCCTAGTAGCTGGAATTACAGGCTCGCGCCACCACGCCCGGCTGATTTTTTGTATCGTTAGTAGAGACGGGGTTTCACCATGTTGGCCAGGCTGGTCTCGAACTCCTGACCTCATGATCCGCTTGCCTTGGCCTCCCAAAGTACTGGGATTACAGGCGTGAGCCACTGTTTCCTTTGTAATTAATAAGTATCTTGGAAAATATGGTGAGATTATGCAAACACACAGTTATTCTTTAAACTTTTGCCCAGTAATTTTAGCATAAATCATTGGATCTTGCCTGCAACAATGATTACTATAGTGTTTTAATGATGATTTTCTATTTATCTCATGCCTACTACACTTACTAATGAGAATTCTTCTGTAAGAAAGAGCTGGCCCTTCTCCTCCATTTATGTATTTATTACATTATTTATATTATTGTGGACTCTTGGATATTTATTTTATTCTGTGGGTTATAATCCTGTATTACTGTTACTTATTTTGATGCTCAAATTGTTCCAGCTTTTGTTTTTATTACTTTTTCATTAAGAAAATTAATAAAACAAATTATCAGCAGATAAAGTTACAGTATGTGGGTTGACCAGTGTCACACAATATTACTTAACATGCAGTAGTTGATTGCTATTAACTCTGACGGTTCTGAGTTTACTACAGTGGAATTCATTAGTATGTGTTATGTAAGAATGAAGAGGGAAAGAACACGAAGACATCTTTGTCTTTTCTCTTTCCCTGAACTCAGTTAATTCTGCCTATTTGGTCTGAAAAGCTCTAATAACAATGAAGGCCTGGCAGTAACTTACAGGATTTCTTTTATACAAAAAAGAGAAAAGAAAATTACCAAGTATTTAAAGACATGGAAACTTGGAGGACTTTCTTGTTCCTAAGTGGTGACTCTAACTGGATGTTCAGGATGGAGTGGTTGCTGACCCTTTGAACACAGCTATTGTGCTGGGTTAATATTGTATTTCCGTCTATAGTTTATCATTCAGGGTGCTGATCTAAAACAAAGCATCCGGTTTATCCAGCTAGTCCAGAACATATCCACTTAGCAACAAAAATACGGATAACGATTTCCTTGCGCTTGAATTGCTATGGTTTTTTTGTTGTTGTCTAGTGGAAATTTCGTTGTCTCGTGGAAGTTTTGTTGTCTAGTGGAAAAACATTAGTAAGTATTTTTATATTTTTCAGTGATTTTATTTTATTTGCTGCTGTTACATCCAATTATGTGTAACATTGTATTTACACCTCTATAGCATGTATCATGTTTTGCCTTATTATAATTTCTACTTTATTAGTTGGCCTATTTTAGGGGACACATGTCTTCCTTTTATTCCTCAAGTAAATAACTTGAGGACAAGATTTGTGTGTCAAACATTTTAAAGATCCACGTGCTTTGCACATAGGAGAGAGTTGTTGAAAAGGGGGGAACATTGTAGCTCTTTTTGGTTTTGGAGACGGAGTCTCACTCTGTCACCCAGGCTGGAGTGCAGTGATGTGATCTCGGCTCAGTGCAGCCTCCGCCTCCTGGGTTCAAGTGATTCTCCTACCTCGGCCTCCTGAGTAGCTGGGATTACAGGCGCCCGTCTCCACACCTGGCTAATTTTTGTAGTTTTAGTAGACATGGGGTTTCACCATGTTGGCTAGGCTGGTCTCAAACTACTGATCTCAAGTGATCTGCCCGCCTCGGCCTCCCAAAGTGCTAGGATTAAAGGCATGAGATGCCCAGTTCTTCTGTTTTTTGTTTTTTGATTTTTCGAGAAGGAGTCTCACTCTGTTGCCCAGGCTGGAGTGCTATGGCGTGATCTCGGCTCACTGCAACCTCTGCTTCCTGGGTTAAAGCAATTCTCCCGCCTCAGCCTCCCAAGTAGCTGGGAATACAGGCACCCGCCATCATGACCAGCTAATTTTTGTATTTTTGTAGAGACAGGGTTTCACTATGTTGGCCAGACTGGTCTTGAACTCCTGACCTTAGGTGATCTGTCTGCCTCGGCCTCCCCAAGTGCTGGGATTACAGGCGTGAGCCACCATGCCCACCCTATGATTCTTAAGAGTAAAAAAAAAAAAAAAACTTTGTTTCCTATCATATGTGCTAGCAATAGATAAAACCCTATATGTTGGGTTCCTGAGGCAAGGACTGACTTTCTAATAAGAATATTTTAATCCATTATTGGCTCCTTATGATAGATAAGACTTCATTTATCTTTCTTGCTTTTCTCTGAGACAAGGTCTCCCACTGTCACACTGGAGTGCGGTGGTGGGATTGTGGCTCACTGCAGCCTCAACCTCTCAAGCTCAAGCAGTCCTCCCACGTCAGTGTCCTGAGTTGCTGGGACTACAAGCATATGCCACCACATCAGGCTAATTTTTAAATTGTTTTGTAAAGACGGGGTCTCGCTATGTTGCCCAAGCTGGTCTTGAACTTGTGGGCTCAAGCAATCCTTCTGCCTTGGCCTCACAAAATGCTGGGATTACAGGTGTGAGCCATGGTGCATGGCCCTAAGGTTATGTTTTTATGTTACTGCAGGAGCAAACTGCTCATTCAGAAGCCATTTGTTTAAGCTTATAATTGTTTACTAAGGAGAATTTTGCTTTTATGGCAGGTTTGTTTTAATAAGAAATTTAGCTGAATTAACCCCTCAGCAGATAAGATTATACATATAGAGTCTATGTGACAACCTTCAGTATATGGAGAGAGTGACCATTTCCCAAATATTCACAAGCACATAGTGGGGCTGACCAAGGGCCTTTTATTCAAACAGTTGCAAGAATCCTTAATCTAGAGCAATTAGCAACAACATTTAACTGAATTGTGTTACTCATGCCAGAAATATTTCTGAGAATTTCACTAGGACAGACAAATTAGGACTGTAAAAGTATATCTGTATTTGTGCAGAATCTCTCATAATTCATCTAATCAATATTGACTGTACATCTTCTGTGCATTAGTGATTCCAGCTATGAACTGTTTCTCAATGCACTGACAATTTTTGACCAATGTATAAAATTTATTTGTGCTACACCTTTGTATGCGTATTGTTACAGTGATGCCATATAGAGTGGGGTTCACCTTGCTTTAAGAGGTTAGAAGCAACTATAATTAATTTCAAGCCACTGTCACAGAAATATTGGGTGTAACTGGAAAAAGACATGAATTTTGCCTTATGAATGTGCAAAATAATGTATTCAAGGCCTAATGGCTCTACACAAACCGCAACACAGTTCTGAAGGGTGACTAGGAAAAAAGTTTAAAAAACTATGAATAAACTCTGTAGAAGTGATGTGTTGTAATTATTGTTGACTTTTATAGTGTCTTGAGTTTTAATCCCTTCAGTGTCCCATTGGTCAAGTGGACAAGACAGACAAAACAAAAACTGTGACATATGGCGGATGCCATGTCAGTGATATGTAGAGTGTTAGAGGAATATAGATGAGGAAGGTTATATTCTATAAAAATTGGTCCTTTCCTGAAGGGGAGACAAAGAATGGTTAGCTTGCTGTTTCTCTGGATTTTTTTTTTTTTTTTTTTTTTTTTAAGATAAGTAAGATGGGGTCTCACTCTGTCACCCAGGCTGGAGTTCAGTGGCATGATCATAGCTCACTGCAGCCTCAAATTCCTGGGCTTAAGCGATTCTCCCCTCTCAGCCTCCTGAGTAGCTTGGACTACAGGTGTGCACCCCTATGCCCAGCTTTTCTGGAGATATCTTAATTACCACGTCTAGATATTCTTTAGTGATATAGTACATAATAAGCTCACTCTGTAGGTTATGTTCAGTGCCTAATGTCTTTCAGACACTGTTAAACAGTTTACTTTTATTAGTTAAGCTTCTTTAACATCTCAGTTACTTGGTAAAGTTAGTATTAGGTTTAGTATTAGAATTTCATAGATTATGACCGGCCGCGGTGGCTGATGCCTGTAATCCCAGCACTTTGGGAGGCTGACGAGTGTGGGTCACCTGAGGTCAGGAGTTCGAGACTAGCCTGGCCAACATGGTGAAACCCCATCTCTACTAAAAATACAAAAATTAGCCAGGCATGGTGGTGCACACCTGTAATCCCAGCTACTTGGGAGGTTGAGGTGGGAGGATGGCTTGAACCTGGGAGGCAGAGGTTGCAGGGAGCTGAGATTATGCCACTGCACTCCAACCTGGGCAACAGGGTGAGACTCTATCTCAAAAAAAAAAAAAAAAAAAAAAGAATTTCATAAATTATAAACTGAGATTTTTAAAGTGAAATTATTTGTCCAAAATCACAACGTTTGTAATTGGCAGAACTGGAATTAAAATCTGGATCTGTTCAGTTTCACATATTTGACTCTGTCCACTATACTATACTCTCTCTGAAGCATATTCTATTAATTATGTACATACACACTAAGTATATGTATACATACACACTAAGTAAGTATACACATACTAAGTGCCTACAACCCTCAAGCACAGGCCTGTGTACCTTTCACACATTATGTCATTTAATCCCCCACAACAGCACTTAAGGATGGTATATTATGTTTTGCAAATGAGAAAACTGAGGCTCAGAGGTAATCTTCAAACCTCCCAACAAATAAACGGTAATATCAAGACTTGAGCTGAGGTTCATTTGATTTTAAAGCTTGTTGCTGTGCATTAATGATTTTACAAAAAATATCCAGAGAGCATCAATCGTAGGCTAATGCAAATTCATTGTAGGGTATAAGATACAGATGTAAGGCAATTCCATACTGATACCCCCTTATTTCTTCAGTATTTATTAAAGAGTGACTCCCCCGACGTTGTATTGTTTTGCTATTGAATCTATTTCTGAAATTACTTTTCTAATAATTTTTTTCATTATTATTTGATGGCACTTTATTTATTTAGTGACAGGATCTCACTCTGTCATTCAGGCTGGAGTGCAGTGGCACGATCAAGACACTGTAGCCTCAGCCACCCAGGCTCAGATGATCCTCCCACTTCAGCCTCCTGGGTGGCTGGAACTACAGGCACGTGCCATCACACCTGGCTATTTTTTTAATTTTTTGTAGAGATAGGATTTTGCCATGTTGCCCAGGCTGGTCTTGAACTCCTGGGCTCAAGTGATCCACCCTCCTTGGCCTCCCAAAGTGCTGGGATTACAGGTGTGAGCCACTGTGGCCTGCCTGAATTTTTTTTTTTTTTTTTTTTAAGAGACATGGTCTTACTCTGTCACCCAGGCTGAAGTGTAGTGGTACAGTAATAGCTCACTTCAGGCCTGGTGCGGTGGCTCACACCTATGATCCCAGCACTTTGGGAGGCCGAGGTGGGCGGATCACGAGGTCAAGAGATTGAGACCATCCTGGCCAACCAGCTTGGTGAAACCCCGTCTCTGCTAAAAATACAAAAATTATCTGGGCATAGTGGCGCACGCCTGTAGTCTCAGCTACTTGGGAGGCTGAGGCAGGAGAATCACTTGAACCCGGGAGGCAGAGGTTGCAGTGAGCCAAGATCATGCCACTGCACTCCAGCCTGGGTGACAGGAGCAAGACCCTGTCTCAAAAAAAAAAAAAAAACTCACTTCAGCCTTGAACTCCTGGCTCAAGGGATTCTCCTGCCTCAGCCTCCTGAGTAGCTGGGACTACAGGCATGTGCTACCATGCCTGGCTAATTTTAAATTTTTTTGTAGATACATGGTCCTAGTATATTGCCCAGGCTGGTCTCGGACTCTTGGCCTGAAGCAGTCCTCCCTTCTTGGCCTCCCAAAGTGCTGGGATTACAGGCCTGAGCCACTGCATCTGGCCCGATGGCATGTATTTAAGTTAACTTTATAATAATTTATTACAGAGCACATGTTTATTATAGAAAGTCCAAACATTATAGAAATGCTTAATTTCTAAAATGGAAGTTCCTGTAATTGCACTCACAAATGTGACCACTATTAGCAAATTGGCATATTTTCTTGAGCACTTTATTAACATACTGATCTATATATACTTTTTTTAATATATAAAACTTAGAGCTTGCTTTAATCACTTACCAATAATTCTGATACCCTTAATTTTATAGTATATGAGTCTTTTTTTTTTTTCTTTTTGAGACGGAGTTTCGCTGTGTCTCCCAGGCTGGAGTGCAACGGCGCAATCTCGGCTGACGATAACCTCTGCCTCCCAGGTTCAAGTGAGTCTCCTGCCTCAGCCTTCTGAGTAGCTGGGATTACAAACACCTACCACCACGCCTGGCTAAGTTTTTGTATTTTTAGTAGAGATGGGGTTTCACCATGTTGACCAAGCTGGTCTCCAACTCCTGACCTTGTGATCCACCCACCTCAGCCTCCCAAAGTGCTGGGATTACAGGCATGAGCCACTGCGCCTGGCCGGGTTCATTTTTTCAAAAAGTAGCCTCTAATATTTGAGCAGGAGACTAAAAGGAATATAAATTATTCCTAACCAACCCGTTTCTTTCTTTTTTTTTTTTTTTGAGACAGAGTCTTGCTCTGTGGCCCCGGCTGGAGTGCAGTGGCATGATCTCCGCTCACTGCAAGCTCCGCCTCCCGGGTTCACGCCATTCTCCTCCCTCAGCCTCCCGAGTAGCTGGGACTACAGGCGTGTGCCAACACACCCAGCTAATGTTTGTATTTTCAGTAGAGATGGGCTTTCACCGTGTTAGCCAGGATGGTCTCCATCTCCTGACCTCGTGATCCGCCCGCCTCGGCCTCCCAAAGTGCTGGGATTACAGGCATGAGCCACCGCGCCCAGCACCAACCCGTTTCTTATGCAAACTGCCTTTCTCATTGCGGCTGGCTTAGTGAAAATGAAATTAAATAAAGTCTTATCTTTTCTAATCCTATATAGAGTCTAAACTTTTTTACTGTCACTGTCAACAATCTTCTCATTTGCTTTGTGTGTTTTGAAGTAAGCAGAAGGATACAAAACAAGTTGTAACATTGTTTCACATAAAGCAGTGCTGCTTTTTAGGGGAGAGAAGTATAAAGCGTAGAATTGACTTTTAAAAAAGATGTGGCCCGCGGACGAGGTGGCTCATGCCTGTAATCCCAGCACTTTGGGAGGCTGAGGCAGGCGGATCATCTGAGGTGGGGAGATGGAGACCAGCCTGGCCAACATGGAGAAACCCCGTCTCAACTAAAACATACAAAATTAGCTGGGCATGGTGGCGCATGCCTGTAATCCCAGCTACTCGGGAGGCTGAGGCAGGAGAATTGCTTGAACCTGGGAGGCAGAGGTTGCAGAGAGCCGAGATAATGCCATTGCATTCCAGCCTGGGCAGCAGGAGTGAAACTCCATCTCAAAACAAATGAACAAACAAAACAGATGTAGCCTAGAAAATAAATATAAATCTTAATCCTAAAAACCAAAGAAAAATATGTAATTTGAAGTGATTGTTCAGATGCAGTGTCTCCCAGATTTTCAATTAATTATATAAAGAATTTTAAACAAACACACCTACTATATGGCAATTTCCACAGGGAAATTTACTGGTAGCTGTCTTCCTTACAAAAACATTTCAAAATGCCAACTCAAGATATTTAAAACATTTTTTATAAAAAATTGAGAAGCTTGCATATTCTTTTGTAGTTTGAGGAAACATTCCAAAGAAAAAACACTTTTTAAATTCAATTAAGAAATTTTTACTTTATAAATGACCAAGAACTAGTTTACCATATTAGATCAGTAGTTAAAGAAGTTTACCAAGGGGAATTTATACAGTAGATAGTCTAAAGCCCCAAATTATTTCAGTCTTGCTTGTTATTCTACATTTCTATATATAAAAGCATGAAGGCTAATACTTTTGTATAAAAGTAATAGATATTCAAGTTAGACTTCGATGAGGCCTAAAAAATACTGGGGCTTTTTTTTGCCGGTTTGTATAAATTCATTGTAAAAGGCCATAATTTTTTCTTTTTTCTTTTTTTTTTTTTTTGAGATGGAGTCTTGCTCTTTCACCCAGGCTGGAGCGCAGTGGTGTGATCTCAGCTCACTGCAACCTCTGCCTCCTAGGTTCACGCCATTCTCCTGCCTCAGCCTCCCGAGTAAGTGGGACTACAGGTGCCTGCCACCACGCCCGGCTAATTTTTTGTATTTTTAGTAGAGACGGGGTTTCACCATGTTAGCCAGGATGGTCTCCATCTCCTGACCTTGTGATCTGCCCGCCTCAGCCTCCCAAAGTGCTGGGATTACAGGTGTGAGCCACGGTGCGGCCTTTTTTTTTTTTTTTTTTTTTTTTTTTGGAGACGGAGTCTCGCTCTGTTGCCAGGCTGGAGTGCAGTGGCCCCATCTTGGCTCGTTGCAACCTCTGCCTCCCGGGTTCAAGCGATTCTCTTGCCTCAGCCTCCCGAGTAGCTGGGACTACAGGCGTGCGCCAACACACCCAGCTAATGTTTGTATTTTTAGTAGAGATGGGGTTTCACCATGTTGGCCAGGATGGTCTCGATTTCTTGACTTCGTGATCCGCCCACCTCAGCCTCCCAAAGTACTGGGATTACAGGTGTGAGCTACTGCCCCCAGCCAAAAGGCCATAATTTTTAAATCCTGAAATTTTAATTGCTGGGGACAAATTTCAGAGCTACCTTATTTTTTGGTTTCTTTGGACTTATTTCACTATAGCTCAGAGGTTTAAAATTATACTTGAATTTTTTTGTTATCCCAGTAGTAATTTGAGATCTTCAAAAAAGGATATTTCTCCTACTTTTATTGATTTGGACCAGAGCTTAGGTTGGAACAGAGAAGGAAAGATGGATAATGAACTGAACTGAAAATTCCAAGATCACCATAAACCTAAATCACATCTTAGAAATCTGGGAGACACTACTGCTTCTTAGGGCATGCTTGGTTTTCTTGTTGACAACTTTTCCCCCCTCATGCCTAGCAAGAGGAAAGGAACTAACTTCACAGAGTTAAATGACAAGGCAATAAAGGGAAATTAAGTGTGACTTTAGATATGCTGGTACATCAAGAACTCAAATTCAATTTGTGTGAGATATGAGGTTCTGGTGACTGTCCTGTGACTCTCCACTGTTATCACAAATCACCCCTCCCAGTTCTTCAGACAAAATAAAAGCATTAAGAGACATGGATTTCCTGGTTTTAAGTAGAAGAAAATAATAATATCCTGCATTTGTTGAGACAGGAGATCAAGATTGGGTGGGTATATATACCATTTTTCACCTATTAAAATAGCAAGGGTTATTTTAAGTGGGATTACTTCATGTTGGCAAGTGTACTGACATGGATGTGCTTATATATGGCAGGTGGGAGCATAAAAATGATACAGATTTTAGGGGGGAGGAATTTGGCAGTACTTACCATGATGCTTAAATATTACTTTGACCCAGTAATTTCTCTGCTGAAAAAGATGTTCAGTGTAGTGTTAACTAAACTAAGTTCCCTTGCCAAGTGTGGTATCTCAATACTTGTAATCCCAGCACTTTGGGAGGCTAAGGCAGAAGGATCACTTGAGGCCAGAAGTTCAAGACCATCCTTGGCAACATAGCAAGACCCCACTGTCTCTGCAAAAAACAAAAAAAACTAGCCAGGTACAGTGGTGCATACCTGTAGTCCTAATTACTCAAGCGGCTGAGGCAAGAAGATCCCTTGAGCCTAGGAGTTTGAGGCTGCAGTGAGCTATGATTGTGCCCCTGCAGTCCCGCCTGGACAACAGAATGAGCTATGATTGTGCCACTGCACTCCGACCTGGACAACAAAGTGAGACTCTGTCTCTTTTAAAAAAAGGAAAAAAGAAAAAAACAAGGGCCAGGCATGGTGACTGCGCCTATAATCCCAGCACTTTGGTAGGCCGAAGCAGCAGATTGCTTGAGCCTAGGAGTTCAAGACCAGCATGGGCAACATGGCGAAACCCTGTCTCTACAAAAAAGTTACAAAAATTAGCTGGGTGCTGTGGTGTGTGCCTGTAATCCCAGCTACTAGGGAGCCTAAGGTGGGAGGATCGCTTAAGCCTGGGAGATTGAGGCTGTAGTAAGCCGTGGTTGTACCACTGGACTCCAGCCTGGGCAAGAGAGTGAGATTTTGTCTCACAAGAACCCAAAAAACTAAGTGGCCAATAATTAGGGAATGCCTAAATAAATTATGGTAAACACACAATATGGAATACTATATAGCTATTTTTAAATGATAGTTGTGAAGAGTTTATATAACATGGAGAAATGTTTGTTCCTTTGTTAAGTGTGGGACTAAAAAGTCTGGAAGAAAATACAGTGTAATTAGGAATTTTTGTATTTATTTTCTTTTTCTTTTCAGTATTTCCAGTTTAATTATCTGAAAGGAAAGAATAAGGCCAGCCAATAAAGATTAGCTTTAATGGCTGTTCTCAAACAACTGATAAGGAAAGGAACAAAACCAGAGTACGGAGATGCAGAAGACATTATGTGTTATACAACTTGGTATTTTTTTTTTTTTTTTTCGAGACCAAGTCTCACTCTGTCACCTAGGCTGGAGTGCAGTGGCATGATCTTGTCTCACTGCATCTTCCACCTCCCAGGTTCAAGCAATTCTTCTGCCTCAGCCTCCCAGGTAGCTGGGATTACAGATGCCCGTCACCATGCCCAGCTAATTTTTATACTTTTAGTAGAGACGGGGTTTCACCATGTTGGCCAGGCTGGTCTCGAACACCTGACCTCAGGTGATCCACCCGCTCTGGCCTCCCAAAATGTTGGGATTACAGGTGTGAGCCACTGCGCCCGGCTCTCAACTTGGTTCTTTATTTATTTATTTATTTTTTGAGACGGAGTCTCTCCCAGGCTGGAGTGTGTGGTGCAATTTTGGCTCACTGCAGCCTCTGTCGCCTGGTTTCAAGCAATGCTCTTTGCCTCAGCCTCCTGAGTAGCTGGGATTACAGGCGCACGCCACCATGCCCAGCTAATTTTTTTTTTTTTTTCCAAAGTGGTAGGATTACAGGCATGAGCCACCGTTCCCGGACTTCAACTTGGTTCCGATGAGTGGTTTGGAACATCTTAGCCAGTTTTAATTTTACGTAGAATAGGTGAATGGGTGTCTTCCCTTCTTGTTCACTTCCTGGGCCTAGAACTATCCTAAGCATAAATGTTAAGGGGTTATCTCAAAACCCCTATAGTGTGTATCCATATTATTGAAACAATATTGAGTAACATTTTGTTCAAGCATTAGCCAATGTGATTGCCTTTCAGAACTCTGGGCTTTTCTCTGTAGTTTCTATATAGGTGGAGAAAGGTGGAGTTTTTTAGAGACTTTAATCACTGTAAATGTCCTTCAGAATACCTGCGAGAGTCCTAGAAATGAGACCAAAGTGGGGGAGGGGGGAACTAAAAGGAAGGGAAAGGAAGAAAGGCGGGAAGTGGGGAGCAGAAAGAAAGAAAACAAAACAAAAAACCCTGGCACCAATATGACAGCTTCAAACTGCTGTATCCCCAGGGCTAACAACATAGTACCAGGAATTTTTTTCTCTGCTTTCAGGCCTATAATGAGGAAATTTCTGTCTGACCAATATCAGGGGCACATCAGCTGCTGTACTAAGTTTCTTCAAATATCCTGGAATTGTGGTGAGTTTGAACCCGTTAGCTACCACTTCTACAACTGTTCTTGGAGTTGTGTGGATGCAGTCCCATTAGATATATATAGAATTACTGGTTTATCTGTGCTACATCTTAGTAAGCTCCCATTACTTTCGCATTAGGATTAATAGAGGTGGAATTTGAGATGTGCTTTGGGAAATGGGTATGATTTGGACACATGGAAGTGAAGAAGTGAGGGAATCAATATAAATAAGGACACAGGAAAAGTCAGAGTATACCTTTCTGCAAGTAGTTTACTGGGTTGTGGTGGCCTGTGGTTATGCTTGAAATCTTTTGGTGGGTTTTCTTGTGCAAGCAGTTTAGTAAGATATTTGAGGGGACAGAAGAGAAGAGATGGTTGGAAAGATGAATTTATACACAAGACTTTAGACTACATTCCTTAGGCAGTAGCAAACCATAGAGACTCTTTTAAATCGGGAGTGGCCTGGTATGAGTTGGGGTCTAGGACAATCAACCTGGTAACCTTGTGTAAAGGCATGAGAGAAGGGAAGAGGGTCTGGGCAAGGAGATCAGTTAAGAGGCCAGTACAGATACAAAGGGACAACTATTGTATGAGTCCACCTATGTGAGGTACCTAGAGTAGTCAAATTCATAAGGACAGAAAGTAGAATGGTGGTTGCCAGGGGATAGGGGAATGGGGAGTAATTGTTTAGTGGGTATAGAGTTTCAGTTTGGGAAAATGAAAAAGTTCTGGAGATGGCTGGTGGTTGTGGTTTCACAACAATGTGAATACTTAATGCACTGAACTGTACATGTAAAAAATATGGTTAAAATAGTAAACTTTATGTTGTGTATATTTTACAATTACAAAAAAAAAAAAAAGCAGCAGCAGCAGCAGCCACTACAGTGGCTGGTCTGAGTTAACCAAGGCATGTTGGCAGTGGAAACTGAGGGGAGTAGGTAGGCTAGAGAACAATTTCAGATGTGATTTGGCACCTGATTAGATGTAGCGGGTAGGGACAGAGAGTGGTCTGCAAAGGTTTAGAGAAGCATTTTCCAAACCTTGATCGAGCATGAGAATTAACCACCTGGGCAACCTTTAATAAAATACAGAAGAGTGTGCTTCACACCAGGCTAACTATAGTACTGGTTTAGATCCTGGGTGGCGAGAAAGATGATGATGCTAATCCTTATAACTACAAGAGTGAGCACAGGAGCAGGGGATAAAGGATAATGAAGATTAGTTCTTGTTTGGATATGTTGAATCTGAAGGATGGGGCAGCACCCAGGTGGTGGGATTGGGGCCAACAGGAGATATTGGTTCTAGAGAGCTGTGTCAAACTGGAGATCCAGCAGAAAGCTGACAGGGATGAGAGGATAAAGTGAGAAGTGCTAAAATCAGAGCCTTAGGAAACACCTGGATTATAGGGATAGGAGGAGAAAAAAGGCACTTAAAAAATAAATGGCCAGAAAGAAGGAATACAAAACAGCTGGTAGAGTGCATTGCCATACATATTGGAATGGTCGAGCATAAGGATTGAGAAAGGGCCTTTGGATTGGGTAAGAAAACATTGATAACCCTTTAGAATGCTGTTTTAATTCAGAAGAGATTAAGGAGTGAAAGGAGAAAATAGAAACAATAAGCAGAAATTGTTTTGTTTTGATTTTCAAGGAATGGTGAAGGGAGGGAAGAGCCAAGTCTGGGTTCATCAGGTCAAGGGAGTGCTTTTTCAGTTTGGATAAACTTGGTACTATTTTAGGCCAGCATTTCTTTTTTTTTCTTTCTTTCTTTCTTTCTTTTTTTTTTTTTTTTTGAGGCAGAGTTTTGCTCTGTTACCCAGGCTGGAGTGCAATGGTGCGATCTTGGCTCACTGCAACCTCCGCCTCCCCGGTTCAAGTGATTCTCCTGCCTCAGCCTCCCGAGTAGCTGGGATTACAGGCATGTGCCACCATGCCTGGCTAATTTTGTATTTTTTGAGTAGAGACGGAGTTTCTCCATGTGGTCAGGCTGGTCTTGAACTCCCGACCTCAGGTGATCCTCCTGCCTCGGCCTCCCAAAGTGCTGGGATTACCGGCATGAGCCACCATGCCTGTTAAGCCAGTATTTCTATGGAGCACTTGTGTTTCGTGGATCTTCTGCCTACCTCCTTCTTTTCTCCCCAGCCCTTTAATAGTGGAGTGTCTGCTTTCTCTTCCGTACTCACTTCCTTGCTTGTGCTGGAAGTCTTCCATTGGCTCTTCTAGGTCCGCTCCTTCTCTACATGCCATCTGTCCCGGACGCTGACCTGCGTGGACAACATCAGCAGACTTCCTTGGCCTTTGGTTTTTGTTGGGTTTGGCCAATGTAGAGCCCCAATAGGACATTGGAGGGAAAGAAGGAGGAGGGTGAGGTTGGAGCATTTATCCCCTTGGCCCCCAATTCGCAGGTCAGTGCAATCTGGCTGAATTGACTGAAAGTCACTGCTCCTCTCACATCGGTCTCTATAGGGCTCTTTTCTTCTGGGTTTGGTACCCACTCTCTTTCCTATTTCCTTCAGGCCTACATGTGGAAACAGCTAATAGCCATGGGATACTACACTCTATTTTTCCATGTGGTTTCCCTGCACTCTGCCCACATCTTCATAAGTTGTCCCTTTATTAAATCCCTTACTATCGTTTCCTGCTGGGATCCTGACTGATACAGTGATCTTATCCAGTTTCATGGCATTAAATAGCAACTATATGCTAATAGCTCCCAAATTTATGTTTTTAGCCTACACCCATTTCCTGAACTGCAGACTTATATATCTAGCTGCCTGTTAGACTTGATTGTCTAATGTATGTCTCAAGTTCCTGATCTTTCTTCTAAAGCTGTCAAGGGGAACGCTATCCTTCTAGCCTTGTTCGGGACAAAAATCTTGACATTATCCTTGACTCTTCTTTTTGCCACCCCCTTATGTAATCTGATGTAGAATCTGACCACTTCTCACCACCTCCACTACTATTCCCCTGGTCCAACTCCTATCATCTCTCATCCCTGTTAACCTGCCAGCTGGTCTTCCTGCTTTTGCCTTGGCCTTCTTTTATTCTATTTTCAACATAGTGGTCACTTGCTCCTGAAAATCTCCCAATAGCTTCCTGTTTCAGAATAAAAGCCAAAGTCCTTGCCATGACCTAAAAGGCCGTACATGGTCTGCCTCCCAGCCCCGTTACCTTTGTGACCCCATTTACTACTCTGTCCCCCTCACTTACCCAGCTCCAGTTACTCTGGGTCTCCTTACTGTCTAACACTCCTGTTAGTAACTCCTGTTACTGTCCTAACACTGTCTCCCTGGCTGGAATGTTTCTCCCAGATATTTGCATGGCCAACTCCCCCATCTCCTAAAGTCTTTGTTCAAACATCTTATTAATGGCTTACCCTAACTACCATATTTAAAATTTACAAACTGACACCCTGGGCAGCATTTCTGACCCCTTCCCTTGCTGTGTTTCATTTTCCCATTACACTTAACATCTTCCAATATACTGTATAATTTACTTATTTTATTTTGTAATTATCATACTGTACAATTGAATTTTTTCCCCTTAAGGTATACAGTTCTATGAATCTGGACACATACATAAATTCTTGTAACTGTCACCACAATCAGGATACAGGACCATTCCATGGTTTCAGAAAACTCTGTTGTGCTATCCCTTTATAATCATATCCCTTCTCACCCCTAACCCTTAGAAACCACTGAATTTATTTTTATTTATTTATTTATTTATTTATTTAGTCAAGGCAGGGTCTCGCTCTGTTGCCCAGGCTGGAGTGCAGTGGCGCAATCTCAGCTCACTGCAACCTCTGCCTCCTGGGTTCAAGCCTCCTGCCTCAGCCTCCTGAGTAGCTGGGCTTACAGGCGTGCACCACTATGCCTGGCTAATTTTTGTTTTTTTAGCAGAGGTGGGGTTTCACCATGTTGGCCAGGCTGGTCTTGAACTCCTAACCTCAAGTGATCTGCTCACTTTAGCCTCTCAAAGTGCTGGGATTACAGGCATGAGCCACGACGCCTGGCTAGAAACCACTGAATTTTTCATCATATATTTTTTTCTTTTCAATAATGGGGTCATACAACTTTTGAGACTGGTATAATGCCTTTCAGATTCATCCAAGTTACTGAGTTATAAATAGTTTGTTCCTTTTTATTTCTGAATAGTGTTCTATTCTATAGCTGTATCACAGTTTATCCATTCACTTCCATTGAAGGAAATTTGGGTTGTTTCCAGCTGTGGTACTTACGAATAGAGCTGCTAAGAACATTAGTGTACAGGCTTTTGTGTGAATGTAAGTTTTCATTTCTCTAGAATTTCATTAAATTATTAATTACATTATTATTTTTTGCATATTTTATTCACTGGCTAATAATTCTACATGCCTAAAACAGTTCCTGGTATATAGTAGGAGCTCAATAAATTAGTGAATTTGCTATGTTATTTTAGAATGAAGAGGAAGAGTGAAAGAGTCACTCTGAACTCATTCAAGGTTCATGTCACCAGACTCTAGACTGCAGTCTACTCAAACCCCAAATGGCCAGGAGACTTGAGCTGAAAGACACCTGCAAGTTGAGAATGTAAAAGGCTTTTTACTCAAAGCAAAGCAATTCCTTCCTCGTGTTTTTGGTGGTCATTTATCAGCCTCCTGACTTGAGAGAAGAGCTTGGGATGAGGTTGGAGAGAATCCTCCTGAGAGAATACTTTAACAGTGACTGTCAACATAACTCATTCCTGTGCAAAATGCACAGCCAGATATTCCACTCTGAGAATAATCCAGGAACAAACTTGCTTGCAAAAGCAGGGGAAATAATGTTGTGTGACTAACTTAGTTTCACTTAAACTCATAGTAAAGATCACCAGTTGGGGCATGGAAAAGGTAAGAGTTAGAGATAAAAAGGAACATAACGATTATATGAGAAGTTGATGTTTATAAAAGAGGTTGATCCATTTATCCAAATATGTGTGTTTGCAGCCGTAGGCTGTGTCTGCCCTATTATGTATCCTTTTTGGATAAGGTTTTTGTTTCGTTTCGTTTTGTTTATTTGTTTGTTTGTTTGAGATGGAGTTTTGCTCTTGTTGTCCAGGCTGGAGTGCAATAGCATGACCTTGGCTCACTGTAACCTCTGCCTCCCGGGTTCAAGCAGTTCTCCTGCCTCAGCCTCCTAAGTAGCTGGGATTACAGGTGCCCGCCACCACACCTGGCTAATTTTGTATTTTTAGTAGAGATGGACTTTCGCCATGTTGGCCAGGCTGGTCTTGAACTCCTGACCTCAAGTGATCCACTCGCCTTGGCCTCCCAAAGTGCTGGGATTACAGGTATGAGCCACCGTGCCCGGCCTGGATAAGCTTTTTTTTTTTTTTTTTTTTTTTTTTGTGATGGAGCCTCACTTTCTAGCCCAGGCTGGAGTGCAGTGGCACAATCTCAGCTCACTGCAACCTCTGCCACCTGGGTTCAAGCAATTCTCCTGCCTCAGCCTCCCCAGTAGCTGGGATTACAGGTGCCTGCCACCGCACCCGGCAAATTTTTATATTTTTTAGTAGAGATGGGGTTTCACCATCTTGGCCAGACTGGTCTTGAACTCCTGACCTCGTGATCCACCCACCTCGGCCTCCCAAAGTGCTGGGATTACAGGTGTGAGCCACCATGCTCAGCACCAGCCTAGATAAGCTTTAAAAAGCCAGGGTGGGCGTGGTGGCTCAAGCCTGTAATCCCAGCACTTTGGGAGACTCCGAGGTGGGCAGATCACTTGAGGTCAGGAGTTGGCAAGCAGTCTGGCCAACATGGTGAAACCCCGTCTCTACTAAAAAAAAAAAAGCCACTTAACAGGTGGGGTGCAGTGGCTCATACCTATAATCCCAGCCCTTTGGGAGGCCAAGGCGGGTGGATTGTTTGAGCTCACCAATTAGAGACCAGCCTGGGCAAATGGCAAAACCCTGTCTCTACTAAAAGTACAAAAATTAGGTGGGTATGGTGGTGTGCACCTGTAGTCTCAGCCACTCAGGAGGCTAAGATGGGAGGATGGTTTGAGCCCAGGAGGCGGAGGTTGCAGTGAGCTGAGATCATGCCACTGCACTTCAACCTGGGTGATAGAGCCAGACCTTGTCTCAAAAAAAAAAAAAAAAAAAAAAAAGAAGCCACTTGCATTCAGTTTAAAATCAGATGCTGCCTCATGCCCCAAACATGGAACTCTTCATAACCTTATTCATTAGAGCTTAGAATTCAGTAAGAATCAGTTGGATTTTGGATCCTATCCAGTGCATTATAGTTTTTGAAGCCTCAAGATTTCCGTTTACATGTCTTTCATGTTTAAAGTTTGAGCAACAGGCTGGGTGGTGGCTCATGCTTGTAATCCCAACGCTTTGAGAGGCTAAGGCGGGAGGGTTGCTTGAAGCCAGGAGTTTGAGATCAGCCTGGGCAAAATAGCAAGACCTTGTCTCTACAAAAAATTAAAAAGTTAGCCAGATGTGTCGGTGTGTGCCTATAGTTGCAGCTACTCAGGAGGCTGAGGCAGGATCACTTGAACCCAAGAATTTGAGGTTACAGTGAGCTATGATTGTGCCACTGCCCTGCAACCTGAGGGACAGAGTGAGACCCTGTCTCAAAAATAAAATTAAGATAGAGTTTGAACAAGGTCTCAGAATAAGTTTTCTTCATTTCTTAAATACGTTTTTAAAATAAATACTATGGACTTAACAAAAATTTTAAATATACAGAACAACATAAAGAAAAAAATGCAATCCTACACCTGTATATAAGCACTATTGATATTTTGATTAAGTTCCTTCCAGACATCTTTACAGGTACATGTGTGCAGTACATGTATGTGTTTTTGTCACTCTAAAGAAGAGAAGGGATCACAGTAATGCTTTTGGGGTGGGAGGAAGCCCACCTTCACGTTCAGTAAAAGGGATACGTGAGGCCGGGCATAGTGGCTCAAGCCTGTTATCCCAGCACTTTGGGAGGCCAAGGCGGGTGGATCACGAGGTCTGGAGATCGAGACCATCCTGGCTAGCACGGTGAAACCCCGTCTCTACTAAAAATACAAAAAATTAGCCGGGCGTGGTGGCGGGCGCCTGTAGTCCCAGTTACTGGGGAGGCTAAGGCAGGAGAATGGCGTGAACCCAGGAGGCAGAGTTTGCAGTGAGCTGAGATTGTGCCACTGCACTCCAGCCTGGGCGACAGAGTGAGACTGCATCTTAAAAAAAAAAAAAAAAAAAAAGGGATACATGAATGGAAGAAAGAAAATTAGCTTCAGCATCTGAACACTCAAAACAGTTTGTAAACATCAGTGTTTAATTAAATTATTTTGAGGATTATCTTCAACTATCAGGAAAAATGAAATGATTCTGAAATATGTTGTGGATTCTGAGTTGAACTGAAAGCTCCATGTGGGGGTGTAAAGGCTCTGCTTATCCAGCCACGTGTCCAGGTTAAGGCCTTAACATAGGACTGAAACAGAAGACTGTTAACTTTTTGCCATTCCCAAACATAGAAACAGATGTCCATCCACAGCTCTTCAGCCATTCTGGATGGCTAATTAGATGGGGGTATGGACTGCATTGCCATCAACTCAGATAAAATTCATTGCTCTTTTAATAAGGCAATACATAAATTGTATGTGTATGTCTGTTTTTGTTTTAGGATGTGTGTAGTAATCAGTTCAGTGATGCTACTGTGTGATTGAATGAACTGAGTAGATCGTTAAGGGTTCTTTTCTAACCACTATATTATTCAAGAATTCATTTAGAATGTCTTTAATTTCCTCCAGTTGGTAGCCCAATAGTGTACTGCCTTAAATGTTCAAAAAGCATGCCTCTGCCATTTGCAGTAACTGGAAACCTTAGGAATTTCTGCCAAAGTCCTTCAAAGCATAAAGCTGAAGTATGTATTGAAATGCTTGAGTCAGCTGCTCAAGGGTTATACTGACTGCACTCCTGCTGATTTTTCTAGGGTAAAAAAATCTCCTTGGTGACCTGAGGCAGCTACCCAGAAGCACGTGTATTATAACTATGCACAAAAAGCACAGAGATATACTACATCTAAATTCTAGCATTGGAATTGTTATATTTTTTATTATTATACTTAATTTCAGTAAATCTTTTTTAATAACGTATAAGAAAATAACTTTAACTCTTCTACTGATTACCATTAAAATTTTTTAACTCTTCTCTAACTTTCTAATTTAGGGAAGGAAAAAGAAAGGTACCTACTGTATTTATTGAATGTTTAGTATGTGCCTGAAATTTTTATTTGCTTAGTGTTACTCCCATTTTGTAGATGAGGACCTCAGAACAGTTAAGTGCGGTCACATAGCTTTGAATAGCAAGCACAGTTAGGATTTGAACAAGGTCTTCTTGATTCCAAAGGCATCTCTATGACCACATCATGCTGTAGAATGAGCTATCAACTATTAGGCCTATAAAAGACTATCAACCTTATTAAATAAAAAAACTAAGGTGCAGCACGGTAAGCATAATGTACCACCATATGTATGATCAGATATACACGCATGTGTATGTGTTTATTTTCATACATGCTTAGCATACCAGGCATCTCTTTGAATGGTTGCCTCTAGGAATGGAGACAGGGTAGCTAGAAATCTGGACTTTTATTATAAAACCTTTTATACCTCTTGAGTTTTGTTTTATGTGCATGTATTACCTATTCACAGGAGAAACTGTGTGTACCACTGTGCCCAGCCAGTTTGTCTAGTTTTTGAAACAAGAACACCATGCCTCGAGTGACAGTAATTGTAGTCATGACTGAAGTAAAACAAGTATTTTATGAGTTTTAAATTTGAACTTAAAAAAGCTTCCTATCTACTAAAAGCTTGATTTTCATTTGGGGCCACATTAATGGAAATAGAGTATTTTGAACAAGCAAGGGGGATCAGTTGAGTTGGCTTTGTGCTTATTAGATCATACCTTATCTTGAATATACTTTATTTTTGCACTTGATTTTAAGAACTGTAATGGCCTGTTTACATAGCTGTCTCCCCTGCAAGGCTGGGCATTCCTTGAGGGATAGAATCCATGGCTCATTTGCCCTTGTGTCTTTACTGGCTAGCCTAATTCCCAACACTTGGTAGGTAGCTAATAAAAGTTGATTGAGTTGAATGGAAATAGAAATACTTAGCTTAGTATGGGGAGGAGAGAGAAGAGAAAAATCTGTCTTCAGATAATTACAGAGTTCTCATGTAGAAGAGAGATTAAGTTTGTTCTATATGGCTTGAGAAGACAGGGAACCAGTGGGTAGAAGTATGGAGAAGTTTCTAAAGGTTGAATCATCTAAAGCCTAGATGGGTCTGTCTTAGAATCTATCTCCAGGGGATTCATGGCTCTTTAACTTACTTTTTTCCCCCATTTTTTGTTTGTTTGTTTGTTTGTTTGTTTTTGAGGCAGAGTCTTGCTCTGTCGCCCAGGCTGGAGTGCAGTGGCACAATCTCACTGCAGCCACCGCCTCCCGGGTTCAAGCAATTCTCCTGCCTCAGCTTCCTGAGTAGTTGGGACTACAGGCGCATGCCACCACGCTCACCTAATTTTTTGTATTTTTGGTAGAGATGGGGTTTCACTACGTTGACCAGGCTGGCCTTGAACTCCTGACCTCAAGTGATCCACCCGCCTCGGCCTCCCAAAGTGCTGGGATTACAGGAGTGAGCCACCGCGCCCAGCTCTTTCCTCCACTTTGTTATAGATATAGCATGTATGTGAATACTTTAGTTATCATTTATTATAGGAAGCAAAATTACTAACCTTCTTCTTTGATTTTTTTGTTCATAGTCAAGTTCATCCGAGAAGTAACACCATATATCAAGAAGCCATCATTAGTATCAGATCTGCCGTGGGAAGGTGCAGCCCCCCAGTCACCAAGCTTTAGTGGCAGTGAGGACTCTGGTTCGCCAAAACACCAGAACAGCACCAAGGACAGGAAGATCATCCCTCTCAAAATGTGCTTTGCTGCTAGAAACCTAAGCATGCCGGATCTGGAAAACAGGTGAGGTGTACCTAACAAGAACATCATACCTACAGCTTTACAAACTTAAGGACATGTTGCAGTATTATATGACTCTGTTAACTCAGTTATACAGAGGAAAACATCTGTCTGAGGTGAGAGATGCATTTTTGGGGTTCCACATTTTAAGTTATTCTACATATATACATGTATATGTGTAGAAAAAATTTTGAACAGACACACAAGAAACTGTTAATGGCTTTACCTCTAGGGTGTCAAATAAGACTAAAGGGGTGAAAGAAAGAGGGGGCATCTTTTCTTCCTTTTATGTCTTTCTGTAATGTTGTTATTACTTTTTTCACTATGAATATGTATTACTTTATAATTGAAAGAAGTCCATTCAGTATGATATTGGCTGTGGGTTTGTCATAGATAGCTCTTATTATTTTGAAATACATCCCATCAATACCTAATTTATTGAGAGTTTTTAGCATGAAGGGTTGTTGAATTTTGTTGAAGGCTTTTTCTGCATCTATTGAGATAATCATGTGGTTTTTGTCTTTGGCTCTGTTTATATGCTGGATTACATGTATTGATTTGCGTATATTGAACCAGCCTTGCATCCCAGGGATGAAGCCCACTTGATTATGGTGGATAAGCTTTTTGATGTGCTGCTGGATTCGTTTTGCCAGTATTTTATTGAGGATTTTTGCATCAATGTTCATCAAGGATATTGGTCTAAAATTCTCTTTTTTGGTTGTGTCTCTGCCCGGCTTTGGTATCAGAATGATGCTGGCCTCATAAAATGAGTTAGGGAGGATTCCCTCTTTTTCTGTTGATTGGAATAGTTTCAGAAGGAATGGTACCAGTTCCTCCTTGTACCTCTGGTAGAATTCGGCTGTGAATCCATCTGGTCCTGGACTCTTTTTGGTTGGTAAACTATTGATTATTGCCACAATTTCAGCTCCTGTTATTGGTCTATTCAGAGATTCAACTTCTTCCTGGTTTAGTCTTGGGAGAGTGTATGTGTCGAGGAATTTATCCATTTCTCACTCATAGGTGGGAATTGAACAATGAGATCACATGGACACAGGAAGGGGAATATCACACTCTGGGGACTGTGGTGGGGTGGGGGGAGGGGGGAGGGATAGCATTGGGAGATATACCTAATGCTAGATGACGAGTTAGTGGGTGCAGCGCACCAGCATGGCACATGTATATATATGTAACTAACCTGCACAATGTGCACATGTACCCTAAAACTTAAAGTATAATAAAAAAAATATATATATATATTAAAAAAAAAAAAGAAGTCTTGTTAAAGATAAATTTTTAAATATCTCCTTAGATGGAAATTCCTTATACTGTAGGTAGTATAGAGTTAGAGGTCTGCATTATGGTTCTGGCTGAATCAACCAGCAGTGTGACTCTGGCAAGTTAGCTTCCCTTGACCTCAGTTTCCTCATTTGCAAAATGAGAAAATTAGATTGGATAATTTCTGATGTCCCTCCTAGTTCTATAATCATATGTGTTCTATAACTTTGTCTTCATTAACTCAATGAAGTGGCACTGGTAGACCGAATGTTAGGTTAGAGATTAGTGGAAAAAATAAGATGAAAATAACTTGCCCAAAGACATAGTTAAGGACAGACTTTTTATAATGTGTTTTCACTATTATGGTCTCCTCTGATCTTAATGCACAGCCAGGTCCCTGATCAGGATGGAATGGAGCACAGAAGACACCAAGAAACTGAATGGCCTCCTTGGGTGTTTAAGGCTTTAAAGCTTCTGCTCTGTAGTATATTATGTGGTTTGCTGGAATGAACTGAGCTCTGCAGTCAGACAGACCTTGGTTTGAATCCCAACTAGGTCACCTGCTCAAAGTAGGGTTCTGAGCAAGTCCCTTCACTTCCATACACCACCATGTCATCATCTTTAAAAAAAGGGATAATGGTACTTAGTGTGCAGATTAAATGAGATAGTACCTATAAAGGCCCTTTCACAGAGCCAAGCACATATAGTAGGTTCTCAAGAAATAGTATGTTTAAAAAGTCTTAACTCTGCTGGGCACAATGGCTCACATCTGTAATCCTAGCACTTTGGGAGGCCAGGGTTAGAGAATTGCTTAAAAGCCAGAAGTTTAAGACCAACTTGGGCAACACAGTGAGACCTCGCCTCTACAGGATTTTTTAAAAAAAAATTAGCCAGGCATACTGGCATGCACCTGTAGTCCTAGCTACTTGGGAGGCTGAGGTGGGAGGATCACTTGAACCCAAGAGTTCAAGGCTGCAGTGAGCTAGGATTGTGCCACTGCACTGTAGCCTGGGTGACAGAACAATATCCTGTCTCTTAAGAAAAGTCTTAACTGACTACTATGTAAACACATTTTGAAAATTATAATCTGATGTATTTAAATTGTTGGCTTTGTTTTAAAAGTTCAAGACATTGTAGAAATTACTTTGTGCTACATATAGGTTTATTTCTGGAAGGTTGTGTGTATGTTGAATCATCTAAGTGCAACACAGCTTGATCTTTAAAGGAATTTTATATTCTTTTCATAAAGTAAGAATTTAATTTGGGCTGGGCGAGGTGGCTCACGCCTGTAATCCCAGCACTTTGGGAGACGGAGGCAGGTGGATTACTTCAGTTCAGGAGTTCAAGACCAGCCTGGCTAATATGGTGAAACCCTGTCTCCACTAAAAATACAAAACAGCCAGGCATGGTGGCAGGCACCTGTAATCCCAGCTACTTGGAAGGCCAAGGCAGGAGAATTGCTTGAACCTGGGAGGCAGAGGTTGTAGTGAGCCGAGATTGCGCCTCTGCACTCCAGTCTGGGTGACAGAACGAGACTCTGTCTCAAATAAAATAAAATAAAATAAATAAACAAATGAGATACATTTGAGCTAGACATGGTGGTGGCTCACACCTATCATCCCAATACTTTGGGAGGCTGAGGCAGGAGGATTGGTTGAGGCCAGGAGTTTAAGACCAGCTTGGGCAACATAACAAGACCCTATCTCTACAAAAAAAAAGAGAGAGACAGAGAGAAAAAAAGAGATACATTTATACAGAGCCCTTGGTCTGTTAATCATGGGCTTTTTTTTTTTTTTTTTTAAAGTTAGGGGCCTTAGAGAATTAAATAGAATGGAGAAACGATGTGATAAAGAGGAACAAATTGCAACTACATTTGTCAACTAGCTGTCAGGCTGAGAAAAGTATAGAGTCAATTTTGTTATAAATCATTTCTTTCTTTTTTTTTTTTTTTTTTTGAGACAGGGCTTCACTCCCCTCGCCTAGGCTAGAGTACAATGGCCTGGTCTCAGCTCACTGCAACCTCTGCCTCCTGGGCTCAAGTAATTCCCCTGCTTCAGCCTTCCAAGTAGCTGGGACTGCAGGTGCATGCCACTGTGCCCAGCTAATTTTTGTATTTTTTGTAGAGACAGGGTTTTGCTACATTGCCCAGAGTGGTCTCCAACTCCTAGATTCCAGCAATCTACTCGCTTTGGTCTCCCAAAGTGCTGGGGTTACAGGCATGAGCCACCGCTCCCGGCCATAAATAATTTTTGAGAATAGGTACCTGTAGTGCTGCTGATGTAGCTGGGTATTGAAGAAAAAGGCAAAACGTTATAAAGTTTCTGTAGAAACCCGGGGTTGTGGGAGTGGGCAAAGAAGGAAGGAAGAAGATGATATGACTTGGCTGTATTGCTAAACGTTGTGCTACTTCGTCATTCACTAAGGATTGAAGTCCAGTTAACCTTGGTCTTTGTTAAAACTTGGGGGCTGAATTCTCTTTGACATATTTATACACTAAAGACATTTCGTGATGGTCAGATGTGAAATAGATTTTCAGAACCAAATGGAGAGGGCAGTTTGGGGCTACAAGAATTGTACCATTATACCTTCCTTTTCAGTAAATGATCAGTCTACTCGACCATGGCATGCCATATAAGGAAAGGTCTTAGAAGATCCACGCTAGTTTTGAGATTCTCAGTCTTAATGCTGCAAAGTAACTTGTTCTAATTTTACTTAAGATATCAAAATTTGGCCGGGTGCAGTGGCTAACACCTGTAATCCCAGCACTTTGAGAGGCCAAGGTGGGTGGATCACTTGATATCAGGAGTTCGAGACCAGCCTGGCCAACATGGTGAAACCCCGTTTCTACTAAAAATACTAAAATTAGCCAGGTGTGGTGGTGCACGCCTGTAATCCCAGCTATTCGGGAGGCTGAGATAGGAGAATTGCTTGAACCCAGGAGGTGGAGGTTGCAGTGAGCTGAGATTGCAGCACTTTGCAAAACTCTGTCTCAAAAAAAAATTTTTAAAAATAAAAAATTTTGCAAATGATTTGCTTTTTGTAAAATATAAATTGGAAGAGATTCAAGGTTATTCCTATGTTGATACCACTTATACTCGCATTTCCATGCGTTTTTTAGACATAAAAGTAGTAGGATTACAAGGAGTTTGCAAAAAATATGCATAACTTTGGCTATACTCATGGGAATGTGAACATCTGTGTGTCTTGGCAGAAAAAATGTACAGAACCATTAACTAATTAGACCTCAGTTATGAGAGAAGATAGAATTTAGGAAGATAGGCTTCGTAATGTTGGTCAAGCTACTTGTTTTCCACAAGCCTTGCATTTCCCCTGTATAAAATAAGATTCTAGGAGGATTAAATAAGACAATATTAACTTCTCAAGTTATTATTATAGGCATTGTTAGTGTCCTTGTGACCTTAAATAAGTTCCTTAATTTCTCTGTCCTCCTGTTTTCTCTGTAGAATGGACATAATATCTGCTCAACTATGTACTTTAGAATGAGAATAAATAATATCTATAAAATAACTCAGGGCTGGGGGCTCATGCCTGTAATCCTAGCACTTTGGGAGACTGAGACGGGCAGATCACTTGAGGCTGGGAGTTTGCGACCCTGTCTGTACTAAAAATAACAAAAAATTGCCCAGGCATGGTGGCACACACCTGTAATCCCAGCTACTCAAGAGGCTGAGGCATGGGAATTGCTTGAACCTGGGAGGCGGAGGTTGCAGTGAGCCGAGATTGTGCCACTGCACTCCAGCCTGGACACACCAGGTGACAGAGTGAGATTCTGTCTCAAAAAGAAATAAAAATAAAATAATAAAATAACTTGGAGCTCATTGGTCCTTAAATTTATCTCAGCTCTGTTAAAGGAAATATCCATTTGTTTATCTGTTTTTTTTTTTTTTTGAGACGGAGTCTCGCTCTGTCGCCCAGGCTGGAGTGCAGTGGCGGGATCTCGGCTCACTGCAAGCTCCGCCTCCCGGGTTCACGCCATTCTCCTGCCTCAGCCTCCCAAGTAGCTGCGACTACAGGCTCCCGCCACTACGCCCGGCTAATTTTTTGTATTTTTAGTAGAGACGGGGTTTCACCGTTTTAGCCGGGATGGTCTCGATCTGCTGACCTCGTGATCTGCCCGCCTCGGCCTCCCAAAGTGCTGGGATTACAGGCGTGAGCCACTGCACCCGGCCTTGTTTATCTGTTTTTTATTGATAGTCACTTGAACAATTTCCAGTGTGGAGTTAGTATTAATAAAGTTACTGAATATTTTTGTAATGTCCTATTTTTTTTTTTCTTCTGATTTAAAGGCCTCAGAAACATTTTCATTTCTGTTGGGTAAATTTGTAGGAGTGGAATTGCTGGATAGGTGCATGTTTAGTTTAAAAAAAAAAAAAAAAAAAAAAAAACTAGGCCAGGCACAGTGGCTGACGCCTGTAATCCCAGCACTTTGGGAGGCCGAGGTGGGCAGATCACCTGAGGTCAGGAGTTCAAGACCAGCCTGACCAACATGGAGAAACCCCGTCTCTACTAAAAATACAAAGTTAGCTGGGCGTGGTGGCTCATGCCTGTAATCCCAGCTACTCGGGAGGCTGAGGGAGGAGAATCGCATGAACTCGGTAGGCAGAGGTTGTGGTGAGCTGAGATCGTACCATTACTTACACTCCAGCCTGGGCAACAAGAGTGAAACTCCGTCTCAAAAACAACAACAAACTGCCAGGCTGGGCACAGTGGTTCATGCCTGTAATTCCAGTACTTTGGGAGGTCGAGGCGGGTGGATCACCTGAGGTCAGGAGTTTGAGACCAGCCGGGCCAACATGGCAAAACCCCATCTCTACTAAAAATAAAACAATAAAATAAAATAAACTGCCAGACTTTCTTCCAAAGTAATTGTGCCATTTTATGTTCCTGCCAATATATGAGAGTTTCCATTGCTCCACATCCTCACCAAAAGGTGTCAGTCTTTTTAATATTTACCTTTGTGATGGGTGCGTAGTGGAATCTTTTTGTGGCTCATCCTTCATTCTTATCTAAAGCCTTCACTTTCTAAACCAAAAATGTGTTTGGTATTAGAGGGAAATACCCTTTTTTTCTGCTTTACTGCTTTGATTTAGTTCCATAGAGCTGAGAAAAAGTAAAAAGTGCTAATGATCAGAATGAGTAAGTACAGGGGAAGAGGAATTTTACTCCCTTCCTCTACCTTGAGTTTTCAAGACCTCACTGGATGCATCTTGATGCATCTGGTAATTATACGTATTTCATTCTGGAAAGCGAACACTTATTAAATAATGATGAAGTCCAAGGAGAGAACATGAGCCCCTTCCTTAGCAATCAGTATTGTAGGCAGTGTGAAGTTTAGGAAGAACAAGGTGTTCTTAAACACTCCTTTCGGAAATGTAAATCCGTGTTCTTTGCATTGGTTCACAGTGCCTCAGTCATCTTCACATTGGCAATTTTCCATGTAAAAGGTAAATTTTGCCTTTATAATGTGTACAATTATATGATTATTACTAAGTTGAACACATAAGTTATATCAAAGGCTTTGCTAAACAGGAGAAGTAAAGTAAGCTAGACTTACAGAATCCTGTGTACCTAAACATTGATTTGATTCATCTGATCAAAATGTTAATTGCATTTCTCAGAAAATCCTCTCGTTTGACAAGAGGCCAAAACTTCACACATAGCTGTCTCCTCTTCTCCCTTGTGGACCCAAATGATTACTGGCAGATTGTCTCCATATTTTTATTAGCAAAGTTTTCATTGGAATTTTCTTTTAAAATAGCAGTAGGCTTTACAAATTACTTTGTCCCCTTTGTCAGTTTTTTTTTTTTTTTTTTGAGATGGAGTCTTTGTCGCCCAGGCAGGAGTGCAGTGGCACGATCTTGGCTCACTGCAAGCTCCACCTCCCGGGTTCACGCCATTCTCCTGCCTCAGCCTCCCAAGTAGCTGGGACTGCAGGCGCCTGCCACCACGCCCAGCTAATTTTTTGTATTTTTAGTAGAGATGGGGTTTCACTGTGTTAGCTAGGATGGTCTCGATCTCCTGACCTCGTGATCCACCCACCTTGGCCTCCCAAAGTGCTGGGATTACAGGCGTGAGCCACCACACCTGGCCCCCTTTGTCAGTTTTAATGGTTTCTTCAAAGGTGGACTCTTTTGGATCCTAGACTCATCGGTCCTATTTTGGAGCTTCTTTGCTGTTTCTTTTAATTTAATTTTCTATTTCACAATCCCTTTTCAAGAA
Source organism: Homo sapiens (assembly GCF_000001405.40). Classification (NCBI taxonomy): domain Eukaryota; kingdom Metazoa; phylum Chordata; class Mammalia; order Primates; family Hominidae; genus Homo; species Homo sapiens. The sequence continues at coordinate 69,253,328 of NC_000016.10, forward strand.
AAATCGCAAAATTTTTCTTTTCATAAAAAACTGGTTAACTGGCCGGGCGTGGTGCCTCACACCTGTAATCCCAGCACTTTGGGAGACCGAGGCGGGTGGATCACGAGGTCAGGAGATCGAGACCATCCTGGTTAACATGGTGAAACCCCATCTCTACTAAAAATACAAAAAATTAGCCGGGCGTGGTGGCGGGCGCCTGTAGTCCCAGCTACTCGGGAGGCTGAGGCAGGAGAATGGCGTGAACCCAGGAGGCGGAGCTTGCATTGAGCCAAGATTGTGCCACTGCACTCCAGCCTGGGCGACAGAGCAAGACTCTGTCTCAAAAACAAAAACAAAAACAAAAAAGCTGTTTAACTGTCAGTGGGAAATAACTCACTATCTATTCTCATCTTTTTTCAGCCCAGTGGTCCCGGTATCTACTTGTGTTTAATCAGGCTTAGTTTTATTTTATAACAGATTTATTTTCCATTCTCCCAGTTATTAATAACTAGGATCTGAGACATCAGGATTTTCAGAACTCAGACTGTGTCAAAGGAGGAATGTCTGAGAGATTGTCCTAGGAATTGTATGATGTGTAAAGACTTTCAGAAGGTGAACATTCTGTGCCTCGAGAAGGATGAACTGATTCCTATCTGTAGTGCTAAGTAGGTCAGTAGGAGGAGTGAAGGAAATTTCTGGTCAAGGTTTTGCAGCTGAACTTTTAGCATGTGCTTAAAAGATGTTATACTGGTTACAGTGCCAAAGCAACTAGATGGAAATAAATAGTCCCTCTAGAAAATAGTCAGCCTGATATACGATCTGAAATAAGGACATCATTGCCTCCCCCACCCAGTTTGGTGGGATGAGGGTGATTCTGAATCTTCTGCTAGAATGAGGGTGGGGCAGTCACTGGCCACTGGATGTGGAGAATGCTGACAGGCTTTCAGGCATACCACGCAGAGTAAAGCTGCATGCTTTACTCTCACTTCCAGAGGTAACTGGTACCACCGCTTCCCCGGCCTCTTAGGGATTCTCCAACATGGATTGGCTGGGATTTGGCTCTTTCCACTTTTCTTAAATCAGCTAAGTCATTTAACTCCTCTCTTTACTAGCTTCCAAAATTTTGTTGTAGTCACTCCTCTCCTGTTCTTGGATTTGTAAGATTATGCTTTTTAAAAAATCCCCTTTAAGTTTGGTGGTGACTTCTTACATACAACCCCAAAAGCACAATCCATAAAGAAAAAACTTGACAAGTTGAACCTCTTTAAAATTTAAAACTTCAGCCCTGCAAAAGACACTGAAGAGAATGAAAAGACAAGCCACACATTGGGAAGAAATCTTTACAAAATACATATCCAATAAAGGACTGGTATCCCAAATATACAGAGGGACCAAGCACAGTGGCTCATGCCTATAATCCTAGCACTTTAGGAGGCCAGGGCAGGAGGGTCACTTGAGCCCAGGAGTTCAAGACCAGCCTGGCAACATAGTGAGACCCTGTCTCTACAAAAAATTTTTTTTTAAAGTAGTTGGGTGTGGTGGTGCACATCTGTGGTAGTCCCAGTTAACTGGGAGGCTGAGGTGGGAGGATCACTTGAGACCTGTATGGTCAAGGCTGCAATGGGCTCTTAGGATGGAAGAATTTCTGCCCAGTAATCTGTGTCCCTACTGATGACTTCTGTGTGTAGTCTCATTCTTCTTGCATTCAATTAAATCTCACCAGGCCATTTCTGTCTTTATTGTAATTCATCTCACATCCCACCATAAAATTATTTTATTATTATTTTTATTTTATTTATTTATTTTTTAGAGACAGGATCTCGCTCTGTCACCCAGGCTGGAGTACAGTGGTACTATCATAGCTCACTCTAGCCTCGAACTCCTGTGCTCAAGAGATCTTCCCGCCTCAGCCTCGCTAGTAGCTAGGACTGCAGATGTATGTCACCATGCCTGGCTGATAAAAAAAAATTTGAGGGCCGTGCACAGTGGCTCACGCCTGTAACCCCAGCACTTTGGGAGGCCAAGGTGGGCGGATCACGAGGTCAGGAGATCGAAACCATCTGGCTAACATGGTGAAACCCCGTATCTACTAAAAATACAAAAAATTAGCCTGGCATGGTGGTGGTGCCTGTAGTCACAACTACTCGAGAGGCTGAGGCAAAAGAATGGCGTGAACCTGGGAGGCGGAGCTTGCAGTGAGCCGAGATCACGACACTGCACTCCAGCCTGGGCGAAAGAGCCAGACTCCGTCTTAAAAAAAAAAAAAAGAAAGAAAGAAAAATTTTTTGTTGGGGCTGGGCACGATGGTTCATACCTATAATCCCAATACTTTGGGAGGCTGAGGCGGGTGGATCACCTGAGGTCAGGAATTTCAGACCAGCCTGACCAACATGGTGAATCCCCCACTCTACTAAAGATACAAAAACTAGCCAGGCTTGGTGGCACTTCCCTGTAATCCCAGCTGGGGAGGCTGAGGCAGGAGAATCGCTTAAACCAGGAGGTGGAGGTTGCAGTGAGCTGAGACCGCGCCATTGCACTCCAGCCCGGGCAACAAGAGGTAAACTCTGTCTCAAAAAAAAAAAAAAATTGGTTGGGGTGGGGGGCGACGCAGTGGCTCACGCCTGTAATCCCAGCACTTTGGGAAGCTGAGGCGGGCGGATCATGAGGTCAGGAGTTCGAGACCAGCCTGGCCAACATAGTGAAACCCCGTCTCTACTAAAAGTACAAAAACTAGCCATGCGTGGTGGCCGGCGCCTGTAGTCCCAGCTACTCGGGAGGCTGAGGCAGGAGAATCGCTTGAAACCAGAAAGCAGAGGTTGCAGTGAGCCAAGATCGGGCCACTGCACTCCAGCCTGGGTGAAAGAGCGAAACTCCGTCTCAAAAAAAAAAGTTTTGTAGAGATGGGTTCTCACTTTGTTGCCTAGGCTGGTCTCAAACTCCTGGCTTCAAGTGATTTCCCCGCCTCAGCCTCCCCAAAGTGTTGGGATTACAGGCATGAGTCACTGTACTTGGCCTAATTTTTTTTAAATTGTAAAATACACATAACATGAAATTTCTTAATCATTTTTAAGTGTACAGGTCAGAAGTGTTAAGTATATTCATATTTTTGTACAACCAATGTCCAGAAATTTTTCTTCTTGCAAAACTAAAATACTCTACTCATTGAAAAACTCCCCATTTCACCCTTCCTTCAGCTCCTGGCACTTACCATTCTGCTTTCTGTGAGTTTGCTCTAGATACTTCATGAAAGTAGGCTCATATGTTATTTCTTCTTTCGTGACTGGCTTATTTTACTAGTATAATATCCTCAATGTTGATGCATGTTGTAACATGTGTTAGGATTTCTTTCCTTATTAAGGCTGAATAATGCCATTATATGTATATACTGCATTTTGTTTATCTGTTCCTCCATTGATGGACATTTGGGTTGCTTCCACCTTTTGGCTATTGTGAATGATGCTGCTATAAACATGGGTGTACAAATGTCTCATAAAATTATTTTTTAAGTTAATTGTTTTGATCATGTTGCCCTCCTGTTGAGAATTCTAAATGATTCTATGTTATTAATAGTTACCAATTAAGGCCAGGCACAGTGGCTCACGCCTGTAATACCAGCACTTTGGGAGACCGAGGCAGGCGGATCACTTGAGGTCAGGAGTTCGAGACCAGCCTGGCCAACATGGTGAAACCCTGTCTCTACTAAAAATACAAAAAATTAGCCAGGCTTGGTGGCATGTACCTGTAATCCCAGCTACTTGGGAGGCTGAGGCAGGAGAATCGCTTGAACCCGGCAGTCAGAGGTTTCAGTGAGCTGAGATCGTGCCACTGTACTCCAGCCTGGGCGAAGAGCGAGACTCCATCTCAAAAAAAAAAAAAAAAAGTTACCAATTAATATTCAGACCTAACCTGCTATTCAAGATCCTCTAAATTCTGGAACCAAGCTATGTCTTAATATGTTTAGGTATAGAATAGGAAATCAAAGAGCTCATCAGAACTGTATCTAAATAAAAAGCAAATAGCTTAAAACTTTTTATCTGAAAGTTTTCCTCTGAGTAACATGAACTTTCAAATATGGACTTTTCTTAAGCCCTTTGGCTGTTCATGACTCTTATTTATTTATTTATTTATTTATTTATTTATTTATTTATTTATTTTCTTGAGACGGAGTCTTGCTCTGCTGCCCAGGCTGGAGTGCAGTGGCATGATCTCGGCTCACTGCAAGCTCCGCCTCCGGGTTCATGCCATTCTTCTGCCTCAGCCTCCCGAGTAGCTGGGACTACAGGCGCCCACCACCACGCCCGGCTAATTTTTTGTGTTTTTAATAGAGACGGGGTTTCACCATGTTAGCCAGGATGGTTTCGATCTGCTGACCTTGTTATCCACCTGCCTCGGCCTCCCAAAGTGCTGGGATTACAGGCGTAAGCCACCGCGCCCAGCCACAACTCTTATTTTATGTCTTCTATTTTCTAGAACTTTTGTCCTATTTTGCTGTTACCATAGAACTTTGACAGCATATAAAAGATGGATAGACTGGTAGGTAGGCCTGGAAGTAGCTAGATGATCTACTTTTTTCATCACTGTATCTCCAATACCAGTGCCTAGCACAATATTTGGCATGTAGTAGGTGCTCAATAAATGTTTATTTAAGAAAGGATAGACCAACCAGAATTCAAATGAAAATGAATATTTGCAATACAAAATATGACAATTTAAAGTATTTGGAGTTATAAAGGGTTTAGAAACTGACAAAAGAGCTTCAAAGCAGAAATGCTAGTATACTTGTAAATTGCTTATCTTTTTGACAAGTGGCATAGAATCTGATGATAGTGCTTTTAGGCAGCAAAAACTGTCTTCAGAAAATAATGTAAAGAAAACTCTCTCCCTGGTCATTGGCAGTTTGTCAATTTGTAGCCTACCATGAAAAACACTAAAGGCTTTTTTTTTCCATTTTAAAAGATATATATGTTCACAGCAGAGTATATATCTTAGTCATTTATTTATTTATTTGACTTTTAAAATTCATCTTTGCAAGAACTTTGATTGAAACACAAAACAATATTCAATAGATTGCTTTATAAATAATTTTTTCAATGTATATTTAAAATATTTTAGCTATTTTCTAAAGGTTACTTTTGAAATACAGATTGCTCTTGGTGAGCATTAATACAGAACAGTTATAGTGTTGATCTCTTAACTATTTTTCTACCTAATTCACTGGAGGAGTAATCATATAAAAGTACCCAAACACAGTTTCAAATTTTACAGAGTAATAATCTTCTGCTAATTTTCTTGTTCTTTCTTTTTTTTTTTTTTTTTTTTTTTTGAGAGGGAGTCTCGCTTTGTCGCCCAGGCTGGAGTGCAGTGGTGCAATCTTGGCTCACTGCAACCTCCAGCTCCTGGGTTCAAGCAATTCTCCTGCCTCAGCCTCCTCAGTAGCTGGGATTACAGGCATGTGCCATCACGCCTGGCTAATTTTTGTATATTTTAGTAGAGACAGGGTTTAGCCATGTTGGCCAGGCTGGTCTCAAACTCCTGACCTGAGGTGATCTGCCCATCTCAGCCTCCCAAAGTGCTGAGATTACAAGCGTGAGCCACCATGCCTGGCCGCTAATTTTCTATTTATTTCACATAATGTAAATTTCAGTTCATTATATGGCAGTACATCTTTTTAAGCTGGCACTACTTTATACCAGAATTTCCTAAATGCTTAAAAGGGTATCAGTTCCTTCTTTACAGTGTGCCTATGTGGTTCAGCAAGCATGCTTTTCATTTTTTAGACATAGAAATTAAGGCAAAGTGATCTACTGTAGACTCTACAGTAAGTTCCCTCAGCTTATTACATTAACACCGAAACGACAGATCCAGCAGTTGGTGTTTCTTTTTTTAATTTTTTCTCAGGTTCAGTAACTAGCCCAAGTTGGTCTTTCTGATTTTTTTTTTTTTTTTTTTTTTTTTTTTGAGACAGAGTTTCGCTCTGTCACCTAGGCTGGATCTCGGCTCACTGCAACCTCCACCTCCCTGGTTCAGGCAGTTCCCCTGCCTCAGCCTCCCGAGTAGCTGGGATTACAGGCACACGCCCCAACGCCCGGCTAAATTTTTTGTATTTTTGGTAGAGTCAAGGTTTCACTGTGTTGGCCAGACTGGCCTCAAACTCCTGACCTCAGGCAATCTGCCCGCCTTGGCCTCCCAAAGTGCTGAGATTACCGGAGTGAGCCACCGTGCCCGGCCTCTGATTTTTATCTTTCCATGTGTTGTTTTCTTTGGAACTGGACTCTAGGGAATTAAGAGAAAGTATCTTTTTTTTTTTTTTTTTTTGAGACGGAATCTCGCTCTGTCGCCCAGGCTGGAGTACAGTGGTGTGATCTTGGCTCACTGCAACCTCCGCCTCCTGGGGTCAAGCGATTCTCCTGCCTTAGCCTCAGCTTCCTGAGTAGCTGGGATTACAGGCACCCACCACCATGTCCGGCTAATTTTTTATATATTAGCAGAGACAGAGTTTCACCGTGTTGCCCAGGCTGGTCTCGAACTCCTGAGCTCAGGCAATCCCCCTGCCTTGGCCTCCCAAAGTGCTAGTATTACAGGCATGAGCCACCGTGCCCAGCCAAGAAAGTATCTTTATTTGAGTATACAAATTTATTTGAAGAATGCAAAATTAAAATAGATTTGCAGTTATGTATTTTAAACCTGGCAGGTTTGGTGACTTCTGTCCTAGCTCACTTTTTTTTTTTTCTTTTTCCACACAGATTGATAGAGCTACATTCTCCTGATAGCAGGAACACGTTGATCCTACGCTGCAAAGATACAGCCACAGCACACTCCTGGTTCGTAGCTATCCACACCAACATAATGGCTCTCCTCCCACAGGTGTTGGCTGAACTCAACGCCATGCTTGGGGCAACCAGTACAGCAGGAGGCAGTAAAGAGGTGAAGCATATTGCCTGGCTGGCAGAACAGGTAGGCTGGGAGGCAGGGCAGAGTATCACCTGGTTCCCATTCAGTGCCAGGATGGTTCCTCATTTAATATATCTGTAATACTTACCATGCAGTTAGGACCTGGATATCTAGCTTGCAGATCTTTTGTTTTTCAGTGTTTTGTTTCACCTCCCTTTTTCTCCTTCTACCTTTGTCTATTTGTTGCTAATTATCCACTCAACCAGAAGTAGCTGACATAGTAATCACTATCATACTATTACTAAAGAAGTTCTTATTACCATCTCTGTCCTTAATGACAGAGGATAATTTTCATGATTTTAGATCAGGGTCAGCTAACTTTTTCTGTAAAGGGCAAGATAGCGTCACGGCTACTTGACTCTTCTGTTGTAGCAAGACAACTGTCATAGGCAATAGGAAAATGAATGGGTGTGACTGCGTTTCAGTAAAACTTTATTTACAAAGACAAGTAAACTGGTGGTTGGCTGGATCTGGCCCAAGTGTCATAGTTTCCCAACCCTTGTTCCCTACTGGAAGAGCTTCTAGGGGCAGCAGGCTATAGTTGATTCCTCTGCTCTGGGAAAAGTATAAAATATACAAAATACTTTACAATTAGACAGAGGTACAATTGTCTTCCATAACTGAAAAGTGAAAAAAAGAGAAACAAGAAAGTCTGAGTGGATGTTGAGTTAAAGGAAAAGAACTTGAAAACCCAGGTTATTTTAGATCCCAGGTTTGACAAAAGGAGAGTAAAAGTTCCGTGTGACATTATGTTACATCTTTTTTCTTCACCATCAACTAGGCTAGAGGGGCTTGAAAAAAAAGGACTGGACTAGGGGGTTCAGAGATGAGTGTTTAAGTGCTAGCTCTGTTTTTCACTGCTTTTGAGTCTTTTCGAAACTTACGTTTTGAATCCTAGTTGTGTGTGCAAAGGGCCAGGGAGTGGACTAAATAACTGGTTTCCAAAAAAGCAGAATCAGCACAGGAAGGATTTTGTTCTTTCATTTTTGATTTTTTTTTTTCAAGTACAGTTTCCCACTGGTTCCCACCTTCCTCCCCAACATAGTTCTAACTTTTTTTTTTTTTAAGTTGAGGTTGATTTTATTTGAGGAGGATATTGTCCCCAAAGCAGTTCTGATGTGGTAGGTCTGTGGGTGGTGCCTGGTGATCTTGGTGGTACCAAGTAATTGTGGTAATTGAGGGGCCAATTTTGGTCACCAGCGAGAGTAATTTTTTTATTTTATTTTTTGCCACTTCTCAACTTTTTATGAACATTTCAAATAAAATTATAATAAATGAGAATGTAATATTAGTACAGTGATCATTTCTATAAAGCATAATTAGAATAAAAAATTAATGAAAGTCATGATATAAGTACTTATGACTTTGAAAATTTTAACATTTTAGTTGTGTTTATCATTGTTTCTATATTTTATATGCTAGTTGAAAAACTGAATTGAATAGTAATTGTTCTGTGCTTTTGGCATTGTTCAAAATCCTCATGATTTTAAAAAGGTAGCACGTTCACATGGTTGAAAAATCAAACAAAAAATTAATGGGTGAAAACTCTTGCCCTCATTCCCGTTACCTATCCACCTGTTATGCCTTTTGCCCTGGAAAGGTAACAACTCTTATTCCTTTCTATTGAATCTTTTGAGAGTTTCTTTATGCAAATAAAAAGAAAATATGAGGCAGGGTGTGGTGGCTCATACCTGTAAAACCAGCACTTTGGGAGGCTGAGGTGGGAGAATCGCTCAAGACCAGGAGCTTGAGACCAACCTGGGCAATATGGCAAAACCCCATCTCTACAAAAAATGTAAAAATACAAAAAAATGAGCTGGGTGTGGTGGCATGCACCTGTGTCCTTTCACACATGCACTGTCCAGATCCTTTGGCTCGTATGTCCAGGTAGACCAGATAAGGATATCAACATTATCTGCATATATTCAGTTCTTAAGTTTCTGACAGTAAATAGTAAAGCTTTGGTTAGTAAGGGATTTATCCAAAGGTTCACATCAGTTCCTAAGTTTGGATAGTGAGAGTTCAGAGGGTAGGGGATATTTCTTTTTTGTTGCTTTTTTTTTTTGGAAATGGAGTCTCGCTGTGTCAGCCAGGCTGGAGTGCGGTGGCGCGATCTTGGCTCACTGCAAGCTCGGCCTCCCGGGTTGTTGATACTAATTTTTATGTGACTGATTTTACCGTTTAACTGGTTATATTGGTTTTTGGTTTTTTGTTTGTTTTGTTTAATTTCCATGTTCATAGTGTTGTTTTTTTTAATTGGCAAATAATTATGTATATTTATGGGATACGGTATAATGTTTTGATACGTGTATACATTGTGGAATGCTCAAATCAGGCTAATTAACATATCCATCACCTCAAATATTTATCATTCTTGTGGTAAAAACATTTAAAATTTTTTATTTTAATGTATTTTGAAATATACAATTTTTTTTTTGAAATGAGGTCTCACTCTGTCGCCCAGGCTGGAGTGGAGTGGTGCGATCTCAGCTCACTGCAACCTCTGCCTCCCAAGTTCAAGCGATTCCCCTGCCTCAGCCTCCCGAGTAGCTGGGATTACAGGCACATGCCACCACACCCAGCTAATTTTTGTATTTTAGTAGAGATGGGGCTTCACCATGTTGGCCAGGCTGGTGTTGAACTCTTGACCTCAGGTCATCCACCCGCCTCAGCCTCCCAAAGTGCTGGGATCCGGCCAATACATTATTATTAACTATAGTCACCATACTATGCAAAAGATTACCAGAATTTATTCATCCTGTTTAATTGAAACTTTGTACCATTTGACCAACATCTCACTTTCCCCATCTACCCCTTACCTCAGCCTCTAGGAACTACCATTCCACTCTACTTTTTTTTTTTTTTTTGAGACAGGGTCTCATTCTTTCACCTGAGCTGGAGTGCAGTGGTATAATCATGGCTCAGTGCAGCCTCAACCTCCTGGGCCCAAGCAGTCCTCCCACTTCAGTATCCTGAGTAGCTAGGACTATAGGCACATACCACCACACCAAGCTAATTTTAAAATTATTTTTTGTAGAGATAGGATCTCACTGTGTTGCCCAGGCTGGTCTCAAACTCCTGGGCCCAGGTGATCTTCCCACCTTAGCCTCCCAAAGTGCTGGGATTACAGGCATGAGCCACTGTGCCCAGCCTGGGTATGTTCTTTTTTTTTTTTTTTGAGACGGAGTTTCGCTCTTGTTGCCCAGGCTGGGGTGCAATGATACAATCTTGGCTCACTACTATCTCCGCCTCCCAGGTTCAAGCAATTCTCATGCCTCAGCCTCTTAAGTAGCTGGGATTACAGGTGTGCGCCACCATGCTCAGCTAATTTTGTATTTTTAGTAGAGATGGGGTTTCACCATGTTGGTCAGGCTGGTCTTGAACTCCTGACCTCAAGTGATCCACCTGCCTTGGCCTCCCAAAGTGCTGGGATTACAGGAGTGAGCCACCGCACCCTGCTGGTTATATTTTTAAAAGGAAATTTTTTTGAGTCCACCAAATGGAGGACATGTATTATCTATTAAATGAGTTTTTTTAAGCATTTGAGTATTTTTTTAACTTTGTATGCCAAGACTTTTTTATTTTAGTGATATATACAAAATAAATGTAATTTTTTTTTTTTTGAGGCAGAGTCTCACTCTGTTGCCCAGAGTCTCACTCTGTTGCAGTGGCGCAATCTCGGCTCACTGCAAGCTCCGCCTCCCAAAAAAAAAATTTTTTGTGTAGAGATGGGGTCTCACTTTGTTACCTAGGCTGGTCTTGAATTCCTGGGCTCAAGCGTTCCTCTCTCCCGCCTCCCAAAAGCTGGGATTACAGGCATGAGCCACTGTACCTGGCCTTTGGCTTTTCTCATTAATGCCCAGGCCTGGGTCTCCCACAGTCGCGAAGAGGCACTGCTGCTGCTACTATCTTGTCTCTGCACCTGACCCTTCCCAGGACCTGTGATGCCAAGGCCATTGTGAGGGGCAAAAAAGTCAGGGTTTAGCCCCAGCTAAGCCGAGGGCTCTCGCTCTTCTGGTCTCCTGGGTCTGCCCTACCTGAAGACATGAGTGGTGAGTTGGCTCCAAGTAAAAGCACAGAGCATGTATCCACCTCGCCCATTCCCTGACAAATAATGACATATACTGCATATTTTCCAAGCATGGCAAAGTTGTAAAGGTTACTATAATGAAATATAAAGATACCAGGAAGAGTAAAGAGGTTGCATTTATTTTATTTTTGGATAAAATACTCTGCACAAAACAGTACTAGGGCAATAAACAACGGTTATTTGGTAGAGTGATAAAAGCAAGCATCACTATTGACAACAGAAGAGCAGCCGAGTTCACCCAAAGGCAGAACTACTTTGATGAATCTAAGTGTTATGTTTGTGGGAAAAGTGGACACCTAAGTTACGCCTGTCCGAAAAATATGCTTGAAGTACGTGAACCTCCAAAGAAGAAAGAAAAAAAAGAAAGTTCCTGAACCAGTAGAAGAAACTGAAGAAGTAGAAGACAGAGAAGATTAAGGGGAGAATCCTACTCTTTGACAGCCTTATGCCACAGCATTCCAGCAAGCCAAAACTGAGAAAGAAGAAAAGAAGAAAAAAAGAAAATCCAGTTCAGGAGGTCCCTCAACATCAGATGATTCAAGACGTTCAAGAATAAAGAAGAGCACATATTTCAGTGATAAGGAAGAACTTAAGTGATTACGATTAAAATTACATCTATTGGCCGGGCACGGTGGCTCATGCCTGTAATCCCAGCACTTTGGGAGGCCGAGGCGGGTGGATCACAAGGTCGGGAGATCAAGACCATCCTGTCTAACATGGTGAAACCTTGTCTCTACTAAAAATACAAAAAATTAGCTGGGTGTGGTGGCGGGCGCCTGTACTCCCAGCTACTGGGGAGGCTGAGGCAGGAGAATGGCGTGAACCCAGGAGGCGGAGCTTGCAGTGAGCCGAGATCGCGCCACTGCACTCCAGCCTGGGCAACAAAGCGAGACTCTGTCAAAAGAAAAGAAAAGGCAAGACAACCAAGGAAAAGGTTTATTTTAACAGTCACTACTTTATGCCTTTTAACTCTCAAAGTGCATAAAGACTCAAGTTAGGACCATATACATTCAATTGGTGTTAGTGTAATTAGTTATTTACTTTTTGCTCTCCATTTTTTAGTGTGATAATAAAATAAAGAACCAGAAGTACATTGCCTGTGAAAAAGGGATTAAGGGATTTGGGAAATGAATAATAACTATTAGTATTTTCTCATCTTTAGTGCTATCCACCTCTGTTTATTAGAAATAAAATTTGGAGGCCCGGAGTGGTGGCTCACACCTGTAATCCCAGCACTTTGGGAGGCCAAGGCAGGCGTATCACGAGGTCAGGAGTTTGAGACCAGCCTGGCCAGCATGGTGAAACCCCGTCTCTACTAAAAATACAAAACTTAGCTGGACGTGGTGGCGGGCACCTGTAATCCCAGCTACTCAGGAGGCTGAGGCAGGAGAATTGTTTGAACCTGGGAGGCAGAGGTTGCAGTGAGCCGAGATTGCACCATTGCACTCCAGCCTAGGTGACAGGGTGAGTCTCCGTGCCAAAGAAAAAAAAAAAAAAAAAAGAAATAAAATTTGGAGAAAGCTGTAGTTTGGCCAGGTTTGTGCATGTGTAGGTGTTCAAACACAAGCAAACTAAAGCCCTAACATTCGTATCCCTTTTGTCTCTGGCCAGAAACTCAATGGTGGGATCCCCAAGGCTGCTTATGCTGATACCATAACCAAAAAACACATACTATATAGAGCAGACAGCATTTGACTTCACTGAAAGCAAACAGTATCCTTAAAAGTTAAGGCAAGGCCAGGTGTGGTGGCTCATACCTAGAATCCCAGCACTTTGGGAGGCTGAGGTGGGTGGATCACCTGAAGTCAGGAGTTCGAGACCAGCCTGGCCAACATGGCTAAACCCCATCTCTACTAAAAATACAAAATTAGCCGGGCATGGTGGCGGACGCCTGTAATCCCGGCTACTCAAGAGGGTTAGGCAGGAGAATCGCTTCAACCTGGGAGATGGAGGTTGCAGTGATCCGAGATGGGGCCATTGTCCTCCAGCCTGGGCAACAGAGTGAGAGTCTATTGTAAAAACAAAACAAAACAAAACAAAACAAAAAAAAGTTAAGGCAAATAGGCAATCAGAATGATTAAACTTAGTTTTCATTTTTTTTTCCAATGGTAAGTAGAAGAGGGAAAAGATATTCTCTAAAAACTAAGGACTTGAAAGAGTTAAAAGAGTAAACACTTTGAGAAACGTGTTAAACAAAGGTCTCTTTCTTGAAATTGAACATTGCTCCTATTGGCATTAGCATTTTTCCTTTAGGGCTCAAAATACCTTCTTTGGAAAGAAATACATTTAATTTAGGTTTTCCAAATGCTTATACTCTAGCCTTCAAAAATCTCTCTCTTATAACTTAAGGGGAAAAATTATTTATTTGTTTACTTTATTTTATTTATGAAACAGGGTCTCACTCTGTTGCCCAGGCTGGAGTACAGTAGTACAATCTCAGCTCACTGCAACTTCCACCTTCTGGGCTGAAGTGATCCTCCCACCTCAGTCTCCTGAGTCGCTGGGACTACAGATGCACACCATCATGCCTGGCTGATTTTCGTATTTTTTGTGGAGATGGGGTTTTAGCATGTTGCCCAGGCTCAAGTGATCTGCCCACTTGGGCCTCCCAAAGTGTCAAGATTATAAGTGTGAGCCACCACACCCAGCCAGTAAAACATTTACTTTTAAAAATCAGTTTATCTTTTTTTTTTTTTTTTAAGACAGAGTCTCGCTCTGTTTCCAGGCTGGAGTGCAGTGGCGCAGTCTCAGCTCACTGCAACCTCTGCCTCCCGGGTTCAAGCGATTCTCCTGCCTCAGCCTTCTGAGTAGCTGGGACTACAGGCGCGTGCCACCATGCCCAGCTAATTTTTGTAGAGATGGGGTTTCACCATGTTGGCCAGGATGGTCTTGATCTCCTGATCTCTTCATCCGCCTGACTTGGCCTCCCCAAGTGTTGGGATTACAGGCGTGAGCTACCATGCCTGGCCCAAAATCAGTTTATCATTTTAACCCTTTGGGAAGACAGAGTTTTATATGATATAACCTATTGAAATATTGTCTGTAATAATCTTGGGGACAAATACCTAGTAGTGAACATAAACTTGAAATTTTTTTGGGATATCTGTGATCCAAAAATGTATGAGTCTAAGAGAACCTCTTTAGAGCTGATATTGTCCTTCCAGACATTGGAGAGTTAACCATAGACTAATATAGTCTTGGAAAACTCAGGTTCACTGATAAGAAATGCATAATTCTTTCTACAGTATTTTGCTTGAATTCTCAGAGTTAGGTTTTGTTTTTTTTGCTTTCAGCACATGGTAGAGCACTGGTCCCTTCACTGGCTAGAATTAATTTCCCACTTTGGGGATCTAGCTCGTGGCCTTGGCTAAGAGAAGAGCGTCCCAGTGGTAGATGTTATAGCACAGAACCAAACCACACATGCCACTTTCAGATTATAGATGTAAGGTTCTCTGTCATGTCCAGATTACCTTCAGAAGTCTTTAAGGAAAACACGTGAAAAGGGCTCTGAAGGCAACACTCTAACCGATAAGTGATTCATCAATTTGAATTCTCCTTGAAGCTGTCAGTGATGCTGAGCTGAAGGATCAGTGTTAAAATGCAGTGTTGTTGAACAGTCCTTGCTCAAATGTCTCCTGAGGAGGGAAAAGTTTTGATGATGACAGGGCTTTTCTTGAATATAGTCTTTGGCTTTTTGGCCTTGGATCCTTGACAATATGGATAAATAGTAGTTGTTTTCTTGAAGTTTAAAACCTTTTTAGAGATAACTGAGCATTATACAAGTAAATTCAATGGTACCTTCTAAGCTGAAACATAAACTTCTAAAATACAATGGGCCGGGCGCAGTGGCTCACACTTGTAATCCCAGCACTTTGGGAGGCTGAGGTGGGTGGATCACCTGAGGTCAAGAGTTCGAGACCAGTATGGCCAACATGGTGAAACGCTGTCTTTACTAAAAATACAAAAATTAGCTGGGCATGGTGGTGGGTGCCTGTAATCTCAGGTAGTTGGGAGGCTGAGGCAGGAGAATTGCTTGAACCTGGGAGGTGGAGGTTGCAGTGAACCAAGATCGTGACATTGCACTCCAGCCTGGGTGACAGAGCAAGACTCTGTCTAAAAACACAATAATAATAATAAATAAAATACAATGGAGAACTCTTGGAACATAGTTTAAGTGTTTTCTTAAGCTGCTAAGTTCTGGGTTAATACAATTTTTAAAAAATACAGCACAGTGAGGCCAGGCGCGTTGGCTCACGCCTGTAATCCTAGCACTCTGGGAGACCGAGGCGGGTGGATTGCCTGAGCCCAGGAGTTCGAGGCCAGCCTGGGCAATACAGTGAAACCCCGTCTCTACTAAAATACAAAAAATTAGCTGGGCGTGGCAGCATGCACCTATTGTCCCAGCTCCTCGGGAGGCTGAGGCAGGAGAATTGCTTGAACCTGGGAGGCAGAGGTTGCAGTAAGCAGAAATCGCGCCGCTGCCCTCCAGCCTGGGCAACAGAGCAAGACTCCATCTCAAAAAAAAAATAATAACACTGTGGGTCTAGTGCAGTGGCTCACGCCTGTAATCCCAACACTTTGGGAGGCCAAGGTGGGCGGATCATCTAAGATCAGGAGTTTGAGACCAGCCTGACCAACATGGAGAAACCTCGTCTCTACTAAAAATACAAAATTAACTGGGTGTGGTGGCACATGCCTATAATCCCAGCTACTCGGGAGGCTGAGGCAGGAGAATCACTTGAACCCGGGAGGCTGAGACTGCAGTAAGCCGAGATCGCACCATTGCACTCCAGCCTGGGCAACAAGAGCGAAACTCCGTCTCAAAAAGAAGAAAAAAAAAAATACAACATAGTGAACCGTGATCCGCGTTTTAAAAAATACGATAGATGGGCCAGGCATGGTGGCTCATGCCTGTAATCCTAGCACTTTGGGAGGCCAAGGCAGGCGGATCATGAGGTCAGGAGATCGAGACCATCCCGGCCAACATGGTGAAACCCCATCTCTACTAAAAATACAAAAGTTAGCTGGGCGTGGTGGCGTACACCTGTAGTCCCAGCTACTCGGGAGGCTGAGGCAGGAGAATTGCTTGAAACCAGGAGGTGAAGGTTGCAGTGAGCCGCGATTGTCCCGCTGCACTCCAGCTTGGCGACAGAGCAAGACTGTCTCAGAAAAAAAAAAAGATAGATGTTAACAGATTACATTGCACAAAATAAGAGAGTTGTGTTATTTGGAAAATATTTTATTCAACTATCTATGTATGTATATATTGGGTTGCAATGTAAACTCTATTATTGTAAGTCTTGATCAAAAACTTTGATGTTTAGATTATACATACTTATTTGGTAGTAGGAGTTTCTGTCCTATGTTTAGAAGATATTACACATCAGACATTCTGAAACTTACAATTTTGAACATATTACTATATATTTAATCAGAATTGACAATATTGGCCAGACGTGTGGCTCACGCCTGTAATCCCAGCACTTTGGGAAGCCAAGTGAGACCCTATCTCAAAAAAAGAAAAAACAGAATTGGCAATGTTCAGTTATTATGGAATGGGGAAAAACTATGTTGTATCACTAGATAATGTTTATAGCTCTAATACACACACCACTTCACACCTCCCGGTGGAGAGTCCCTACCAGTGTAAACTTGGTGAGATGTTTCCTGAATGTAAAGTCCATCAGGTTGGGAAAACAAAATGGAGACCCATTGTGTTAGGCCATCATTGAAGGAACTTTTACAAAGACGTGATTATAGTTAGCCCTGATTTCTGAATTTTTCCATTGTAACAGGCAAAACTAGATGGTGGAAGACAGCAATGGAGACCTGTCCTCATGGCTGTGACTGAGAAGGATTTGCTGCTCTATGACTGTATGCCGTGGACAAGAGATGCCTGGGCGTCACCATGCCACAGCTACCCACTTGTTGCCACCAGGTAAGTAAGACTAAAGATAAGGAAGTAAAATATTTATCCTACTCTAAATCTACAAAAGAATTTTAAAGTGAATTCTGTTATCTTAGGTGCCTAAAAGAGCATTTAAGTAGCGGATATAGTTGATGCAGACAAAAATTTTTTGTTTTACAACCTTATTGATAATTTTGCAGCTCCTAGCTCAGAATAAATTGTTTTTATAATGAGCGTTTTTGTGTGTACCTTTTAAGTTGTCAAGGAACTTCCTAACTGTTCCCTTACAAGACTTGCTTAGTCATGAAGATTATAGGGTTTTTTTTTCTTTATTTTATTGACTGTGACTAGAAAACCACTGAAATTGTGGCAGCCTTTTGACTGAGTGACGAAATCATTTAAACCAGAATGTGGTACTGTGGATAAACCACTTAACTCAGCCAAAATATTCTTCAACTTCTCTTTCTAATGTAAGAACACATCATTTTGATTCTATGAAATAAACATTGATTTGACCTGAAGCCACAGGGTGTTTCTAGCATTCCAGATATGGAGGGCTGAAAGGGAAAAGAATAGAGAAATTTAGACTTGGGAGCCAAGGTGTTTTAAGGGATCATAACTGTGAAACTAGAAAACATATCCAAATTCAAATTTTTTTGGACTTAACAAAAGAATCAGGTGTTGATATAACTCAAAAACTACACATTAAAGAAGAGCGCCATGGAAAAGTATTTAGTAGTCAAAAGAGCTAAATGATGAAACTATCTGGAATATCCCAGTGGGAATAGTGGGGATTTCCTGCTTTGAGGAGACAAAGATTCATGTAAGGCAGAGTATTCTTTGCATTACTGGAAAAGTTTCACTTTAAAAGATTTCCTTTAACTTGCCACATATATTATTCTTCCTTTACATATATTATTCTTTTTATAAAAAATATATTTTTCACATGGCCTTCCAGTAGTATCTCCGTAATTTAGAGCTGGAGCTCCTAGATCACAGAATGAAGTAAAGGATTTGGTGAGCCTCAGTATTAGGGAGGTGTGTCCTCATTAATTCCTTCAGGACAGAATAGTCCTGCAGAAAGACTGAATTTAATTATGTTTCTCTTTTAAAAAAATAAGATATACACTATTGTTTTTTGTAAATTTCTTAATATTTGGTTTTTTAAATCCCCACTAAATTATAACCTCCTTGCAGTCAAGAACTCTGACTTAGTCATCTCAGCACTTCCCACAATGCTTTGCGTGTAGTAGGCCATCAATAAATCTTAGTTGAATTAAATTATTTACTTAAGTTATAGTTTCTCTGTCATGGTTACATTAGGAACTTGACAGTAATCCTACAAAAATATGTAACCATGTCTTAGTAATTATAATTAGAACAATTAAATTTATATTTTCCAAGATTTAGAATTTAGGAATATGGCTGTGGAGATCTCTTAAGTTTAAATTTTGTAGAATCAGCTTACACTTTGGTTCTGATCATAGAATGCAAGGAGGGTAGCTTTATTCTTTTTTAAAATGTGTGCACCTGGAAGCATGAAGCAGAAATTTACCACGTTCCGTAGAAGAGCTTTTGTTTAATACTAGAAATTATAATGCCATAAGCAAATAATTTCTTGGCTATAGAGTAGATTAGGCATGGACCACCAAAGCACTTTGGTACTAAAGATGGAGATGGGGTGGTGTATGTACTATCAGTGGTATTAATTTGCAAGTAGGGAAAAGATACAGACAAGATTTAAGAGCTAAAACTATAAAACTCGTAGAATAAAATATAGTAGATCTTCATGACTTTGGGTTAGGCAGAGTCTTCTCAGATATGATACCAAAAGCACAGTTAACAAGAGAAAAAATAGATAAATTGGACTTTCAGAAACTTAAAAGCTCTTGTGCTTCAAATGTCACCATCAAGAAAGTGAAAAAATAACTCACAGAATGGGAGAAAATATTTGAAAATCATATATCTGACGAGACTTGTATCTAGAAATATAAAGAATTCTTGGCCAGGCATGGTGGCTTACATCTGTAATCCTAGCACTTTGGGAGACCGAGGCAGGCCTATCATCTGAGGTCAGGAGTTCAAGACCAGCCTGACCAACATGGTGAAATCCCATCTCTACTAAAAATATAAAAATTAGCCAGTGTGGTGTTGCACACCTGTAATCCCAGCTACTCGGGAGGCTGAGGCAGAAGAATTGCCTGGATATGGGAGGCAGAGGTTGCTGTGAGCTGAGATTGCACCACGGCACTCCAGCCTGGGTGACAGAGTGAGACTCTGTCTCAAAAAAAAAAAAAAAAAAAGAGATAATTATTCCAAGTCAGTAATGAAAAGATTACCCAATTAAGAAATGGGGCTGGGCGCAGTGGCTCACGCCTGTAATCACAACACTTTGGGAGGCCAAGGCAGGTTGATCACCTGAGGTCAGGAGCTCGAGACCAGCCTGACCAACATGGTGAAACCCCGTCCCTACTAAAAATATAAAAATTAGCCAGGCATGGTGGTATGGACTATAATCCCAGCTACTTGGGAGGCTGAGACAGGAGAAGTGCTTGAACCCAGAGATGGAGGTTGCAGTGAACTGATATCTCACCACTGCACTCCAGCCTGGGCGACAGAGCCAGACTCTGTCTCAAAAAAAAAAAAAAAAAAAGAAATGGGAAAATGATATGAATAGATACTTGTCCAAAGAAGATATACAAATGGCCAATAGGAACATGAGAAGATGTTCAGCATCCTTAGCCATCAGGGAAATGCAAATCAAAACCACAGTGAGATATCATTTCCCACCCACTGGGATGGCTATAATTAAAAAGACAGATAAAATAAAAAGTGTGAACAACGACGTGGAGAAAATGGAATCTTCATACACTGCTGGTGAGAATGTGAAATGTATACTTGCTGTGCAAGGCAGTCTGGCAGTTTCTCAAAAGCTAAACATAGAGTCACCCTGTGACCCACAATTCCATTCCTAAGTTATGCCTAAGAGTAACGAAAACTTATGTCCACATCAAAACATACGTGACTGTTCATAATAGCATTATTCACAATAGCCAAAGAGTGGAAACAACCTAAGTGTCCATCAACTGATGAATGGATAAAGTGTGACATATCCACACAGTGGAATACTATTCTGCAGTTAAAAACAATAATGTTCTGATACATTCTGCAGTGTAGATGAATCTTGAAAACATTATGCTAAGTGAAAGAAGCCAGACAGAAACAACCACATACTGTATTTTTCCATTTATATGGAAAGTTCAGGATAGGCAAACCCAGGATAGACAGAAGGTAGATTAGTGGTTGCCGGCGGGGGAGCTAATGGGTACAGGATTTCTTTTTGAGATGATGACAGTCTGCTAAAATTGAATGTGGTGATGGTTGCAAAATTCTGAATATACTAAAGACCACTGTACTTCAAGGGATAAATTGTATGGTGTGTTTTATATTTTAATAATTCAGTTATTTAAATAAAATAATTAAACCCAACAAGATTGAAAAGAGAGACTAAGACTGATTCCTAATAAACTGAATGTTATACTAAGTAAGCGATAGCATGCTACTGAAACTTTCTGTGCCACATATTTTTCATTTGTTAAGTGCACCCTAATGAGATAGGGTGGGTGTTAGTATTAAATGAGTTAATACTAATAAACTGCCTAGAATGGTGCCTGACACATTGTAACTGCTCAAGTGTTAGCTGCTTTAATTATAATATTTATTATTAAATGAAAATTATGCCCAAGAAGAATTCTTTGTAAAAAGCATAATAATTAGGCCAGGTGCAGTGGTTCACGCCTATAATCCCAGCACTTTGGGAGGCCGAGGCTGGCGGATCACGAGGTCAGGAGTTCAAGACCAGCCTGACCAACATGGAGAAACCTCGTCTCTACTAAAAATACAAAAATTAGCCCAGCGTGGTGGCATATGCCCGTAATCCCAGCTACTTGGGAAGCTAAGGCAGAAGAATCGATTGAACCCCAGAGGCGGAGGTTGCAGTGAGCTGATACTGCACCACTGCACTCTAGCCTGGGCAACAGAGCAAGACTCTATCTCAAAAAAAAAAAAAAAGTATAATAATTAGTTTAATTTGGTCATTGTTAAAAGAGGAGCTCTGGCCCAGCGTGGTGGCTCACGCCTGTAATCCCAGCACTTTGGGAGGCCACGGCGGGTGGATCACGAGGTCAGGAGATTGAGACCATCCTGGCTAACACAGTGAAACCCCGTCTCTACTAAAACTACAAAAAATTAGCCGGGTGTGGTGGCGGGCGCCTGTGGTCCCAGCTACTAGGGAGGCTGAGGCAGGAGAATGGCATGAACCCAGGAGGCAGAGCTCGCAGTGAGCCAAGATCGCGTCACTGCACTCCTGCCTGGGAGACAGAGCGAGACTCCATCTCAAAAAAAAAAAAAAAAAAGAGGAGCTCTTAGCTGGGTGCCATGGCACGTGCCTGTAATCCCAGCTTCTTGGGAGGCTGGAAGAGTCACTTAAGCCCAGTAGTTCAAGACCAGCCTGGGCAACATAGTGAGACCTCTGGTCTCAAAAAAATTAAAAGAAAGGAAAAGGAGCAGTTTTTTGATCTGCCACCAATTTTTACAGATAGTCAAAGTTTCGTATTAAAGGTGAGGAATTCAAACATGCTCATACATGCAAATTAAACTCACCATTAATTAAATGGGTGGGTCTTATAGAGCTTCCTAGACTGATTGTCTGCCTTCCTTCCTCCTTCCCTTTCCTTTTTCTTCCCCTTCCCTCCCTTCCCTTCCCTTTCCTTTTCCTTTCTTTTCTCCCCTCCCTTCCTCTCTCTCTCCTTCCTTCCTTCTCTCTTTTTTTTTCTGACGAACTCTCACTCTGTTGTCCAGTCTAGAGTGTGCAGTGGCAGGATCATAGCTCACTGTAACCTCAAACTCCTGGGCTCAAGCCATCCTCCCACCTCAGCTTCTCGAGTAGCTAGGACTATAGGCATAAGCCACTATGCCAGGTTAATTTTTTATGGAGGTGAGGTCTTGCTGTGTTGCCCAGTCTGGTCTCAAACTCCTGGGCTCAAACAATTCTCATGCCTCTCAGTCTCCCAAATTTCTGGGATTATAAGTATGAGCCACCATACCAATTCATGTTGTTTCTTAATAAGTTTAATTAATGTAACAACAGGGATTCTTTACTCCTTGTTCAGGAAGTACTGGTGGATTAGAATAAAAAAAGACAGATGAAAGGTTTAGTTTTTCCATGTGGCCATGTTGGCAAGGTAGAATTGGTTGAAGTCACAGCACAATAGAATTAAGTGGGGCTTAATGATCCTCTACCAACCAGAGGCGGGTAAAGGGTAACCCTGAGAGAGACAAGAAGATGAAACCAGACCAGAAGGTATCCTGCAGAGGGAGGCAAGGCCAGAAAGTGTTTTTAATGTAGGGGAAAGGGAGTGTTTGAGATTTAAGTGAGTAATGAGAAGGGGCTGAATGTTTAATTTCCCTAATTCTATTGTTAATACTTTGGACCATGTTCTTATGAGTGGATGAGACAGAATAAAAAAGGATTGCATAAACACATAGGTAAGGAAAAGAAATTAAGGACCTTTATTATGTTAAAAAAAGTAGATAACTCCTGAAAAATTAAGAGTTGATTGTAGTTCAAAATCAAATAACATGCTTAGAGTAATGTAAATTAACCATGAGCTGCCATTTATATTGGATTGCACATTTACAGATTCTTCAAAACCAAAGCTCTGTACGTGTGTGGGTTTTAATAGCTGATAGTTCAGGCCAATGAGGAATAAGTAAAGCATGAAAGTGATAAATGAAGAGGATTTTTATTTTACACATTTCTTGAGATTAAAGCCAGATACATGACACAGGTAGAAAGACACTGGTTTTATAGGTGCTCTGGATTTTTCAGGATATGGATTTTGTTGTCTTTTCCTATAAGCCTTCTTTGGAAGAGAAAAAAGATCTCAAAAAAAAAAAAAAGTGTGGTGACTTTAGAATGTGGAATATTGAGTAGTGCTGTGCTTATGGGACTTGTGGGGCAAAAGCTGCCAAAATGCCTTTGCATGAACTCATCTGGCCTCTCCACAAAAGGGGGGCCTTTTAGCAGTGTTCCCAACCAACCGCTGCTCAGCGAGAGTCCAGCATCTGGTTTGAATTAGATTCCCTTTGCCAAATATTTCATAATCAAATCTGTAGGAAAAAATTCTCTTAGACTTTACGTTTTTTAATGTCTGTTTTGGGATTAGCATTCAAACTGAATATGATAGAATATCTATTGCTTTCACCAACACTTTGTCTTACTTGGATCCTCTGTGGAGTAATTTTGAAACTTACTTAACTCTTTCTGAGGTAGCTAATGTTTAATTGGCATGTTGGTTTTTTGGGAATCAGCTCAGTAAAGCAGTTCTCAAAGTATACTTCATGGACCTCTGCGGATCCCCTTTTCAGGGGCCTTGTGAGTTCAAAGCTATTTTCATAGTAATATTAAATGTAATTTGCTTTTTTTCATATTGTTGATATTTACACTGAGGATGTGTAAAATTGCTGGCACCTTAGCATGAATCAAGGCAGTTGGCACGAAACTGTTTTGGGAGTCATTGTATCCGTCCCCACGTGGACTTGCAGAGGGAAAAAAAAATGCCAGTTTAACTTCCAAATGTCTCTGCTGAAATAGTAAAAAATATTAATTTTATTTAATCTTGACCCTTGAGTATTCATCTTTGTAACATTCTGTGTGATGAAATGGGAAGTACTCATGGAGCACTTCTGCTGCATACTGAAGAATGACTGTTGTCTCAAGGAAAAGCACATGTGTGATTGAATTCTCAGCTGAACTCCATACATGCTTTTTCATGTAAACATCATTTTTTATTTGAAAGAATGACTGATTGACAAACACGTTTAGTGAGACTTGGGTATTTGTCACATCACCAAAATGAGTCTGTAACTTGAGGAAAACACTGATAGTATTTGTTGCCAATGATAAAATTGTAGCTTTCAAGCAAAAATTAGAATGCTGGAAAACTCATATCTGCTACTGTGAGCTTGACAGCTTCTCAGTACTTGCTTTTCTGGGGAGATTAGTGGTAATACCAAATGAGATTTTTTTATCTTTTATAATGAACCATTTTTAACATGGAAAATCTGTGTAACTCAGTGAACAAATATTTTTCCAAATGAATGATATATGGTGTTGCAAAATTATGCATGCATAAAAAAGATCCATTGAAATTTCAAGGGAAACCAGTTGATTTTTAATGTAAACATGATACAGAAACTATTGATAAGGTTTCATATTCCACATTGCAATTAATCTTTACCAAACCACTTGTTGAGTTTTGGTTCTGTGGACAGAAGGCTATCCACGTAATGTGAATGGGCTATTAAAATACTCTTCCCTTTTCCAACTACATATTTATGTGAGGCTGTAACTGCATATTACAATAGAATGCTGAAGCAGATGTCAAAATTCAGCTATTTTTAAGCTAGACATTAAAGAGATTTTATTTATTTCTCTTTGATGTACATTCCTCACCAAATTTTTAAAAATCCTGTATAGAAAACATTGTGAGGTGAGTGAATCCTTATAAATGAGGTAATATTTTGTTCTGTTACACTGATCTACTTAATACTTCTTTAAAATAGGGAAAATATAAAAAGTGAGGCCAGGAGTGGTGGCTCATGCCTGTAATCCCTGCACTTTGGGAGGCCAAGGCATGTGGATCGCTTGAGCCCAGGAGTTCAAGATCAGCCTAGGCAACATAATGAGACCTTATCTCTACACAAAATACAAAAATGAGCCAGGCACGGCGGCACGCGCCTATTGTCCCAACTACTTGGGAGGCTGAGGTGGGAGGATCACTTGAGCTCAGGAGTTCAAGATCAGCCTGGGCAACATAATGAGACCACATCTCTACACAAAATATAAAAATGAGCTGGGCGTGGTGGCGCATGCCTATAGTCCTAGCTACTCAGAAGCTGAGATGGGAGGATTGTTTGAGCTGGGTAGGTGGAGGTTGCAGTGAGCCAACACTGTGCTACTATACTCCAGTCTGGGGGACAGAGTGAGACCCTGTCTCAAAATGAAAATTAAAAAAAAAGAAAATATAAAAAGTGAATAGATTAAACTGTAAAGCAAAATACTGAATAGTTTCATGACCTTAAGGAAAATTACTTTTCTTATGGTTTTCCTATATGTATACTTCACTTTTTTTTGTAGGGTTTTTTTTTTTTTTTTGAGACGGAGTCTTGCTCTGTCACCCAGGCTGGAGGGCAGTGGTGCAATCTCTGCTCACCGCAACCTCCACCTCCTGGGTTCAAGCGATTCTCCTGCCTCAGCCTCCCGAGTAGCTGGAATTACAGGTGTGCACCACCATGCCCGGCTAATTTTTGTATTTTTAGTAGAGATGGGGCTTCGCCATGTTGGCCAGGCTGGTCTCAAACTCCTGACCTCAGGTGATCTGCCCGCCTTGGCCTCCCAACGTGCTGGGATTACAGGCATGAGCCACCACACCCAGCCAATATTGCAGTCTTATGTATTCCCTAAGAAGCCTTACCATCTTTTTGGGGGAGGGGGTGATTTCAATCTGGGCACTAAGGACACTTCTTGCTGTTGGGTTGGTTATTGTTTATTGATGGACAGAGGTGGGAAGAGTGTGTGTGTGTGTGTGTGTGTGTGTGTGTGTGTGTGTGTGTGTTAATAAACTCATAACGTGTGCTCGCTTCGGCAGCACATATACTAAAAAAACTCATAACATGGATGACAGAGCCTTAGCAGATAAATTTTTATTTTAAAAAACTCACAAAATTTACCATCTAATTATTTTTAAGTGTACAGTAGATTAGTGTTTACTATATGCACATTGTGTGTAGCAGATCTCTAGAACTTTATCTTGCAAAACAAACTTTATATCTATTGAACAACAATTCTCCATTTCCATCTCTCCCTCAATCCCTGATAACCACATTCTACCTTCTGTTGTTATGAGTATGATTACCTTGGATACCTCATGTAAGTAGGCTTCATGTAGTATTTGTCTTTTTGTGACTGGCTAAGTGTGGTAGATTATGACAGTATTTCCTTTTTTAGGCTGAATAATATGTTCCATTGTATATTTATACCAAATTGTCTTTATCCTTTCTTTTGTCAGTGGACATTTAAGTTGCTTCCATCTCTTGGCTGTTGTGGTTAATGCTGTAGTGAACATAGGTGGGCAAATATGTTCAAGATCTTGTTTTGAGATCTTTTGGATATATACCAAGAAGTGGGTCCTTTGCCCTTTTTTTTTTTTTTTTTTTTTTTTTTTTGAGACGGAATCTCACTCTGTCGCCCAGGCTGGAGTGCAGTGGCACGATATGGGCTCACTGCACACTCCGCCTCCCGGGTTCACGCCATTCTCTTGCCTCAGCCTCCCGAGCAGCTGGGACTACAGGCTCCTGCCACCATGCCCGGCTAATTTTTTGTATTTTTTTTAATAGAGACGGGGTTTCACCGTGTTAGCCAGGATGGTCTCGATCTCCTGACCTTATGATCCGCCCACCTCAGCCTCCCAAAGTGCTGGGATTACAGGTGTGAGCCACCACGCCTGGCTGTCCTTTGCCCATTTTTTTTAATTAATTAATTAATTAATTAATTTATTTATTTATTGATCATTCTTGGGTGTTTCTCACAGAGGGGGATTTGGCAGGGTCATAGGACAATAGTGGAGGGAGGGTCAGCAGATAAACAAGTGAACAAAGGTCTCTGGTTTTCCTATGCAGGGGACCCTGCGGCCTTCCGCAGTGTTTGTGTCCCTGGGTACTTGAGATTAGGGAGTGGTGATGACTCTTAACGAGCATGCTGCCTTCAAGCATCTGTTTAACAAAGTACATCTTGCACCACCCTTAATCCGTTTAACCCTGAGTGGACACAGCACATGTTTCAGAGAGCACAGGGTTGGGGGTAAGGTCACCGATCAACAGGATCACAAGGCAGAAGAATTTTTCTTAGTACAGAACAAAATGAAAAGTCTCCCCTGTCTACCTCTTTATACACAGACATGGCAACCATCCGATTTCTCAATCCTTTCCCCACCTTTCCCCCCTTTCTATTCCACAAAACCGCCATTGTCATCATGGCCCGTTCTCAATGAGCTGTTGGGTACACCTCCCAGACGGGGTGGTTGCTGGGCAGAGGGGCTCCTCACTTCCCAGTAGGGGCGGCCGGGCAGAGGCGCCCCTCACCTCCCGGACGGGGCGGCTGGCTGGGCGGGGGGCTGACCCCCCCACCTCCCTCCCGGATGGGGCGGCTGGCCGGGCGGGGGGCTCACACCCCCACCTCCCTCCCGGACGGGGCGGCTGGCCGGGCGGGGGGCTGAACCCCCCACCTCCCTCCCGGACGGGGCGGCTGGCCGGGCAGAGGGGCTCCTCACTTCCCAGTAGGGGCGGCCGGCTTTGCCCATTTTTTAACTGGGTGGTTTTCTTATCGTTCAGTTTTAAGAGTTCTTTATATATTTTGGATACCAGTCCTGTATCAGATATGTGTTTTGCAAAATTTTTTTGTCCGCAGCTTGTCTTTTCATTCTCTCTTTTTTTTTTTTTGAGACGGAGTCTCGCTCTGTTGCCCAGGCTGCAGTGCAGTGGCGCAGTCTTGGCTCACTGTAAGCTCTGCCTCCCGGGTTCACGCCATTCTCCTCCCTCAGCTTCGCGAGTAGCTGGGACTACAGGGGCCTGCCACCATGCCCGGCTAATTTTTTGTATTTTTGGTAGAGACAGGGTTTCACCGTGTTAGCCAGGATGGTCTCGATCTCCTGACCGTGATCCGCCCGCCTCGGCCTCCCAAAGTGCTGGGATTACAGGCATGAGCCACCGCGCCCGGCCTCATTCTCTTAACAGTATTTTTTGCAGATCAGAAGTTTTTAATTTTAATGAAGTCCAACTTACCAATTTTTTTCTTCAGGGATTGTGCTTTTGATGTTATATCCTTTTAAATCATCTAGAGTTTCTCCTATGTTATAGATTTTTTTTTTTTTTTGAGACGAAGTCTCGCTCTTGTCCCCCAGGCTGGAGTGCAATGGCGCGATCTCGGCTCACTGCAACCTCCGCCTCTCAGGTTCAAGCGATTCTCCTGTCTCAGCCTCCTGAGTAGCTGGGATTACAGGCGTCCACCACCATCCCAGGCTAATTTTTGTAGAAATTTTAGTATTGTGTTTTACACTTAGGTCAAAGATCCATTTTGAGTTAATTTTTGTGAAAAGTATGTAAGGTCTGGTTTTTTTTTTTTTGTTTTTTTTTTTTTACATATGGATGTCTACTTATTTGTAGCGGCATTTGTTGAAAAGACAGACGATTCTTGGCTGGGCACGGTGGCTCACGCCTGTAATCCCAGCACTTTGGGAGGCCGAGGCAGGCAGATCACCTGAGGTCAAGACCTGCCTGGCCAACATGGTAAAACCCTGTCTGTACTAAAAATACAAAAATTAGCTGGGTATGGTGGCAGGAGCCTGTAATCCCAGCTATTCGGGAGACTAAGACAGGAGAATCGCTTGAACCCAGGAAGCGGAGGTTGCAGTGAGCGGAAATCATGCCATTGTGCTCCAGCCTGGGCGAGAAGAGCAAGACTCCATCTTAAGAAAAAAAAGAAAGAAAGAAAAGACCATTCTTTCTCCATTGAATCACATTTGTTTCTCTCTTTTTTTTTTTTTTTTTGAGAGGGAGTCTCGCTCTTGTTGCCCAGGCTGGAGTGCAGTAGCGCAATCTCGGCCACTGCAACCTCCACCTTCCCGGGTTCAAGCGATTCTCCTGCCTCAGCCTTCCGAGTAGCTGAGATTACAGGCGCCCACCACCATGCCTGGCTGATTTTTGTATTTTAGTAGAGACGGGGTTTTACCATGTGGGCTAGGCTGGACTTAAACTCCTGACCTCAAGTGATCCGCCCGCCTTGGCCTCCCAAAGTGCTGGAATTGGCTGGGCACAGTGGCTCATGCCTGTAATTCCAGCACTCAGGGAGGCCCAGGCAGGCAGATCACCTGAGGTCAGGAGTTTAAGACCAGCCTGGCTAACATGGTGAAACCCCGTCTCTACTAAAAATACAAAAAAAAAAAAAGCGCTGGAATTACAGACATGAGACACCACTCCCGGCTTGAATCACCTGTGTTTCTCTGTCAAAGATCAGTTGACTGTATTTGTGTGGGTTTGTCTCTGGGCTGTCTATTCTGTTCCATTGATCAATTTGTTTGTTCTTTTGCCAGTTCCACACTGTTTTGATTACTGTAGCTTTATAGTAAGTGAAAGTTGAGTGGTGCCAGTATACAGATTTATTTTCAACTTTTGTTCTTCTTTAGTATTATGTTGACTATCTGAGTCTTTTGAGTTTCCATACAAACTTTGGAATCAGTTTATCAGTATCTACAAAATAACTTGCTGGGATTTTAATGGGATGGCATTGAATCTGTAGATCACCTAAAAGAGAACTGACATCTTAATATGGAGTCTTTCTACCCATGAACGTAAAATATCTCTTGATTTATTTAGATCATCTTTGCTTTCTTTCAGGAAAGTTTTGAAGTTTTTCTCATAGAGATTCTATACATATTTTGTTGGACTTATGCTTAAGCATTTCATTTTATGGTAACTGACATAAATGGTATGTTTTTAATTTCAAATTTCAATTGTTCAAAGCAACTGACTTGTATATTAATCTTATATCCTGCAACATTGCTATAATTGCTTATCAGTTTTAGGAGTTGTGTACAGGGTCTCACTCTGTTGCCAAAGCTGGAATACAGTGGCATAATCATGGCTCATGGCAGCCTCAACCTCCTGGGCTCAAGCAACCTTCTACCTCAGCCTCCCAAGTAGCTGGGACCACAGATGCACACCACCATGCTGAGATTTTTTTTGTTGTTTTTTGTTTTCTTTTGTTTTTGTAAAGACAGGGTGTCTCTGTATTGCCCAGATTGGTCTCAAAATCCTGGTCTCCAGTGATCCTTCTGCCTCAGCCTCTGAAAGTGCTGGGATTACAGGTGTGAGTCACTGCATGCATCCAGATTTCCTTTGTCTATTTTGGGGGATTTTTAAAATGTAGACAGTCATGTCATTTGCAAACAAAGACAGTTTTATTTATTTTGGAATCATTTTTTTCACATAACATTTCTTCATAGGCCAAATAATTCTAGAGTCAAATGCAAAAGCAGCATGAATTTTTAGATAAAACCCGACTTTATGTTCACTGTGCTTCTTTACTAGCTGCATCTCCCCAGATGAGATATTCACTGCCTTCTACCATTGGAAGTTCTTTGGTGATTGGACAAGAGATTGATGCTAAAAATATATATATTTTAAGCTCTTTGGCTGAAATGTTTGAAATGCAGTTAGCTATCCATTTTTTCTTACAGAAGCATATTTTTCCTCTGAAGTTATTACTGTTAATTTACTTATTTCCTAATCAAAATCATATCTTTTTGATACATATAACCTCTTGGGAGCATAGAGGAGCTCATGGAAAATTAGGGCCACGGTTCATCCAGCCCAGTATCTTGGCCAGGCCCAGATGCTCACGCCTGTAATCCCAGCACTTTGGGAGGCCGAGGCAGGAGGATTATTTGAGCCCAGGAGTTCAAGACTGGTATCTTGTCTGACTGTGATACCAGGGGTCATTTTATGGGAAAACAGAATGGTCTGTATTTCAGAGACTATAATCTTGCTTTGAAATGTCTATATCCAAAAACTGCTGATTGCTTTTATAAGTTTCTCTTATCAATGAGCACAAATTCCTGACATTTTTGTCTGATAATGTAGTTACTTTTGATCTCTGCTCTGTTTGTGGTCCTAGGTTGGTTCATTCTGGCTCCGGATGTCGATCCCCCTCCCTTGGATCTGACCTTACATTTGCTACCAGGACAGGCTCTCGACAGGGCATTGAGATGCATCTCTTCAGGGTGGAGACACATCGGGATCTG
Organism: Homo sapiens; assembly: GCF_000001405.40. NCBI lineage: Eukaryota > Metazoa > Chordata > Mammalia > Primates > Hominidae > Homo > Homo sapiens. Next base: position 69,284,175 of record NC_000016.10, read on the forward strand.
TCATCCTGGACCAGGATACTTGTTCAGGGTTGCCATGCTGCTGCTGAGCTGATCAAGGAAGTCTCTCTAGGTAGAGATGCTGACTTTTTATTTCTAGTAGTAATTAAATAGAACTGTTATATAGTCATGTGCTGCATAATGACATTTCAGTCAGTGATGGATTGCATACATGACAGCAGTCCCCTCAGATTATACTACTATATTTTTACTATACCTTTTCTAAGTGTACATATGTTAAGACACACAAATGCAGCCTGGGCAACATGGTGAAACCCCGTCTTTACTAAAAAAAAAAAAAAAAAAAAAAAAAAAAAAAAATCCGTGCACAGTGGCTGATGCCTGTAATCCCAGAGCTTTGGGAGGCCGAGGCAGGTGGATTGCCTGAGCTCAGGAGTTCGCAACCAGCCTGGGCAATACAGTGAAACCCCATCTCTACTAAAACACAAAAAATTAGCCAGGCGTGGCAGCATGTGCCTGTAGTCCCAGCTGTTCGGGAGGCTGAGGCAGGAGAATTGCTTGAACTCGGGAGGCGGAGGTTGCAGTGAGCCAAGATCACACCACTGCACTCCAGTCTGGGCGACAGAGTGAGACTCCGTCTCAAAAACAAACAAACAAACAAAAACAAACCTGAGGGTGGTGGTGTGCATCTGTAGTCCCAGCTACTCGGGAGACTGAGTGAGTTGAGATCATACCACTGCACTCCAGCCTGGGCAACCAGAGTGAGACCCTGTTTCAAAAAAAAAGATACACGAATGCTTACCATTGTGTTACAGCTGGCTACAGTATTCAGCGCAGTAACATACTATGTAAGTTTGTAGCCTAAGAGCAATAGGCAGTACCATAGAGCTTAGGTGTATAGTGGGGTGTGCCATGTAGGCTTATGTAAGTACACTCTATGATGTTCATTCAATCACGAAATCATCTTATGATGCATTATGCATTTCTCCAAACATATTCTTGTCATTAGGTGATGCATGACTGTACCATAATCTGTTTTAAAGTAAAACTATTATTTGTGCCAGACTTAAAAATGTGCTAAAATATGGCAGCTAAAAGTGATAATGATAGAAAGAAACCTGGTTTCTCTAGTTTACTAGCAAAGTTTTTTTAAGCCTGGTATATGACTCGAAGTACATTTATAATACCGTATGTACAACATGACATTTTTATAGTTCATCTCTCTTTTTTTTTTTTTTTTTTTAGAGTGGAGATCTCTATCACCCAGGCTGGAGTCCAGTGGCATGATCCATCATAGCTCACTGCAGCAGCTTTGAGCTTCTATTTATTTATTTATTTATTTATTTATTTATTTATTTATTTAAAGAGACAGGGTCTAGCTCTGTCACCCAGGCTGGAGTGCAGTGACATGATCCGAGCTCACTGCAGCCTTGAACTCTCCTGTGTTTAAGTGATCCTCCCTCAAGCCTCCCGAGTAGCTGGGACTACAGGTGCCCACCACAGCACCCAGCTAATTAAAAAAAAAATTTTTTTTTTTTAAGTAGAGATGGGCCTCGCTTTGTTGCCCAGGCTGGTCTCAAACTCTTGGCCTCAAGAGATCCTCCTGCCTCAGTTTCCCAAAGTGCTGGGATTCCAGGCAGTGGCACCTGGCCTTTTCAGTTTACTTATTTATTTTTTTGACATGGAGTCTCACTCTGTCGCCCAGGCTGGAGTGCAGTGGCATGATCTCAGCTCACTGCAACCTCCGCCTCCCAGGTACAAGCTATTCTCCCACCTCAGCCTTCTGAATAGCTGGGATTACAGGCACCTGCCATCATACCCAGCTAAGTTTTGTATTTTTAGTAGAGACAGGGTTTCACCATATTGGCCAGGCTGGTCTTGAACTTCTGACCTCAGGTGATCCACCGACCTCAGGTGATCCGCCTACCTTGGCCTCCCAAAGTGCTGGGATTACAGGTGTGAGCCACCACGCCTGGTCTTCGGTTTATTTATTTATTTTTTTAGAGATGAGGTCTTACTGTGTTGCCCAGGCTGGTCTCAACTCCTGGCTTCAAGCTATTCTCTGGTCTTAGCTTCCTGAGTAACTGGGATTATAGGCACAAGCCACTGTGCCAGGCCAGTTGTCATTTAATCTGCATTTAGTAGTGTAAGAACTAGCCAGTAATTCCAGCTACTTAGGAGGCTGAGGCAGGAGGATTGCTTGAGGCCAGGAGTTTTAAGACCAGCCTGAGCAATATATTGAGGACCCCATCTCTACAATGAAAAATGAAGCTGGGTACACTGGCTCATGCCTGTAATCCCTGCACTTTGGAAGGCTAAGGCTGGCGCATTGTTTGAGCCCAGGAGTTTGAGACCAGCCTGGGTAAAGTGGTGAAACCTCATCTCTACTAAAAATACAAAAATTTAGCTGGGAGTGGTGACACACATCTGTAGCCCCAGCTACTCAGGAGGCTGAGGTAGGAGGATCACCTGAGCCCAGGAACTCAAGGCTGCAGTGAGCTATGGTAGTGCCATGGCACTCCAGCCTGGGTGATGGGAGCCAGAACCTGTCTCAAAATAAATAAATAAATTTAATTAAATGAAAAAAAAAAAAAAAGCCAGACATAGTGGCACACACTGTAGTCTCAGCTGCTCAGGTGGCTAAGGTAGGAAGATTGCTTGAGCCCATTTCAGGGCTGTAGTGCACAATGATCAAGCCTGTGAATAGCCACTGTACTCCAGCCTGGACAACATAGTGAGACCTTGTCTCTTAAAAGAAAAAATAATGTAAGGACTCATTTACCAAGTACTAGATACATGGACTCTCCAGTTAAGAAGATTGAAATCTAAGTTGTGGATAGGCGCCCTTAAAAGATGAGTATCTAGCAAGTTTATGGCTATGGAAAAATAAAGGATTTGAAATAGGAGTTACTCTACAAAAGTTTGAAAATGTGTGCCCAACACTTACTCAAATAAGTATCTAAAGGAAATAAGGTTGGTTTCTTTCCATTGTGGAAGCGCCCTCTTGTGGTTAGTTGTCATGAATTTGGAGTATTGTTTTTTATATATATTTACATATATGTATACATGTAGATATTTGCAAATTTTTTTCTTTTTTTTTAAATTGTTTTTGGCTTTGGACAAAATGAAAACCTTTATTTAAAAATACAGGCTGGGGCCGGACGCGGTGGCTCATGCCTGTAATCCCAGCACTTTGAGAGGCCAAGGAGGGCAGATCACTTGAGGTCAGGAGTTCCAAACTAGCCTGGCCAACATCGTGAAACCCCATATCTACTAAAAATACAAAAGTTAGCCAGGAGTGGTGGCAGGCGCCTATAATCCCAGCTACTCAGGAGGCCGAGGCATGAGAATTGCTTGAACCCGGGAGGTGGAGATTGCAACAAGCCAGGATTGCGCCACTGCACTCCAAGCTGGGAGATAGAGTGAGACTGTTTCCAAAAATAGAAATGCTGGAAGCGGTTGCTTATGCCTGTAGTCCCAGCACTTTGGGAGACTGAGGCAGGCAGATCACTTGAGGCCAGATCGAGACCAGCCTGGCCATCATAGTGAAACCCCGTCTTTACTAAAAATACAAAAATTAGCTGAGCATAGTGGCACATGCCTTAAGTCCCAGCTACTCGGGATGGTGAGGCACAAGAATTGCTTGAACCTGGGAGGCGGAGTCTGCAGTGAGCTATGATCACACCACTGCACTCCAACCTGGGCAACAGTGGGAAACTCTGTCTCAAAAAATATATATATATATATATGTATATGCATTGGGCCAAGCACGGTAGTTCACGCTTGTAATTCCAGTACTTTGGGAGGCTGAGGTGGGCGGATCACTTGAGCCCAGAAGTTCAAGACCAGCCTGGGCAACATGGTGAAACCTCATCTCTATTGAAAAAAAAAAGAGTAAATGAGGTTTAAAAAAAAATACAGTATTGGAGGTGAGGCACGGTGGCTTACACCAGAATCACACTGGGATGCTCTGTGTTCCTGTGGGCAGTCGAGGGGTCAGGCCAACACATTCATGCCGTTGCTACCATCTGGGGTCACTGTATTGTCCTCAAGAATTCAAGGGGATATGCTTCCCAAAATCAAGAGTGCAACTTGGATTTTCAGCATTTTTTAGTTCATGTTGTTTCTTTGGTGTCTAGCAGCTAAATTTCATTTTTCAGGTTAAAGCTTCCCAGGCTCATAGTTGTTTAAATATGATGGCTAGAGGAAAGGAAGAGTGAGAGCCAGCTGGTTCCTTGTATTTTTAAATAGACAAAAGAAACATATTTTTCGGTAATTTTACACTTTTTTGTTCTTATTCACAGCTGTATTTTTTTAAATCAACTTCCCTTTAAAGCCATATAGCTGTATTTTAATATTACCTTGGTAACTGTTAGAGTAGCTAATATTCAAAAGACAAAAAATAACAGATGCTGGTGAGGATGCAGAGAAAAGCAAACTCTTATACACTGTTGGTGGGAATGTAAATCAGTATAGCCATTACGGAAAACAGTATGAATATTTCTCAAAAAGCTAAAAATAGAACTACTGTATGATCTAGCAATCCTACTATTGAGTATTTATCCAAAAGAAGAGAAATCAGCATGTCAGAAAGATACCTGCACCTCCATGTTTATTGCTGCACTATTCACAATAACAAAGATAGAGAATCAACCTAAGTGTCCATCAGCAGACAAATGGATTAAGAAAATATGGTATATATACACAAAGGGATACTATTTGGCCATAAAAAATATTGCAGTCATGTCATTTGTAGCAACATGGATGGAATTGGAGGTCATTATGTTAAGTGCAATAAGGCAGGCATAGAAAGACAAATGTGGCATGTTCTCACTTATATGGGAGCTAAAAAAGTGGCCAGGCGTGGTGGCTCACACCTATAATCCCAGCACTTTGGGAGGCCGAGGCGCGCGGATCACCTGAGGTCAGGAGTTCGAGACCGGCCTGACCAACATGGAGAAACCCCATCTCTACTAAAAATACAAAATTAGCCAGGTGTGGTGATGCATGCCTGTAATCCCTGCTACTCGGGAGGCTGAGGCAAGAGAATTGCTTGAACCCGGGAGGCAGAGGTTGCGGTGAGCCAAGATCGCACCATTGCACTCCAGCCTGGGCAACGAGAGCTAAACTCCGTCTCAAAAAAAAAAAAAAAAAAAATGTTGATCTCATGGATGTAGACAGTACAAGATAAATACCAGAGGTTGGGATGGGCGTGTTGTGAGGGGCTGTGAAGAAGGGTTGGTTAATGGGTATAAACATACAATTAGAAAGAAGGAATAAATTCTAATGTTCAAGAGCAGAGTGTGGTGACTATAGTTAGCAATAATGCATTGTATAATTCAAATAGAAGAAAGGACTTAAAATGTTCCCAACATATAGAATTGTTAAATATTCAATGTGATGGATACCCTAAATCCCTTGACTTGATCATTACACATTTTACACATGTAACAAAATATCAGGTAACAAAATATCGCATGTACCCCTAAGATATATACAAATATTACATATTAATATAAAAAAGATTACACTGTGGTTCGCACCTATAATCCCAGCACTTTGGGAGGCTGAGGCAGGTGGATCACTTGAGCTCAGTCTGGGCAACATGGCGAAACCCCGTCTCTACAAAAAATTAAAAAATTACCCAGGCCTGGTGGTGTGTGCCTGTAGTCCCAGTTACTCAGGAGGCTGAGGTAGGAGGGTTGCTTGAGCCCGAGAGGTCAAGGATTCAGTGAGCTATGATTACGTCACTGCACTCCAGTCTGGGCAACAGAACAAGACCCTGTCTCAAAAGAAAAAAGGAAATTGTTGGGAGATTCAGAACTGTCTGTTAAAACTATAGTTGGCAAAAAGAAATCAGTTAAGCTGTTCCTTGTCTCTATGTTTTGGTTATAGTTTACCCATCTAGAAACATGTCAATGAATACCTACAAAATGTGACGAGTAAATTCAATACATAATCTTCCTAATGTTCATTTAGTTTTAAACCTTGATTAGGCTATAGTTACAGTAGAGCTAATCAGTGATCCCTCTGGTACAGAAGGACTTTCTCCTGCTTGCAAGTATGAACTTCAAGATGAGTAGGCATAGAATGCAGCTCTCTTCCTCAAGTACAGAAAGCCATTTCCATTTGTCACAGGATTTGAAACTATTTTAAAAATTGTATAGTATACTTTTAAAGGCTTATTTTCATCATACCAATTATTTAAGCCATTAAAGTTTTTAAGTCATACGAGAACTTTATGAAGGCACTTTATATGTCTGTAGTTTTGATGATATGAAGACTAAGAAGCAGTAAATATAGGTAGGAATTACGTTAATAAAAATGAAGAAAATCTAGGAGAAGAGAAGAAAAACAGGCATTTACAAGGATTTATATTGTTAAAATATATGAAGAAAGAGTTTTCTGTGACCATATTATTCACCATTTCTTAGAAATTATCTTGAGTCCTTTTTACTCATCGGTTTGGCAAATATTTTTCAGTATATACTCTGTGCTTTTACTAGCTATAATAAAATAAGGTAAGCATAGCCCCTATTTTTCAAGTAGGAAGGACAGAAACCAAAAGAATAATAGGTATGTATCAGGATTGTCATAAGGCATAAATGAAATACAGGCATCATCTAACCTTCACACACAACTCTCTGGGGCAGATGTTGTCACCTGCATTTTCAAGATATGGGAACTGGTGTTAGTATGGTTAGGACTTGAACTGGGGCCTTTTTGGGCTCCAGAACTAGAGCCTTAAGCCCTGAAATTTCTCTAAATGACTCACACTTATGACCAGGTTAAACTTCTGAAGGATATACAATATCAGTCTAATTTGTTAATACATATTTACTGAATGTTTTAGTATTTATCAAGTGCTGTGCTTTGTAATAAAAGAAAAATAAGTAAGATGTACTTCATGCCTTTGACCAAATAGCAATAAGAGAACACAGTGTCATGTTCTTTTCTGTGACCCTGGGCATGATGAACCTGTTGCCTATACCTGATGGGCTGGCTTTTCCTATGTGCAGTCACTGGGAAGGATGCCCCAGCCTTTCTCTGAGACAGTTCTGGGCTGTCAGGCCAGGTCTAACCTGAAAGACCTACTCCCTTCTGAGGTGCTCTGAGTAACACACACAGTCCTATGGCTGCTAGAGAGATGGGCCTGGGGACTTGCTGGAAACACTAGATAGGGCCCCCCAGAGCCCCAGAAACAGGACCTGTAGCATAGAACTCTGCCATTAGGTTCTTTATCCCTCATGACACACTGATAACCACCAGCAGTTCTCATTTAAAAAAACACATAGTTGGCCCAGCGCTGTGGCTTATGCCTGTAATCTCAGCACTTTGGGAGGCCAAGGCAGGAGGATTACTTGACACCAGAGTTCGAGACTAGCCTGGGTAACACAGCAAGACCCCCCATCTCTATTTAAAAAAAATGAGCTGGGCATGGTGGCATGCACCTGTAGTCTTAGCTATTTGGGAGACTGAGGCAAGATAATCACTTGAGCCCAGGAGTTTGAGGCTGCGGTGAACTGTGATCACACCACTGCACTCCAGCTTAGGCAACAGAATGAGACCCTGTCTCTAAAGAAAATAAAAATAAAAAATAAATAAAATAAGCCTGGGCAACAGAGTAAGACCGCGTCTCTATGAAAAATTTTGAAAGTTAGCCAGGCATGGTGACACATGCCTATAGTCCCAGCTACTCAGGTGGCTGAAGTGGGAGGATTGCTTAAGGCCTGCAGGTCCAGGCTGCAGCACTGCACTCCAGCCTGGGCGACAGAGTAAGACCCTGTCTTAAAAATAAATAAATAGGCTGGGCACGGTGGCTCACGCCTGTAATCCTAGCACTTTGGGAGGCCGAGGTGGGCGGATCATGAGGTCAGGAGATCGAGTCCATCCTGACTAACACAGTGAAACCTCGTCTCTACTAAAAATACAAAAAATTAGCCGGGTGTGGTGGCAGGTGCCTGTGTGGTGGCAGGCACCTGTAGTCCCAGCTACTCAGGAGGTTGAGGCAGGAGAATGGCGAGAACCCGGGAGGCAGAGCTTGTAGTGAGCCAAGATCACGCTATTGCACTCCAGCCTGGGCGACAGAGCGAGACTCTGTCTCAAAAAAATAAATATAAATACATAGACACAAAGTGGATAACATATACACTGGTTGTACTATCTACACAAAGTGGATAAATACAACACTGGTTGTATTTACCATTGTTCACCTTATTTTTTATATATATATATATATATATATATTATATATATATTATATATATATATATATTATATATATATTATATATATATATATATTATATATATATAATTTTTTTTTTGAGACAGAGTTTTGCTCTTGTTGCCCAGGCTGGAGTGCAATGGCACGATCTTGGCTCACTGCAACCTCCGCCTCCCGGGTTCAAGCAATTCTCCTGCCTCAGCCTCCTGAGTAGCTGGGATTACAGGTGCCCACCACCATGCCCAGCTAATTTTTTTTTTTTTTTTGCATTTTTAGTAGAGGCGGGGTTTCACCCTGTTGGCCAGGCTGGTCTTGAACGCCTGACCTCAGGTGATCCACCCACCTCGGCCTCCCAAAGTGCTGGGATTACAGGCATGAGCCACCACGCCCGGCCGAGTGTTCACCTTCTTATAACATCAATTTTTTGATTTATTATTTATTGAGCAAGTTTTCCTCCTAGCTTTATTAAATTACTATCGGGGAGCTTCTTAGAACGCCATCTCTAATGTATGTTTTATACTTAACAACATCCCCGTGGTGTGAAAAAGCCAGTGCCTCACCCCACAACCCCCAACTTAGGAATCTGAGAAGTAGTAGTCAGAGCAGTAGAAGGAAAACCGGGATTGGTGGGGATGGTAACAGCCATGGAAACCAGAGGAAGAGTATTTCAAGGGAGGAAAAGTCAGTAGGAGTAAATGTATTAGTTGGGATGATTTATGCTAAAAATAGTAGGACATGGCCACTAAAACTAGAATAAATATTAAATATCTTGCATAAAAGAGAGCAAGAGTGAAAGAGAGAGGGCCCTTCTCTTCCTAGTGATAGATCTTTTCAATCTGATTGAGTCAGTTTGGCTCATATGTCCAGTCTGAACCAGAACAATCACCAGGGGAAACCCATGCTTTGACTGACCCAGAAGCTGTCTATCCATAAGTCGGGAGTACCCTTCCCTGAAACACATTAGGACACAGTAAAAACCTGAATAAAATTGAGGTTTGCCTATAAAGAAGAATAGAGAAATAGAAGCTGATAGACAGCCAACAATTAGTACTACAAGTGCCAAGTAGGATGAGGCTGAAAAAGCAGGTTGGATTTAGCGATATGGAGATAATTGATGTCCTTGGGGAGAGATGCAAAACGATGTAATGGCAATGGCAGATTGCAGAGGTCTGAGGAGTGGACGTGAGGTGAATCATGGGCAAACTGAGTAGACAGCTCTTTCAAGAAGTTTTGATATGAAGAGGAGGAGAGAGGGGGAGTGGTACTTGGAGGTAAGGTACAGAGTTGAGTAGTGGCATTTCTTTTAATAATGAGAGAGGCTTGAGCATTTAAAAAAGTGAATGGGAGGGATCTGATTCAGAGGGACATGTTGAAAACACAAGAGGTAGAAGTAGTAATCAATCTTTTACAATTTCTAGGAAGGTGGAGGTAGATGCAATCCAAGGCACAGGTGAGGGGATTGGCCTTAGCCTGGAAGAGGGACAGATGGAAGAGAAGAAATAACGGAGGGAGATGTAGAGCCTATCTTGGCTGTTGAAGTGGGCAGTGCCTTTTACTGCTCAGTAATTTGGGCCATAGACATCCCTGGCTTTTTCTCCATCCCTAAATCCAACTGCAGTTATAGGCCACTTTTATGTTGTTTGAATTTTTATTTTATGTTTTTTGTTTGTTTGTTTGTTTGTTTTTAGAGAGACAGTCTCATTCTGTTGCCCAGGCTGGAGAGCAGTGTCACGAACATGGCTCACTGCATCCAGGCTGAAGCAATCCTCCCACCACAGCCTCCCAAGTAACTGGGACTACAGGTGCATGCAACTATGCCTGGCTAATTTTTGTAATTTTGGTAGGGATAGAATCTCACTATGTTGCCTAGACTTGTCTCAAACTTGTGGCCTCAAGCAGTCCTCCACCTCAGCTTCCCAGAGTGCTGGAATTACAGGCATGAGCCACTGTGCCCAGCCAGTTGTTTGAATTTTTAAAGTTACATCATGCTTGTATCATCAGGAAAAAAAAAATTGTTTTTTGACTAAAGAGCCATCAGTCAGTCCCATACACTGAAACTCTTATCACTATAAAGGATTTTACAGGCTGGGCATGGTGGCTAATGCCTGTAATCCCAGCATTTTGGGAGGCCAAGGAGGGTGGATCACCTATGGTCAGGAGTTTGAGACCATCCTGGCCAATATGGCAAAACCCTATCTCTACTGAAAAAAAAAAAAATACAAAAATTAGCAGGGCGTTGTGGTGCGCCCCTGTAGTCCCAGCTACTAGGGAGGCTGAGGCAGGAGAATCGTTTGAACCCAGGAGGCGGAGGTTGCAGTGAGCCGAGATCATGCCACCACACTCCAGCCTGGGCGACAGAGCGAGACTCCATCTAAAATAAAATAAAATAAAAGCACCTACCGCAGAGCCCTGTGTTTATGTACCTTCCTCTCTTGATACCTGAAGAACTGTAGTTTTTGATTTTTTTTTTTTTTCGCTCTGTCACTCGGGCTGGAGGGCTGGAGGGCTGGAGTGCAGTGGTGCAATCTCAGCTCACTGCAACTTCTGCCTCCCAAGTTCAAGCAATTCTCCGGCCTCAGCCTCCTGAGTAGCTGGGATTACAAGCACACACTGCCATGCCTGGCTAATTTCTTTTGTATTTTAGTAGAGATGGGGTTTCACCATGTTGCCCAGGCTGATCTCGAACTCCTGAGCTCAGGCAATCCACCTGCCTCGGCCTCCCAAAGTACTAGGATTACAGGTGTGAGCCACTGCGCCCAGCCAAAACTGTAGTTTTTTACCCCTTTAACTTCAGTACTTACTATTGTGCTGCTATTGTGTGTCTTTTTCTATTTCTGGTAACAACCCTGTTAAACAAAATCAACATACTGAATTTTTTTTTTTTTTTTTTTTTTTTTTTTTTTGAGACAAAGTATTGCTCTGTCTGCCAGGCTGGAGTACAGTGGCCCGATCTTGATCTCTGCTCACTACAACCTCTGCCTCCCAGGTTCAAGGAATTCTCCTGCCTCAGCCTCCCGAGTAGCTGGGACTACAGGCGTCTGCCACCACTCCCGGCTAATTTTTGTATTTTTAGTAGAGACAGGGTTTCACCATATTGGCCAGGCTGGTGTCGAACTCCTGACCTTGTGATCCACCCGCCTTGGCCTCCCAAAGTGCTGGGATTACAGGCGTGAGCCACCGCGCCCAGCCAACATACTGAATTTTTTACTGACTTATCTATAAATTGGAGTGCATAGTGGACACATAGCCATCCAAAAGCATTCTAAGTGAACCAAGACATAATGAGCCACCTGCAACAGCTCCATTAATAAGTCCCAGATGCTATCCCGTCAGAAAAGGGCCACTCCTCTTACTAAATGGGGAATTTATACTGAAAAAAAAAAAAAAGCCACTTCTCATACACACACACATAGCTGTTAAATCAGAATGAAAGGCTTATTTCCCCTATCTCCCTTTGGTTCATTACTCCTAAAAGGGTAAGGGGTGTCAGGCACTTAATCATCATTGCATCACTGTGGTGTGATGTACTCAATGTTTAGAGAAAAACTGTTTAATTGGTTCGATTTGGCACAGCATTTACATGACCAGGTCACAGTCTCATTCAGAAGAATCTGGTATTAATTATACATTTTAAACTATGGCCGGGTGTAGTGGCTCATGCCTGTAATCCCAGCATTTTAGGAGGCCGAGGCGGGTGGATCACCTGAGGTCGGGAGTTCGAGACCAGCCTGACCAACATGGAGAAACCCCATCTCTACTAAAAATACAAAAAATTAGCCAGGCGTGGTGGCGCAGGCCTTAATCCCAGCTACTTGGGAGGCTGAGGCAGGAGAATTGCTTGAACCCAGGAGGCAGAGGTTGTGGTGAGCTAAGATCACGCCATTACACTCCAGCCTGGGTGACAAGAGTGAAACTCCGTCTCAAAAAAAAAATTTTTTTTAAACTAAAACAAGCTCAATATCTAGACCTAAATACATTAAGTTTGACACACACACACAGAATCACACACAGTCACATTTGCTTTCCATTCTTTCCTTCTCCAGGGGAAACAATCCAAAACAGAACATTTAAGAAATCTCAGGCCGGTCGCGGTGGCTCATGCCTGTAATCCCAGTACTTTGGGAGGCCGAGGCGGGTGGATTACCTGAGGTCAGGAGTTTGAGACCAGCCTGGCCAACATGGTGAAACCCTGTCTCTACTAAAAATACAAAAAATCAGCCAGGCCTGGTGGCACATGCCTGTAATCCCAGCTACTCGGGAGGCTGAGGCAGGAGAATTGCTTGAGCCCAGGAGACGGAGGTTGCAGTGAGCCGAGATCATGCCACTGCAGTGCAGCCTGGCCGACAGAGAGACTCTGTCTCAAAAAAAAAAAAAAGAAAAAAGAAATCTCAGGGGCCAAGCACTTTGGGAGCCCAAGGTGGGCAGATCACGTGAGGTCAGGAGTTTGAGACCAGCCTGGCCAACATAGTGAAATCCCTGTCTCTACTAAAACTACAAGAATTACCTGAGTGTGGTGGTAAACACCTGTAATCCCAGCTACTCGGGAGGCTGAGGCATAAGAATCATTTGGGAGGTGGAGGTTGCAGGGAGCCGAGGTTGCGCCATTGCCCTCCAGCCTGCATGACAGAGTGAGACTCTTATCTCAAAAAAAAAAAAAAATCTCAGGCCAGGTGCCGTGCCTCACACCTGTAATCCCAGCACTTTGGGAGACCGAGGCAAGTGGGTTGCCTGAGCTCAGGAGTTCAAGACCAGCCTGGGCAAGATGGCAAAACCCCGTCTCTACTAAAAAATACAAAAAATTAGCTGGGTGTGGTGGTGCCCGCCTGTAATCCCAGCTACTCAGGAGGCTAAGGCATGAGAATTGCTTGAACCCGGGAGGCAGAGGTTGCAGTCAGCTGAGATTGCGCCAGTGCACTCCAGTCTAGGTGACACAGCAAGATTCTATCTCAAAAAAAAAAAAAAAAAAAAAAAAAAAAGGAGGCCGGGCACGGTGGCTCATGCCTATAATCCCAGCACTTTGGGAGGCCAAGGCGGGCAGATCACAAGGTCAGGAGTTTGAGACCAGCCTGACCAACATGGTGAAACCCTGTCTCTACTAAAAATACATAAATTGGCCTAGTGTGGTGGCACGCTCCTGTAATCCCAGCTACTCAGGAGGTTGAGGCGGGAGAATTGCTTCAACCTGGGAGGCAGAGGTTGCAGTGAGCCAAGATCACGCCACTGCACCAGCCTGGGAGACAGAGCGAGACTCTGTCTCCAAAAAAAAAAAGAAGCCATGTGCAATGGCTCACGCCTATAATCCCCACACTTTGGGAGGCCGAGGTGGATGGATCCCTTGCAGTCAGGAGTTCAAGACCAACCTGGCCAACGTGGTGAAACCCTGTCTCTACTAAAAATGCAAAAAAATTAGCCGGGCGTGGTGGTGTACATCTGTAATCCCAGCTACTCAGCAGGCTGAGGCAGAAGAATTGCTTGAGCCCAGGAGGGTGAGGTTGCAATGAACCGAGATCACGCCACTGCACCCCAGCCTGGGTGACAGAAGGAGATTCCATCTCAAAACAAACAAAAAAAAGAATCTCTAAATCTCTCTTTTTAAAATTGTTTAGACATTGCTCTGTCACCCAGGCTAGAGTGCAGTGGCATGATCATAGCTCACTGCAGCCTTGAACTCCTGGACGCAAGTGATCCTCCCACCCCAGCCTCCTGAGTAGCTGGGACTATAGGCACACACCACCATGCCCAGATACATTTTTTATTTTTATAGAAATGAGATCTTGCCATGTTACCCAGGCTGTTCTCTAGCGCCTGGCCTCAAGTGATCCTCCTGCCTCCTGCCTTAGCCTCCCAGAGTGCTGGGATTGTAAGCATGACCCACCACACCTGGGGCATTTGCCAGTCTTGATGACCAAAATTGTTTGTATCCTGTCAATTCAGAGGTGTCCTTTGAATTGTATCTTTGATAGCGTTGACTGTGACTTTTGCTGAGTATAGCCTTTAACTTTGATGAACATAATCTTTATCTTCATCCCAAATGCCAACCAAACCATGTCACGGCTCCTGAAAGGCCTCTCTGCCTTTGCTCCTTTGGTTGGTCCTTCTTGCCCAGTTCAGTCCTTCTGCCTCTTCCTCCCTGCCTGTCCAGTTTTACCAATTCTTTTTTTTTTTTTTTTTTTTTTTTTTGAGACAGTGTCTCGCTCTTGTCACCCAGGCTGGAGTGCAGTGGCGTGATTTCATCTCACTGCAACCTCTGCCTCCCAGGTGCAAGCAGTTATCCTGCCTCAGCCTCCCAAGTAGCTGGGATTACAGGCATGTGCCACCATGGCTGGCTAATTTTTGTATTTTTAGTAGAGACGGGGTTTCGCCATGTTGGCCAGGCTAGTCTCTAACTCCTGACCTCAAGTGATCCGCCCACCTCGACCTCCCAAAGTGCTGGGATTACAGGTGTGAGCCACCGTACCCGGCCAGTATTACCAATTCTTTAGGGCCTATCTGAAGGCCCATCTCCTCCAGGAAACCTTTTCTTGACTTTGGCCTCATTCACTTTGGTGTTTGCTCATGTTCTGTACATTCTGCCTTACACAATTGGGGATTTCCTGTCTATGCCAATGAGTTTACAAAGTCCTTGAGAGCAGGGACTGTGCCTCTTACTTCTCTAGTGCCTTGCACAGCCTACACACACTTGCCAGTATGAGTGTTCAGTGGGTACTCGAGGAATTAAATCGAACAGATGTCAAGGAGTGTTATGGTCATTTCTGCCTCATCTCAGTGACCAAAACAAAACACACTTCTTTTTTTTTTTTTTTTGAGACAGTCTTGCTCTGTCGCCCAGGGTGGAGTGCAGTGGTGCAATCTTGGCTCACTGCAACGTCCGCCTCCCGGGTGCAAGCAATTCTCCTGCCTCAGCCTCCTGAGTAGCTGGGATTACAGGCACCCGCCACCACACCCAGCTAATTTTTATATTTTTAGTAGAGACGGGGTTTCACCATGTTGGTCAGGCTGGTCTCAAACCCCTGACTTTGCGATCCGCCTGCCTCGGCCTCCCAAAGTGCTGGGATTACAGGCGTGAGCCACCACGCCTAGCACAAAACACACTTTAGAAGTTTCCATACAGGTTAGGTATCACACATTCTCAAGAAAATATTTTTCCTATTTTGAAGTCAGAAGATTCCCTTTTCACTTGATAACTGACATAGCAACTTTACAACTAATGTTTTTTGCTTTTCTTCAACAGGCTGCATGTTAAATGGCCAAGAGGTGAGGCTTACTATTCACTATGAAAATGGGTTCACCATCTCAAGGGAAAATGGAGGCTCCAGCAGCATATTGTACCGCTACCCCTTTGAAAGGCTGAAGATGTCTGCTGATGATGGCATCCGAAATCTATACTTGGATTTTGGTGGTCCCGAGGGAGAACTGGTAAGAGTGTTTCTGAAACACATGTTTATCTAATAGATGTTCTCTTTCCTTCTCATTACTTCTTACCCCTTATATACAAAGTCATGGACTGACATTCCATTTAGAACCATGAAATTTTAAATTAAAAAAAATTTTTTTAAAGATGGGGTCTCTGTCACCCAGGCTGGAGTGTAGTGGTGCAATCATAGCTTCCTGCAGCCTATACCTTCTGGGCTCAAGTGATCCTCCCACCTCAGCCTCCTGAGTAACTGGGACTGGACTATAGGTGTGTGCCACCATGCCTGGCCAATTTTTTATATTCTTTATAGAGATGAGGTCTCGCTTTGCTGCCCAGGATGGTCTTGAACTCCTGGCTTCAAGTGATCTTCCCATCTTGGCCTCCCAAGGTGTTGAGATTACAGGTGTGAGCCACTGTATCTGCTCTTCTTCAGTTTTCAAGATGGCATTGGGTGTTGGTTTTTGTTGCCGTCATTTTTCTTTTTTTTTTCTTTTTTGAGACGGAGTCTCGCTTTGTCGCCCAGGCTGGAGTGCAGTGGCACCATCTCAGCTCACTGCAACCTCTGCCTCCCTGGTTCAAGCAATTCTGCTGCCTCAGCCTCCCGAGTAGCTGAGATTACATGCACGTGCCACCATGCCTGGCTAATTTTTCGTATTTTTAGTAGAGATGGGGTTTCACCGTGTTAGCCAGGATGGTCCCAATCTCCTGACCTCATGATCTGCCCGCCTCAGCCTCCCAAAGTGCTGGGATTATGGGCGTGAGCCACCGTGCCTGGCCTTAGATTTTAAATCCTCTACTATTTAGTTCTTCCTACCAGGCATGGTGAAACCCAGTACACCACCAGTTGTCTCCTAATTGGGGATGTGAAACCTCACACCAGTATTATGACATGGAATAACCTTACTCCATAGTGCACTTTTGCCTGTGGCTTTAAGTTCCTAAGAGTTTCCATAGCTCTGGCACATTCTTTACCTACCTTAAATTTATTTTGCATCTTCGTTTATTAAGTTGTCTGTATATGGTAGTGAGGTAGTGATGCTTAGTGTCCTTTCTCCACAGACCATGGACCTGCACTCTTGTCCGAAGCCGATTGTATTTGTGTTGCACACGTTTTTATCGGCCAAAGTCACTCGTATGGGACTGCTTGTATGAGCAACAAAAAATCAGAAAAGAGCCTTGACTGTCACAAGAAATATTTCCACCTCAAAAAAAAAAAAGCACAAAAAGAAACTCTTTGCTCTCCTTCAGCACAGTGCCTTCCCAAGGACCTGCAAATAACTGCTGAACCATAACCGTGTTTAAAGAAGAGCCTACCTTTCACAGTCTACCTTGGCCAGATATTCTAGCACTCTAAAAGGCTCCAAAATGAAGCTGTTGATTTATTCTCATTTCAAAATATGGTTTATGAGTAATTAGGTTTATTTCTACTGCTAAAAAGAATGGCTCATTGTTTTCTTTTTTTTTCATTGTTTTCATTTTTAGACATAATCAAATACCCAAGCATTGTTTTCTTTTTCTTCTCCCTGTAGGATTTGTGTTGTGCTTAGCCTTGATCTCTTGTTCAGAACAATTGTCCCTTCCCAGGTGCTAGCTTGCAGCAGCCTGTTGCTTCCTGAGCATTCCAGATAGGTCGTATGTCTTGGAATTTACTGTCCTCACTAGCTCCTTCCACCATAGGAAGTCCTTGAATTGTATCACCAAAGGGTTGTTCCATTTGCCCTGGATCTCCCTCTATCTCAGCCTGGCCATCACTTCCCACCTTATCCCAAGCTTTGCCACTGTCTCTAGGACTTAGAACTTGTAAATTTGATTTGCCTTGCCTTCTACTTCCTTTCTAGTGGTGACTGAGTTGAAAAGCAAGTTGGAAGCCACTGCTTTTAAAGAAAAGTTTTGCTTGGTTTAGGTTTTTCCAATTTTATTTTTGTTAGGAGCCAGGGGATAAGATTTATTTTAAATGAAAATCCTCTTCCTAGGTTAAGCCATTTTTTTTATTGCTTACCAAATGTGCCTTTGGTTAGGGTTAGTGGAGCTTTATTAGTCACTATTTGAATAACTGGAAATCACTGCCATTTCCAGGAGATCACCTATCCTAGTTTTGAGGAATAGTCATTGAGGTGGGTTTCCTTAATGGCATCTCTTCTAGTAGGCAGATCTGTTTGAACAAGATAAATCCTAAAGAGCCAGCCTGCTTGAGGAGTAGACTTGGTGGGTGAAGCCAGCAATTCCGCACAAACGTCATGTTGAATTGTTTTGGGCTGCCCAAAAACAACAGGATGCAGCATCCTGGCTGTGGCCTGGCCCTTTGTGGCAGCAGTGGCATGGACAAGCAACTGCTAATTCGAGACTTACTATTGGCTTCACAGCACACCCTACAGTGAGCAGGGTGATGAGACCGTGGAACAGCTACCTGCTTTTGGTTAAGATTGCCAGATATCATTAGGACACAGTAGCAGCAAGAATGCTGATTTTGTAGTGTTAGAAAATGAACTCAGCTTGTTTTTCCTAATTTTGAAGGTGGTATATATCTGCAAACATTTAAAATGGTATAATATCATATAAAATGTCAAAATTAGCACAGTCCCTGGATCTCAAAGAATAGGTAATATTGACTTGGATGTTCTTTATGCTCTCTGAAGAAAGGTCTAGGGAAAGTTCTTGTTTGCTTGATTGATCAAGAGTGCCACGGAAGAATGTGAGCGCTGTGGAGGGTGGAGGAGGGTGTCACTTCAGATGGGGCAGGCACAGGGGGAGAAAAGAAGAGAAAAACACACCTGTGTGCAAAATGAGCTATTTGGTTTCAGTGCGGCCTGACCGATGGGGAGGACCCATGAGCAGAGAGAGTTCTAGGTCAACATTGTAACTCCATTGTCCTCCTTCACCCATAAGTCAGTCCTCCTTCCTCATTACAGTGAAACCAACAATATGCAGAGGTTGGGGAGAGATGCCTGTTCTTCCCCCAGCTTCATATAATTGTCAAAGTTCCAAAAATGAATTATCTGAACTGCTTAAAACTGGAAATTAAAATCTAGACAAGAATATGTCTTTCAAGAGCTTTTTATGTTTTGAAAGTTCATAAACCTAAGATTGGCTCCATCTGAGATAAATTTTCTTTTCTTTTTTTTTTTGAGACGGAGTCTCGTTCTGTCTCCCAGGCTGGAGTGCAGTGGCATGATCTCGGCTCACTGCAACCTCCACCTCCTAGGTTCAAGTGATTCTCCTGAGTAGCTGGGGTTATAGCTACCCACCACCACACCCAGCTAATTTTTGTATTTTTAGTAGAGGCAGGTTTTCACCATGTTGGCTAGGCTGGTCTTGAACTCCCGACCTCAAGTGATCCACCTGCCTTGGCCTCCCAAAGTGCTGGGATTATAGGTGTGAGCCCCCGTGCCTGGCCCACAATAAATTTTCATTTCAGAGAAGGAAAAAAATCTCTTGAACGTCCAGAAATGATTTCTGGAATCAGAATTTCAATATGTAATACCCTCAGGTAGGCAATCTTGAACCCTCTATGCAGTGAGAGCATTATTAATATGAGATGTTGAATGATGCCTTTACAGACTTCAGCAGCAAAGCCATTTGGTTGAGGTTTTCTGTGTTAATGTGAAAAGCTAAGCCACTGAGATTTGCAGGGGAGCTTCTGAGCCACCCTGCTTGTTGGTTATATGAGGATGTAAAATAGGTGGAATTAAAATGTGAGCAGGAAAGGCAAGGCATGTGTGCATTTTCACTCATTTTGGTCAAGGTTAAACTGACATGTATAGCACTGAGGTCTGTAGGGTTCTTAATATCTTTTGAGTCTTGCTGTGAAATGAAAGTGTGGGAGGTTTCCTTTGTCCATTAGCAGCCCCAAGAACCAGAACCCTTTTGCTGCTTTTCTTACATACCTAACAGCTCTCCAGTCATGATGACCAAGGTTGTTCTTCAATCAAATGTGTTTGTGGGATTTTCAGTCCGCAAATGAAGTGCTCTCTAATGAATGGGACACCATGATAAATATGTATTTATATTTAGATGCCAAAGTATGGCAAATTATTTCCAAATGATAACTACAAATGGGAATTTTCGATATTCTACCTTTTTTATAGAACCAGCTCACTTTTCATTTCTTTTTCATTTTGAATTAAGAAAATTGTTGAGGATGTGGTGGGTTCCAGTGTGTGGAATGGAAAGGAAACTGCAGAATAGTGTCTGCTCCCCATTCAGAGGGACTGCTTCCTGTGCCCCCCAGACCCGGGGCTTCGACAGCTTCTCCACATTCCACACAGATGCCTAGGAGCAGCGAGTTGGTATATGAAAAGTCTCCCACCTTTTCTCCTAAAACTTCTCTCCTTTCTCTCCATAAAAAGAAAAGGAAAGGAACAAAAGAAAAACATTCAGTTTTTCTTTTTCTGAAAAAGGTAAGTCCTTTCCTGAAGTCATCAAATGAAACATTATCTGGAAATTAGTTTCTAATGTTGTATATGAAGAAATACTTAAATATAAGTTCCTGCAGTATTTATTAGATAGTTGTAACTGTAAACTCACCTCCCTAGTAGATAAGAGTTTCAGGTTAAATACTGGAACATATATAGGCAGTCAAAAATACTACTTTAAATGTCATTCACCTATTTTAAAGCCATGTTTTAGCACTTTTTAGGCCAAAGAAGGTCTGATAGTGCCTGTTTTTATGTTCTGTACTCTCACAAACTTTGTTACTCAAAATTATTGCATGGCAGGAGAGATTGGATTATTTATTTCTTATATTTTTATAAGTAAAAAAATCTTTCTAAACAACAAATACCTAACATTATTACTGATTGTTTTCCTAATTTATCCTCCTAAGTTGAATGGTAACAAAGCTTTTCCAGCTGAATGAATGCACTTAGCTGATAAACCAGAATTTGTTCTTTTTTTTCCTTCTTTTTTTTTTGAGACAGGTTCTCACTCTGTCACCGAGGTTGGAGTGCAGTGGTATGATCATAGCTGACTGCAGCCTCAACCTTCTGGGCTCAAATGATCCTTTCACCTCAGCCTCCTGAGTAGCTGGGACCACAGGTGTGTGCCACCACACCTGGCTAATTTTTATGGATTTTTTTTTCTTTTTTTTTTTTCGCCATGTTGCCCAGGCTGGTCTTGAACTCTTGGCACTCAAGCAGTCCTTCTGCCTCAGCCTCCCAAAGTGCTGGGATTACAGATGTGAGCCACTGCACCTGGCCCCAGAAATTATGCTTAAAAAAAAAATTAAGCTGTGTGGAATCTGGACAAGGCTATGTTTCTCCTAGAAACAGGTTTTGCTGTAAATGGTTTTGATGGGCGAAAGTGTGAGAAAAGGTTATAATAGATTCTTTTTTTTAATTTTGTGAGAAATTCCAGGTCTTCTTGCTTAACTTATATGCATGTGGATATATTTGTTTTCAAAGCCATGGAAGAATCTCTGTTCATATATTTTAATGCAAATTACCTTGTATGCTGCTATGCAAATTCTATTAAAAGGCCTACCTGCTTAAGAATTAAACATTTTTGAAACTTTCAGGGAAGACCTGTAGACTCAAGCACTTTCTCTGCTTTTTTGTATCTTATCTTGGACACTTATGCTGAATTATGTTCTTATTATTTTCACTGGTTATAAGCTATTCCTTGTACATAATATTTAAACTATCCAAATATCCAGCATACATTTCCATGTGGCTGCCATCGGCTGTTGATGCCATGAATGAAATGGCTGGTTAGAAAGCCAAAGGTCTTCTTTTTTCAATTCCTAATGAATAAGTAAAATGCCAGATCTCTTTGGTCTCAAAGCAAATTGCTCTGATCAGATCAAATATCTATGTAATGAAAAGAGACTTACTTAAATTTGGGATTCTGCTTAAACTTTAAGTTGAATTTGACTGTAGTCATTCATTCTTTTTATATATCTCTGTCAGGTATGACATTAATTACCAGGTGGTATTATACTCTACTTTGAGTTTGGACATCACTTTCAGTTAAATTTCTGTTGTTATTGTGGCTTTTTTTTTTTTTTAACCCCACTGAAGATGGAAGTAGAGCAGTCTGCCATCTCCTGCTGTTCTTTCTCTGTGCCCCCTAATTGCTTGGTAATCTAAAATTATTCTGACTTTCCACATACTGTCTTTAAAAACCAATTGTAGCAATCTGCCCGCCTCCACCCTTTAAGCTAAATCTTTCACTGTGCTGGATACATAGACACTCGATAAATGTGTGATGATAGTTCTAAAATAATTATGCTATATATCAGGGTTCTGTATTTTTGAGCAATATCATTATTCCTATGCTGTGATGTTAAATGGAATTTATTTTACACTAGTAATAGACTGCTTAAGTGGCTGATTTGAAACCTTTCTCTAAAAAAACAAAAACATCTGGCAGATGAGTGACACAAATTCATTCTCTTAAAGGATAGAATTTCAAGTTAAGGATAAGGCACAATAAATAGGCACATAGAGGACATCTGTTTTTGTTTTTGGTTTTGGTTTTGTTTTTTTTTGTCTCTCTGACTAGCTAAACTGCCAACTAGAAGAATGGTTGTTATGTAGTAACTCAGAAGAATCTTTTAATAAGTTTCTTCTTTTGTTTCAAAACAAACTTGAGCTTCATTTCTTGCCACCTCTATTCTTTCTTCCCACGTTGGGTGACTGAACTGATGCTTATTCTAGTTTTAGAAGAGGATCCACATTTAATGTAAGGCATAAATATGCCTTTTGCAAATTATTGCTTGTTCTCCAGTGAACATTTGATCATATTCAACAGAAATCCACCATATAAACCATAATCCTTGAATTGCCCCTTTTAAAATAGATTGGTTAAAACCAAAAACCTATAAGAGAGAAATGATATTTCATTGTATTGTAGGTTTGGGAATCCTGGTTAGATTTATAATTTCTGGCCGGGTGCGGTGGCTCATGCCTGTATTCCCAGTACTTTGGGAGCCCAAGGTGGGTGGATCACCTGAGGTAAGGAGTTTGAGACCAGCCTGGCCAACATGGTGAAACCCCATCTCTACTAAAAATACAAAAAGTTAGCTGGGCATGGTGGTGCGCGCCTGTGGTCCCAGCTACTCGGGAGGCTGAGGTGGGAGAATCCCTTGAACCCAGGAGGCAGAAGTTGCAGTGAGCTGAGATCATGCCATTGCACTCCAGCCTGGGCAACAGAGCGAGACTTCATCTCCAAAAAAAGAAAAAGAAGAAAAAGATTTATAATTTCTGAGTCCCCTAAGTCCCTTTCTCAGTTTGCAATAATCTTACGTCCATGCTATTGACACTAATTTTGAAACTGGAAAGCTAATTAATGACATATTCATGTGTTCTTTCATCTAATAAACATTTATTAATGTATAGTTCTACACCAGGCATTCTGAAGGGTCCAAAAGAAAGTTCCTGCCCTCTAGTAGCACATAATCCGTTATTTCTCAGCACACCATGCCATCTGTTTATCATTCAGCAGTTAAGTAATTCATCACTTCATATTTTTACCAAAGTATATTTACAAGTCTGTTTATCTGGATCTGGCAAACTGGAAAATGTTTGAAGGGATACTCAGGCTTTGATCCATGCCAACATGAAAGGACTCCAAGCACATTTAAGTAGGCTGGTCTTTTCATCATGCATGATTTTTTTTTTAGTGCAAATTTAGACTTTAGTTTGGGAAAGAGAACAGTATACAGTATCCTTTGTAAGATAAATCACAACAACAAAAATTAAGTTTTATTGCACAAAGTAGATAAATGAGAAAGTCTTTCTTAAAAAATGCTTCTTTAACTGTAACAGCAAAACTAAATGCATATTTTATCAACCCCTTATTTCTAATTGCTGTATTCATTTCCACCCTTAAACTATTTAAGCATTTCATCTGCTGAAAGTCCTTATATACATGGTAGACGGAATATTTCTCCATTAATGATAGATCAAAATGAAGATATTTAAAAATTAACAAAATCAGGCCAAGGCAGGAGGATCACTTTAGCCCAGGAGGTCCAGACCAGCCTGGGCAACACAGCGGGACCCCGACTCCATTTAAAAAATTAAAAAAAAAAAAAAAACTTTTAACATTTAAAAAATAAAAATTAACAAAATTTCACTTATTCCAGGACACGCTGGCATTTGGACTCAATGAAAAGGGCACCTAAAGAAAATAAGGCTGACTGAATGTTTTCCATAATTTTCACACAATAACAGTCCCTTTCTATCCAGCTTGCCTTCCATTTATCTCTAGGGTTAGCTTTTCAGGCAACATCCTTGGTCATTGCCCAGAAAGTACCTGAGCTATCAGTGATTGGAATGGCACAGGAAACCGAATCACATGGGTGCCCTCCCCTTGGTTTTCAAGTATCTTGGAGTTGTGCACAAAAATTAGGTCATGCCTTCAGTGTCTTGTTCTTTAAACCTACCCTTTGACAATCAGGTGCTAATGATTGTATACTATTAAAACCAGCACATAAGTATTGTAAATGTGTGTTCCTCCTAGGTTGGAAGAAATGTCTTTCCTTCTATCTGGGTCCTGTTAAAGCGGGTGTCAGTTGTGTCTTTTCACCTCGATTTGTGAATTAATAGAATTGGGGGGAGAGGAAATGATGATGTCAATTAAGTTTCAGGTTTGGCATGATCATCATTCTCGATGATATTCTCACTTTGTCGCAAATCTGCCCTTATCGTAAGAACAAGTTTCAGAATTTTCCCTCCACTATACGACTCCAGTATTATGTTTACAATCCATTGGATGAGTGCAGCATTATAAGACCTTGGTGCCCAGAAAAATCTGTCCTTTTTGGTACCAAACCTGAGGTCTTTTGGAAGATAATGTAGAAAACCACTACCTATTGAAGGCCTGTTTTGGCTAATCTGTGCAAACTCTGATGATACCTGCTTATGTGGATTCTTTTCCACACTGCTTTCATTTTTAAGTATAAAGACTTAGAAAACTAGAATAATGCTTTTACAAATAATTAAAAGTATGTGATGTTCTGGGTTTTTTCCTTCTTTTTAGAACCCTGTATTTAAACAAGCCTTCTTTTTAAGTCTTGTTTGAAATTTAAGTCTCAGATCTTCTGGATACCAAATCAAAAACCCAACGCGTAAAACAGGGCAGTATTTGTGTTCCTAATTTTAAAAAGCTTTATGTATACTCTATAAATATAGATGCATAAACAACACTTCCCCTTGAGTAGCACATCAACATACAGCATTGTACATTACAATGAAAATGTGTAACTTAAGGGTATTATATATATAAATACATATATACCTTTGTAACCTTTATACTGTAAATAAAAAAGTTGCTTTAGTCACGTGGGTTGTTTTTTTTTTCCAATTTTTAAAATGCTGAAATAGTTTTGAACCTACAGGAAAGTTACAAAAACAATACAAATCTTCTTCACCCAAACCTTCCAGTTGTTAACATTTTGCCATATTTATTCCATTACCTTGTCTTTCTCTAATATGATTCTCTAGCACCCTTAAATTCTCTAGTGAGGACCTCCAAAACATAAGGACAGTCCTTGCATTGCCACCATAAAGTCCTCCTAATCAAGAAATCAACATTGGCACACCACCACTCATTCCATAGACCCCATTCAAATGATGCCAGCCATCCCGGCCATGTCCTGTTTTCCTCTCTGGCCTTGGATCCTGGCCAATACCACTTTCTTGCCTTTTGTCGTCGTGTCTCAGTTCTTCAGTCTGGAATGTTCCTCGGCCTTACTCTAATTCGCATGTGCCTGAGTCTCAGCACAAGGCTTTGATTGTTCAGCACAGCTCTCCAGCTGGCTCTATTCGGTGTTGCCTCACAACCAGGCTGTGTCACACACTCTTGGCAGAGATGCCACGATGCCATGCTCTCTTCAGGGTATCATGTGGAGAGACACACGAGGGCCACGCATCCCACCACCAGGGGTGTTCCCTTCGGTCGCGTAGTCAAGCTAATGTCCTCATTGTTTTCTCCTTTGTATTTATTTATTTATTTAGAGATGGAGTTCCGCTCTTGTCGCCCAGGCTGGAGTGCAATGGCGTGGTCTTGGCTCACTGCAACCTCCGCCTCCCAGGTTCAAGCGATTCTCCTGTCTCAGCCTCCCAAGTAGCTGGGATTACAGGTGCCCACCACCATGGCCGGCGAATATTTTGTATTTTTAGTAGAGACAGGGTTTCACCATGTTGGCCAGGCTGGTCTTGAACTCCTGACCTCAAGTGATCCACCTGCCTCGGCCTCCCAAAGTACTGGGATTATAGGCGTGAGCCACCGCGCCCGGCCTCTCCTTTGTATTTAATTAGCATTTTGTGAAGAGAGATTAAGGTGTGCCAATTTTTTGGTTTTTTTTTTTTTTTTTTTTTTTTTTTTTTTTTTTTTTTTTTGGAGGCAGGGTCTTGCTTCATTTCCCAGGGTGGAGTACAATGGCCTGGTCACGGCTCACTACAGCCTCGACCTCCCAGGCTCCAGCAATTCTCCCAACTCAGCTTACGGAGTAGCTGGGACTACAGGTGTGCGCCACCATGCCCAGATACGTTTTTTATTTTTTGTAGCGATGGGGGTTCACCTGTTGCCGAGGCTGTTCTCGAATTCCTCGGCCCAAGCAATCGGCCTGCCTCGGCTTCCCAAAGTGTTGGGATTACAGGCATGAGCCCCCATACCCAGCCTCAACTTGGATGTTTTTTGCCCTCCATTTTTTTTCTCTCACAGGATAGACTTGTGGACAAATGGATCACTTGCCTCTGGTGCGTTTTTTTGTTTGTTTGTTTTGTTTTGTTTCTTAATTTAGCGACGAGGTCTTACTATGTTGCCCAAGCTGGTCTTGATCCTCGGCTCAAGCAATCCTCCTGCCTTGGCCTCCCAAAGTGCTGGAATTACAGGCGTGGGCCAGTACACCCAGCCCTAGAACTGCTTTGATCATTGTATCCCCAGAAACTAGCACACAACGCTGCACACAGTAGGTGTGCATGCCTGTAATCCCAGCTACTCGGGAGGCTGAAGCAGGAGAATCGCTTGAACCCGGGAGGCGGAGGTCGCAATGAGCCGAGATCATGCCACTGCACTCCAGCCTAGGCGACAGAGCAAGACTCCGTATCAATCAATCAGTCAATCAATCCAAGCAAAACAAAACTGGCTTTGAACAGTCAGCGGCATCCCACCAGGGATTGAGCCCCAGTGTGGGGCACACTCTGTTTACATTAGCTAGCTCATTTATTCCCCACAAAAGCCAGACAAGGCAGGTACTAATTATGATCGTGCGATATTAAACATGGAGAAACCAACGCTCTGATAAGTTCGTTTTATTGTGAGAATAAAACTGCTCAATGGGCGCTGTTATTCCAAGCGAGGTCAGGATTTCCGGATTCTACCCCGCTCCGCCCCTGGCCCCGCCCCGAGAATGTACGTCCCGCCAGGCCCCGCCCCGGCCTTGTCCCACCCACCCCGTCCCCGCCCCCTGTCCGTCTCGCCCTAGTCCCACCTCCTCGTCCCCAGTCAGTCCTGCCTCTCGAACCGCCCCCTGCCTTCGCCGAGGCAGGGAGAGGTGCCTGCAGTGCGAGCCGTGGACGCTAGGGGGCAGCCGCTCGGCTCGGGCCCGACCGCTCTGGGCTGCGCTCCTCGCTTGCCCTCGGACTCGGCTCCCGCTGCGAGCGGCCGCCCTGCCCGCGCACCGCGCTCAGCGCCC
Source organism: Homo sapiens (assembly GCF_000001405.40). Classification (NCBI taxonomy): domain Eukaryota; kingdom Metazoa; phylum Chordata; class Mammalia; order Primates; family Hominidae; genus Homo; species Homo sapiens. The sequence continues at coordinate 69,311,411 of NC_000016.10, forward strand.
ACCGCCGGGCTTCCCGCGCCGGACCCAGTACCTCGGCTCCCCGGGGCCGGACCGAGGCCGCAAGCAGCGCCGCGGGGTGTGGGGCGGACCCAGGAGATGAAATGACAACGTCAACCCTCCAGGTACTTCGTGCGGCCCGGCCCGACTTCGGAGGCCGAAGGCAGCGGGGCCTGCGGGCCGCAGAGCCGGGCGGCGGGCGGGTGGTCAGGTGGGCGCCTCCCAGCCCCGGCCTCGCGACCCCGCTCCGGCCGCCCCCTCGCCGCTTCCGCCCGTGTCTGTTTCCACGCGCTCGGAGCCGGGTGGCATCTCCACCCTCAGGCCTTCCGGCCCTGCCCGGCTGGCCCAGCCCCAGGGCCGCTTCGTGTAGCCGGCGCCCCGGTACCGCCGTGGGGATCAGCCTCACCCGAGCCGCACAGGCACCCTCAGGAAGCTCGGCCCGGGGTCCGGCTGGGCGTTCAGACAGCGATGCTCGCTCCCTCCTCTCCTGTCTCGCTCCCTCCTCTCCTGTCCCGGGTCCTGGAAGTCCCTCGACCTCACTTCGAACAAGCCCCGGCCCCTTCCCCAATCTTCGACTTCCTCTTCTCGGCCAGCGACCCTTCATTCATTCCCTAGATCCTGCAGGGTGGTGCTGGGATGGCGCCACCTGGGTGAACAACTGACCCACCCTCTAGGTGCTGTCAGTCCTGCGGGGCCAGAAGAGATCAACATGCTCAGGCCTCATTCCGGGGTTTGAATCTCAGCTCTGCCACTCACCAGCAAGTGACCTTGGGCTAGTTTTTTTTTTTCATCTTCGGGTCTCGAGTTTCCTGGTCTGTAAAATGGGGTAATGCCCTCTAGGTTGTTGTGATGATAGCTTTAAATTGAATAATTACGGTAAAGCATTCTTGTATGTCTGGCACATAGTAGGTGTCCATTAAGTGACAGCCAACAAAGTGCCTGGGAGAGTTAGGCAAGACTTCATGGAAGAAGGGACATCAGAGTTCCAGTAGCATTCAGAGACCTGGAGGTGGAGGAGGGCAGAAGTAGGAGCAGACATGGAATGAGTTGGGGTACCAGGTTAGGAATTAAGAGTCCATAGCCAGATCCCACCGTACCACCAGCAGAAGCCGCAGATCCCGTCTGCCCAGGCAGGTTTTTTATGGCCCGTGAACCGAGAATGTTTTTCAGTTTCAAACACAGGTGTATTTATTTATTTTTAAATTTTATTTATTTATTTTTTTGAGATGGAGTCTCACTCTGTCACCCAGACTGGAGTGCAGTGGTGTGATCTTGGCTCACTGCAGCCTCTGCCTCTCAGGTTCAAGCGATTCTCCTGCCTCAGCCTCCTGAGTAGCTGGGATTACGGGCACCCGCAACCACGCCCGGCTAATTTTTGTATTTTTAGTAGAGACCGGGTTTCACCGTGTTGGCCAGGCTGGTCTCGAACTCCCGACCTCAGATGATCTGCCCACTTCGGCCTCCCAGAGTGCTGGGATTACAGGTGTGAGCCACGGGTCTGGCCTAAACACAGCTTTATTAAGGTATAACTTGCGTGCTTACCATATAACTCACCCGTTATATATTTTTGTTTTTATTAATTTTTTTTTTTGAGACAGTCTCATTCTGTCACCCAGGCTGGAGTGCAGTGGCACAATCTCAACTCATTGCGGCCTCCGCCTCCTGGGTTCAAGTGATTCTCCTGCCTCAGCCTCCCAAGTAGCTGGGATTACAGGCACCTCCCATCACACCCAGCTAATATTTTTTTGTATTTTTAGTAGAGACGGGGTTTCACCATGTTGGCCAGGCTGGTTTCGAACTCCTGACTTCAAGTGTGATCTGCCCACCTCGGCCGCCCAAAGTGCTGGGATTACAGATGTGAGCCACTGTGCCCAGCGCAACTCACCCATTTAAAGTGTATAATTCAGTGCTTTTAGTATATTCATGGTTGTGTGACCATCACCATAATCACTTTTTAGAATATTTTCATCACCTCCAAAAGAAACCCCTCACCCACAACCCCTCTCTCTCCCAGCCCTGGGCAACCACTGCTAATCTACTTTTTTTCTCTGTGGGTTTGCCTACAGAGAAACCCACTTTATATAAACAGAGTCATACAATAGGTGGTCCTTTGTGGCTAGCTTCTTTCATTATGACTTAACATAATGTCATAGGTTTTTACATTTTTTAAATGGCTTGAAAAACAGTATTTCATGACACATGAAAATCCTATGAAATTCACATTTCAGGGTCTATAAATAAAGTTTTATTGGAACACATCCCTGTTCGTTTATTGATATACTGTCTACAGCTGCTTTTGTGCCATCAAGGTAGAGTTGAGTCGTTGCTACAGAGATTATCTGGCTGGCAAATCCTAAATTATTTACCATCTGGTCCTTTACAGTAAGCATTTGCCAGCCCCCATTAGCACTCTTTTCTTTCATCCTCATCTTTTGCCATACGTGTTACTAGAGATGCGGCGGGGCTGGCAGTTTCTCACCTTACCCTCCTGTTCTGTAAAACTGTTTCTCTCCATTGAAACTTGGACCCCCTGTGTGTGAAAAACTGTATGTGGCTGCCAGAAAAGTCCAGTGCACTCTTTTTTTTTTTTTTTTTTTTGAGATGGACTCTTGCTCTGGTGTGATCTCGGTTCTCTGCAGCCTCCACCTCCTGGGTTCAAGCAATTCTCCTGCCTCAGCCTCCCAAGTAGCCGTAACTACAGGCACGCGTCACCACACCCGGCTAACTTTTTGTATTTTTAGTAGAGATGGTGCTTCACTGTGTTAGCCAGGATGGTCTCAATCTCCTGACCTCCGGTGATCCGCCCGCCTCCGCGTCCCAAAGTGCTGGGATTACAGGCATGAGCCACCGTGCCCAGCCCCAGCACACTCTTAGGTGTATTACTAGAATTTCCAAAAGGAGGGAGGGGATGGGTCAGTGCTGCTCCTTATGGGACAAAGAATACCTTCAGTATTGTTCTAAGGATAGACCCAAGCATGAAGCTACAGAGAGTGAAAAAGTCCAAGGTACTGGGGGTGTGTGTTCTGGAGACGAGAAGCCACCAGGGAGAGGAGCGCTGCCTTCCTGTCTCATCTGAAGGAACATCATGCAGAAGAGGGCAGACAAGGGCAGCCTGTGCCTAAGCTCATTTCCAAGAAGGTTTGGGGCTCCCAGCCATTCATTGTAGGTAGTAGAGGGAGCAGAGGCTTGAAAATAATGGCCAGCACTCACCCCTCTTCTCATCTCTTCAATCCGCTGAGTTCATTTCACATCAGCCTGGCCCAGCCTCCCCTGGCCTGTCTGTTTTGTCGAGCTGTCTGTGTGTGTTTCTTTCGGAGACTTCTTCCTTGCAGATAAGAGAGGGCTGAACAAATGCCCCGGCCCTGCCAAGAGCCGGTCAGGAGGTTTATTGTTTGCTGTGCCTGGAACCGTGGGTCTGCGGTGGGACTGCCTGCCTGGTAACTGGTGCCGGATCTGAGGAGGAGAATTCTGGTCATGCTTCGTGCAGGCGTTGGTGAAGCTGCGGTTTTTAAAACCAGGCTTTAAAACCATGTAGGTGCTTTACTGACCGGTCGCGGTGGCTCATTTCTGTAATCCCAGCACTTTGGAAGCCAAGGCGGGTGGATCACTTGATGTCAGGAGTTCGAGACCAGCCTGGCCAACATGGTGAAACTCTGTCTGCACTAAAAATACAAAAATTAGCCGGATGTAGTGGTGGGCATCTATCACTTGAACCCAGGAGGTGGAGGTTGCAGTGAGCCGAGATCGCGCCAGTGCACTCCGGCCTAGATGATAGAGTAAGACTCTGTCTCAAAAAATAATAATAATAAATAAAACCACGTAGGTGCTTTCAGTTCAGCCTAAGGCACTGGCCTACAGGATTTATGAGATTCCCAAAGACACTCATTCTCACAGAGCTCTTAGAAGGTTCCAGAGGGACACAGTTCTCTTCTGTTGGCAGCAGGGAGCAAGCAAGTACTTTTCTTACTGGAGCTACTGGTATGTGGAGCATTGTGTGTAAGCGTCCCTTCCCAGGGTGTCACTTTAGACAGCGAAGGAAACTGTCTTCTCTCTGCAGCCTGGAGAAGCAAGCTGCATGGAGCCAGGAGGAGGAGGAGAGAGGCCTTTCAGTGTATCCTGTGCAAACTTGCAGTCCGGGCAGGACTTTCCTTCTGGCTGGCTCTTCTCTGGCCCTGAGGCCGGGTGCAATTTCTGGTCTCCTTGCTAAACAAACCAGCAGTCACTTGCTCCCGCGTGTCCCTTCTGCCAGGCTCTCAGCTCGGGTCTGTTTCTCTTTCCCTTGAGGCAGCAGAATAGAAAGTCCCATGAACTTGCCCCTTGAGCCCTGACCTGAGATATTAGGTCAGGTTTCCACTTGCTGAAATCCAGAGCGTGGCTTTTAACCGTCTGAGCTTATTGTGAAGATGGCCGGCTGGTTTTCAAAGCCTTCTTTGAAGGCCTTTCTAGCCGATGTTGAAAAAGTAGGCCAATGAAATGGCCCGCAAGCAATAAATCCACAGGCCCAGCGGCATCCCTCGTCACGTTTCATCCCCATGCCTGTGACCCCAGGGACTTTCCACCTCTCCGAGGAAGCACTGAGCCATTTGCTTTGCCTTTCCAGAAAGCCATTGATCTGGTGACGAAAGCCACAGAGGAGGACAAAGCCAAGAACTACGAGGAGGCGCTGCGGCTGTACCAGCATGCGGTGGAGTACTTCCTCCACGCTATCAAGTGTGAGTCACACGAGGGGTCCTCAGGCTGCCGCACTCCAGAGGGGAGCGGAGGAGAGGGGGTGGCGCACGAGCCTCACAGGGGCCCCTCTGTGTTCCCTTTCACAGATGAGGCCCACAGCGACAAGGCCAAGGAGAGCATTCGAGCCAAGTGCGTGCAGTACCTAGACCGGGCCGAGAAGCTGAAGGATTATTTACGAAGCAAAGAGAAACACGGCAAGAAGCCAGTCAAAGAGAACCAGAGTGAGGGCAAGGGGTGAGTGTCTGCAGCGTCCGCCCAGGAACCTGGGCCCTCCTCACGGCTCCCTATCATTCCTGGCGCTCATGCTGCCTTGGACTTCCCTGTGGGAATGGTCCTCATAGTGCAGGGATGACAGTGCCAGCAGCTGCTTTCAGGGAGCATGGCCTGGAGCACTTCCATGTTCACCGTCTCATTGGATCTGACCCACAAGCCATGGGGAGAGGGGGAGCTTGGTGCAGATGGTAGAGCCTCTCAGGACGGGACCCCAGCTCTGTCACCTCCCAGCCTAGTGCCAGGACCCCGTGTGCCTACCATCTCCACATCTTGGAAGTGGGGAGGTCGTGGAACTCACCTCCGAGCGTTGCCACAGGGAGCAGTGAGATGACGTGGGCAGTGCCCTTGGAGCTTGGCACACGAGAGCATGCAATGAGTGCCAGCTGCTGTGACTGTCAAAGAGTCACCTGCCTCCAACAGGTGGGGCGGCCGGCTCGGGTTAGGAGCCCTGCCGAGGTGGCACAGGATGGAACTTGGACCCCCAAAGCAGGGCGGGTGGCCCCGATTCCCCAGCCAGGGTCCTCTCCACAGCCTCTCACCTCAGGTACTGGGTTCGCCCACCACGGTGATCCCAGTCATATGAACACAAATGCTGGTGGTATCTCGGAGGCGTGGGAGGGGAAGTGAGGGGGTCCCCCAGGCAGGAGAGGGGTGGGTGGTGTCAGCTGCCTCACCAGAGGCGAGGCCTCCTCCTGGATGGAGGGTCTGCACCACGTTCCCATCCGCAGAGGGAGAGGTCTGGCGAGGCAGGGGTGGAGGCCAGGGATCTCCAATAAGGATTAAATCAAGTTTTGAGGATGACAGATTCCATCCAGGGAGGAAGTAGCCCTGGGGTGACAGTGGCTGCGTTCTCCCCAGGAGTTCCCTTTCGATTTCGGTTTTGCTTTCTCCTCTGTCCTTCGGCAGTGGCTGCTTTGGAGTCAGGGGCACATGCTGTCCCTGAGTCTCTACAAAAAGCTTCTGGTGCGGGGCATGGTGGCTCACACCTGTAATCCCAGCACTTTGGGAGGCCAACGCGGGCAGATCACTTGAGGTCAGGATTTCAAAACCAGCCTGGCCAACATGGTGAATCCCGTCTCTATTAAAAATACAAAAAAATAGGCCGGGCGCGGTGGCTCACGCCTGTAATCCCAGCACTTTGGGAAGCCGAGGCGGGCGGATCACGAGGTCAGGAGATTGAGACCATCCTGGCTAACACGGTGAAACCCCGTCTCCACTAAAAATACAAAATATTAGCCGGGCGTGGTGGCGGGCACCTGTAGTCCCAGCTACTCAGGAGGCTGAGGCAGGAGAATGGCGTGAACCCGGGAGGCGGAGCTTGCAGTGAGCCGAGATCGAGCCACTACACTCCAGCCTGGGCGACTGAGTGCGACTCTGTCTTAAAAAAAAAATTAGCCAGGCATTGTGGCATGTGCCTGTAATCCCAGCTACTCGGGAGGCTGACGCCAGAGAATTCAGAGAATTACTTGAACCCGGGAGGCGGAGATTGCAGTGAGCTGAGATGGAGATTGTGCCATCGCACTCCAACCTGGGCACCATCTCAAAAAAAAAAAAAAAAAAAAAAGAAGCTTCTGGCAGCTGCATTGTTTGACTGGCTTTTTTTTTTTTTTTTCCCCCAGACAGGGCTTCACTGTCTCCCAGGCTGGAGTGCAGTGGTGCGATCTTGGTTAACTGCAACCTCTGCCTCCCAAGTAGCTGGCACCATAGGTGCGTGCCACCATGCTTGGCTAATTTTGTGTTTTTTGTAGAGACAAGATCTCGCTGTTTCCCAGGCTGGTCTCAAACTCCTGGGCTCAAGCGATCCTCCCGCCTCAGCCTCCCAGAGTGCTGGGATTACAGGGGTGAGCCACCGCACCCAGCCTGGGCTGTGAGAGCCACTGCAGGTGGCCTCCCAGAGTATGAGGTGTGAGTCACCGCACCTGGCCTGGGCTGCTCTTTAAGTCCAGCTGAAGCACATTTCCCTTACGGCCTTCAGGAGAGGGCCGACCCGGATTCCCATCTGCTCCGCGAAGAAACAGGGCGGGTTATAGGAGTGTTTGCTGGGGGGGTCCTGAAGTGAGCTGCTGAGAGCATTGGCCCAAATGTCCCTGAAGTACTTGCTTGAGTCACACGGCACTGTTAAGCCAGGAAGGCTTCGTTCCTTAACCAGTGTGCAGGCAGCGGAGCCTGGACTTGCTGGGAGCACCTCTGTGCTCCAGGCTGAAGGGCCAGCTTGTGACTTTCCGTCTCCCTTCCCAGCAGTGACAGTGACAGTGAAGGGGATAATCCGGAGAAAAAGAAACTGCAAGAACAGCTGATGGGTAAGTGGCTCGCGGCCCTGTGGCAGCGGCAGGGGATGAGAGTGGGTCCGCTGCTGGGTTGGCTCATGCCCCTTGGCCGGGCCCGGGCCCGGGCCGGCCTCCCTCTCGCAGGTGCCGTCGTGATGGAGAAGCCCAACATACGGTGGAACGACGTGGCCGGGCTGGAGGGGGCCAAGGAGGCCCTCAAAGAAGCTGTCATTTTGCCAATCAAATTCCCACACTTGTTCACAGGTGAGAGTTGAGCCATTTCAAACCCCAATGTAAAAATTCCAGGCTTCCGCAGGGCTGGCACTCCGAGGCACCCGGGAGTCAGTGGCGACTCAGCCCCCGGGGCCTGCAGAGGGCCAGGCCTGGCTGCTCGCTGGTGTCCACAACACTGCTGTGGCTGGAGCTATGAGATGACGATCACGTCACAGGGTGGGGGCAGGATCAGGAAGCAGTGCCAGCCGGTGTCACTGTGCAAGGTCATGGGGTCATAGCAGGGGCACTGTGCAAGGTCATGGGGTCATAGCACAGGGCACAGCAGGGAATGTAGCTCCCATCACTTGTTTGCCAGTAGAGTCCGTTGTTTCACAGAATGCCCTGTTTTACTGTATGTATGGGACTCGAGACCCTCTGCTTTTCCTATTCCTTTCCCCAGTCAGGAGGCCTAACTTCTGTGGTTCTCTGTTGCAGGCAAGCGCACCCCCTGGCGGGGGATTCTGCTGTTCGGACCCCCTGGCACAGGGAAATCCTACCTGGCCAAAGCCGTGGCAACAGAGGCCAACAACTCCACCTTCTTCTCTGTGTCCTCCTCAGATCTGATGTCCAAGTGGCTGGGGGAGAGTGAAAAGTAAGTCGGCCACCAGGCCATGCTCTGCCAGCAGCCCCGGCACTGCTAGTGACCCAGCGGCCCACCCTGTGGAGTCACCTCTCAGAGGAGTGGTTTGGTTTTCAGGGAGGGTACCCAAGAGCAGTGTGTCGCTAGCTTATCGGCTGGGACACAGTCCCAACAAAGACAAGTGAAGGTGGAAGGGACCTGGGAGAGGTGAAGTGCTCCACAAGAGAAGGGAAAGGAAGTGAGGATATTTTTGGGGTCTGGGTTGCGGTCCCTGTTGGGGCAGTGTGTGGGGGACATGGTTCCCCACACTGACTCCTGTTTTGCGTGTGATGAGACGGGCTCGGAAGAAGGGGACTGACGTGTTGTAAGTGCAGAGCTAGCGCATGGGGCTCCTGGGATTGAGGCTCTGCGTTTGGGGCTGACACCAAGGTGTGCTCCTCCTCTTGGTGCAGTGTGGCCCGAGGGCTCCTCACCACCACGTTTTCCGCAATTCCGGCATGACCGTGGCCTGCGCCTCCCTGTGGGAAGGGTGAGAAGAGGGAAGTGCCGGGAGCCCAGGCGGGCACGGACGTGAACGTCTTGTCCTCACCCCCTTTCTCACCTTCACAGGCTGGTCAAGAACCTGTTTGAGCTGGCCAGGCAGCACAAGCCCTCCATCATCTTCATCGATGAGGTGGATTCCCTCTGCGGGTCCCGAAATGAAAATGAGAGTGAGGCCGCCCGGAGGATCAAAACGGAGTTCTTGGTCCAGATGCAGGGTGTGTGCCGGGCCCAGGGCCCCCTTGGTTCTTGTTGCACCTGAAGCCAACCCTGGGCTTTATTCTGAGCTGCGGCTGGATTTGGTTGTTCTCAGCCTCGGAGAGGCACTCCCCAGCTCCAGCCCCTCAGGGCACGGGTGGACTTCAATTCCCAAGAGGTGCCTGAGGCCTCTGCCTCACGGGCCACTCCACCCCTCCCATGGCAGGCAGTGCCATAGGTCTCACCTGGCACAGCCAGACCAAGATGTGGTTTAATCTCACTTGGGACCCTGCCAGTGGTGGGTGGCACAGGGATGGCTTCAATTGCTGACACACAAAGCCCCCGGGGTCTGTCCCCAGGTTTCAACTGACCCGTGCAGGTGTCCAGAGTCTGAGTCTTTGTCTCCCTTTCTCCACAGGGGTGGGGAATAACAATGATGGGACTCTGGTTCTTGGAGCCACAAACATCCCATGGGTGTTGGATTCGGCCATCAGGAGGAGGTGAGTCTTCCCCAGGAGAAGCCAGGGCTGGAGGCTTCCTCCCACCATGGTCACGGTCCGCCTGCTGCTGGCAGCCCGGGTGCAGCCTGGCCCCTTTTCCCTGGAGTCTTCCCGTCTGCCTGCCAAGCAGAGCCCTTTGTGAGGCTGGCTTGTTGAGGATGTGCCGCCAGCATCACTGGCCCATGAAATGCGTCCGTTTCACTCAAATCTTCGTGCCTCCCCTTCCGTGAATACCATTCCATCATCCGCTGTCAACTCCTGCCGTGTGCTGGGCTCTCTAGGTTTGAAAAACGAATTTATATCCCCTTGCCGGAGGAAGCTGCCCGCGCCCAGATGTTCCGGTTGCATCTCGGGAGCACTCCCCACAACCTCACGGATGCAAACATCCACGAGCTGGCCCGGAAGACGGAAGGCTACTCGGGCGCGGACATCAGCATCATCGTGCGGGACTCTCTCATGCAGCCCGTGAGGAAGGTGCAGTCGGCCACACACTTCAAAAAGGTGAGTGCCCGCGGCCACTGCTGAGAAAAATCTCATAGTAAGAGCGGGATGTTCGGTTTTTTTTTTCCCAGCTCCTGGTCCTGCTCCCCGGCTGCTCAGGTGACACAGTCTCTGAGGCCTCCTGGAGAGCCGAGGGCCAGTGCCATGGGGGCTGCACCCACTGTCCCCTCCCTGCAGCTCTTCTGGAGTGTGGCCATCTCAGGGTGTGTGAAAGCAGAGGACAGGGCCACTTTACTGTCTTAACCCTGCTGCGGCCTCCTCCGTCAGCACTGTGTGCTCTTGTGCGGGGTGGACACCAAATCAGTGTTTGGAAAGTGTTGGATATAAAATGACCAGGAAGACCTGTCTATTCATTCAGCAGATCTCTGCTGAGTATTTGCTGTGGGTCCTCCTGTGTGCCCGGCCCTGTCCTAAGTGCTGGGAAGATATGAGTGACCAACAGACAAAAATCCTAGACCTTCCGTTGTTGGTGGGGAGACAGTCAACACAGTCAGTGAGTGTCTCAGAGGATGGAGATGGAGCAGGGTTAGGAGAGAGGTGTCTCGGGCATGGAGGGAAGGGCAGATGGCACTGGGGTGATGCCTGAGACAGGAGGTGAAGGTGTGAGGGAATGAGCCTTGTGGACATTGGGGGAATGTTTTGCCAAGGCAGCGGACTTCAGTTGGAAAACCACTTTGTGTTAATCTATTTTCATGCTGCTGATAAAGACATACCCGAGACTGGGAAGAAAAAGAGGTTTAATTGGCCTTACAGTTCCACATGGCTAGGGAGGCCTCAGAATCATGGTAGGAGACCAAAGGCACTTCTTACATGCTGGTGGCAAGAGAAAATGAAGAAACAAAAGTGGAAACCCCTGATAAACCCATCAGATCTCGTGAGACTTCACCATCACGAGAATAGCACGGGAAAGACCAGCCCCCATGATTCAGTTACCTCCCCCTGGGTCCCTCCCACAACATGTGGGAATTCTGGGAGATAGATACAGTTCAAGTTGAAATGTGGGTGGGGGCACAGCTAAACCATATCACACTTTTAATGTCACTGTATTCCTGGTGAGACGTGACAGTGTTAATGAGGAAGACATCAAGGCATTGGGGCTACAGATTGCCAGAGTCCCATGCAAATCATGAGTCGCTCGGACCACCCAGCCCGAGTTCTGAAGGAGCCCGTCCTCCTCAGATGCTAGGGACCCACAGAGCATTCTCTTTGGGACTTCCTTAGAGACCGGAGGGGTCGAGCCCCTCTGACACTGAGGGGCAGCTGCCCCAGTCAGATCCATTTGGTTTCAGGTCTGTGGCCCCTCTCGCACCAACCCCAGCATGATGATTGATGACCTCCTGACTCCATGCTCACCAGGGGACCCAGGAGCCATGGAGATGACTTGGATGGATGTCCCTGGGGACAAACTCTTAGAGCCTGTGGTTTGCATGGTAAGTGACTTGACAGGGGAGGGAAGAGGGCTGCACAGAGCCCAGAAAATTGAGGGTTTGGGTCCAGAATAAAAACGGTCTTCTCCAGGCCAGGCATGGTAGCTCACGCCTGTAATCCCAGCACTTTGGGAGGCCAGGGTGGGCAGATCACAAGGTTAGGAGTTCGAGACCAGCCTAGCCAATATGGAGAAACCCTGTCTCTACTAAAAATACAAAAATTAGCCGGGTGTGGTGGTGTGCACTTGTAGTCCCAGCTACTCAGGAGGCTGAGGCAGAAGGATCGCTTGAAGCCGGGAGGCAGAGGTTGCAGTGAGCAGAGATTGGGCCACTGCACTCCAGCCTGGGTGACAGAGTGAGACTCCGTCTCAAAAATAAAAAATAGTCTTCTTCTATGTCCTGGGCTGTTGAGAATGGCCTTTGTAGCTCAGGGAAGCTGGCATTACACTCACTGGGGGCCCAGAATGCAGGTGGCAGCATTAGCATTTTGTACATACAGAGAAAGGCTAGATGCAGTGGTGCAGTGATAGCTCACTGCAGGCTTGACCTCACGAGCTCACACAATCTTCTGACCTCAGCCTCCTGAGTAGCAACAGGCACACACCATCATGCCCAGCTAATTTTTCCTTTTTTTTTTAGAAACGGCCTCACAGTGTTGCCCAGGCCAGTCTGAAACTGCTGGGCTCAAGTGATCCTCTCAGCGTGGCCTCCCAAAGTGCTGGGATTACAAGCATGAGCTGAGCCACCACACCTAGCCTGCATTTTATATTCTTTAGCAAGTAAAGTCAGGTCCAGATAATATGACGTCAATCCATGGGTTTGGCTTTGCGGTGCAGTGAGGCAGTGAATGTGTCAAGACTGTGACGCAGTTGCAAAGGCAGCGCCTCACCTGCATAGCCTGGCCCGTGCCATCCTGGCAAGGGTCTGCCCTTGTGGCTGGTGTTGGGGGTGTGCAGCTAAGAAGGCTCCTGGCCGGGCGCCGTGGCTCCCGCCTGTAATCCCAGCACTTCGGGAGGCCGAGGCGGGCAGATCGCCTGAGGTCAGGAGTTCAAGAGCAGCCTGGCCAACATAGTGAAACCCCGTCTCTGCTAAAAATACAAAAATCAGCCATGTGTGGTGGCACGTGCCTGTAGTCCCAGCTATTTGGGAGGCTGAGGCAGGAGAGTCACTTGAACCGAGGAGGTGGAGGTTGCGGTGAGCCGAGATCATGCCACTGCACTCCAGCCTGGGTGACAGACTCCGTCTCCAAAAAAAAAAAAAAAAAAAAAGAAAGCAAGTTCGTAAGGGGAGTTATGAGATGATGGAGCTTAGATTCTCAGACCAGGAGGAGGCCCATCTGAGCTGCCTCGAGAGGGAAGAGGGTCCCTGCCATAGGCAGATTCAAGCAGGCCTCTGGGGTGGCCTTGAAGGCAAACCTCTTCCCACCCTCAGCTGCGCCTGTTGTGTGCTGAGGGGAGGTTGGGGACCTGGAGCCTGGCTCCTGCTCAGGCACATACTGTTGCCTTCACAGTCGGACATGCTGCGGTCTCTGGCCACCACCCGGCCCACGGTGAATGCAGACGACCTCCTGAAAGTGAAGAAATTCTCAGAGGACTTTGGGCAAGAGAGTTAAAAGCTGCTTCACTTGGGCAATGGTGAAGGTGGGAGGTTGATTGGGGCAAATCCAGGCACTCCCCATGTCAACAGCCAGACAGGGCTCCAGGGCTTGTCCCAGTCAATACAGAGTTCCCTCTGCTGTCTGGCCGTCTGCCAGGGAGCCAGAAGGAAGGGCCTTGCAGCCACAGAGACACTCCACTGCCCTGGGGCACACAGTGGACACTGCTCTTCCTACTTCCTCCTCTCCTGGATGCTCATCAGCTCCTTCTGCCTCCCCCCCTTTTTTTTCCATCTTTTGTTCCCCTAAATTAATGCTGCTTGGATTTTCATCTTATTTATAAAGATAAAATCACCTGGAAGTGTCAAGGAGTGGGGCGGGGTGGCGGGGGAGAAGCAGCCGTGCTGCCAGGTCACCCAGACCTCCAGACAGCCGGCTAGCCCCACTGCCCGTTCCTTTTACGCCCAAGTTTTGCTCCTTGAGAGCAGATTGGCTGATGCCCCTGCAACCCCAGCCCAAGCTCTGCCTCAAAGACCGAGTGACATAAGCCATTCCCACCCTCCTAGGTTCACATCCAGGGCTGTGTCTTCCTTGGGGGAGGAGATGGTGTCGTTTAGATCAGGGTAAGGCAGTCAGGCGGGTGTTCACCACTGCCTTTTCTTCCTCTGAGCGTGAGAACACTGAACCCAGCCACTGCCCCTGGGTCCCTGTCCTGGAAATGGTCTAATAAATCCTTTTCCCTTCTTGAGCTACCCAAGTGATCTCATCTTTCCTTGACTCTTAACTGAGACTCTGAAGGGCCACCCTTGCTTCCAATTAAAAGACCCTCTGGTTTTCTGTCTCCTCTCTTTTCTAAAGCAGAGCAGGAAACAGAACACTGCAGTTCTTAGGCCTGTTCTCCAGTCAGGTGTGCAAGGCCTCCTCCCCTTAAGGCCTCAGAAGTTTGGCTGGGGATGTTTGTGGGATCCAGACAGTTCTTGCCGTTGTTCGGCCTACAGATCAGAGACTGCAAAGTGGGAGCCCTGCGTACCAGACCCGTCCTGCAGCTGTGTTTGTTTGGTTTGGTCTGCCGCTAACATTTAAAAGTCGAGAGTTGCTGGGCGCGGTGGCTCACGCCTGTAATCCCAGCACTTTGGGCCGCTAACATTTAAAAGTCGAGAGTTGCTGGGCGCGGTGGCTCACGCCTGTAATCCCAGCACTTTGGGAGGCCGACGCGGGCGGATCACAAGGTCAGGAAATCGAGAACATCCTGGCTAACACAGTGAAACCCCGTCTCACTAAAAATAAAAAAATTAGCCGGGCGTGGTGGTGGGCGCCTGCAGTCCCAGCTACTTGGGAGGCTGAGGCAGGAGAATGGCGTGAACCCGGGGGACGGAGCTTGCAGTGAGCCGAGATCGCGCCACTGCACTCCAGCCTGGGCGACAGAGCAAGACTCTGTCTCAAAAAAAAAAAAAAAGTCGAGAGTTGACATAAAAATTCAGAATTCTGACTTCTAGAAGATTAAATTAGGTAATGTTGGGCCTGCGTCCTCATGGGGCAGCCTGTCAGCGGCCACTAAGTAGAGGCTGCTCTGTACAGAAGGGGTCCCCCATCCCCACTCATCTGTGTTGCCTGCCCAGATAGCCCCATGGCCATTTCAGTTTGCGACCCCCAACAGACCAAGGACCCAGAGCTGGCAGCCCTGGACCCACGTCCGGCAGGCAGTGAAGCTGCAGAGGCTGTCCCACGTTTACCCCATGCATATAAACAGACCAAAGTCAAAGCACATTCACACAGAAAGACCTGGCCTAGTAAATGAAGCTTATAGCCTGCAAAGGGCTTTGTTCCAACCTTCCCTCTCCAAAACCCAGTACTGCTCCTCTACCTTTCAAACCTGGTTGGGCCAGAACTGATTACATGGCCAACTCTTGGCTCACACTGGGCTTGCACTGGGCCATTTCTTTGCTCTGGTTCAGAGCCTCTGCAGAAGTGAGCTAACTTTGGATCAGTAGCTCCAACACTTGGCTCCAGTGCTGGCAGGTTACCCCTCAACCATAGCAGCTGGGATCTTTGTGGCTTGGGGGTGCTTGTGTAAGTTCTTGGTTATGTGCCCTCAGCCACCAGGATATGAACCGTGTCTGCAGAGCTTCACTTTAGTGAGCTTACAAGTTTTTAAATTTTTACTTCTAGTTACATTTACTTGAATCAGAACGTTGTTTCCTCATTCCTACTGCTTAAACACCTTGACAAGTCCTAGGGGTTAACAAAGGTTAGCATGGCTATGGTCCATCCCTGTGCTCTAGTTAGAGCGTGAAGACACCTGACTTTCCAGTTGTCTCTCTCCATGACCAGCAACAGGAACCACTGACGCTGAACTTTGGACAGTGGCCTCAGACTCTGGCTGCCAGCACACAACCTGCCATCATCGATGTTAAACATGCTGACATGTGCAGAGGAGTTTCCTCCCTGAAATGCTCTGAAATTCACTTCTCTGCCTGGGGATTCTGTTATAAACCTTCTGCCTACATTGGCTTTCACTGTGGAAGTTGATTTCTAAAACTCTGATGAGCTCACAACGTTGACATGTATATGCGTTTTTTGTGAGTGCTTCCTGCTCAAAGTGGGAGAGATTTTACTGGAAATGCAATAAAGTTTGCATTTTATTGCTACCGATGCCCACCACAAAAGCGTTAACCTCAGAAAGCTATAAGAAGCATCAAAAGATTGCCATAGCCCCCTGTAAGAGCTTCTGAACATTGTCCAAATGAAAGGAGGCTCAGCTGAATTCTAATTTTCCTAAAGACCCATGTTTTTAGCATCTATGAGCTTTCTACAAATCTCCCCATTGGCTGCATCTCTGACCTTGCACCAGTATCTGGTTGGGATTCCCTTTTTTTTTTTTTTTTTTTTTTTTTGAGACAGAGCCTTGGTCTGTCGCCCAGGCTGGAGTACAGTGGCGAGATCTCAGCCCACTGCAACCTCTGCCTCCCAGGTTTGAGCGATTCTCCCGCCTCAGCCTCCCAAGTAGCTGTGATTACAGGCGCCTACCAGCACACCCAGCTAATTTTCATATTTTTAGTAGAAACAGTGTTTCGCCATGTTGGCCAGGCTGGTCTTGAACTCCTGACCTCAGGTGATCTGCCTGCCTTGACCTCCCAAAGTGCTGGGATTACAGGCATGAGCCACCAAGCCTGGCCGGGATTCCTTTTCAAAGTCTGGCTGCACCTAGAGCCAGTTTGCTTCTGCTTGGCCTCATGGGGCCTCAGAGAAAGCCACAAAGGAGGATGGGTCTTTCCTGGGTTCATTTAACTGCCATTTATAACACTTTTTCCTCTAAACAGCTTAATGGACTTCCTACTACTTGTATAGTTTGATTTTCAGGACTCTGTTCAGCAAGAATACCTACTTTACAAAACTCAGCATAAAAATGAGGTGAAACAGTTTAACTAAAACTGGAGTTTGGCTGGGTAGTGTGGCTCACAACTGATCCCAGCACTTTGGGAGGCCGAGGCAGGAGGATTGCCTGAGACCAGGAATTTGAGGCCAGCCTGGGCAACATAGTAAGACCCCCGTCTCTATCTTAAAAAAAAAATAAAAGAATAAAACAAGTTCCTTCACCTCTTGACAAGACAAAGCTGACACTTTTTTTTTTTGAGACAGAGAAAAAAAGAAAACTCTACAGCCAGAATCATACTTTTGAGTCTCGCTCTGTCGCCCAGGCTGGATGGAGTGCAGTGGCGTGATCTCAGCTCACTGTAACCTCCGCCTCCTGGGTTCAAGTAATTCTCTGCCTTGGCTTCACGAGTAGCTGGGATTACAGGTGCTCGCCACCACGCCCGGCTAATTTTTGTATCTTTAGTAGAGACAGGGTTTCACCATCTTGGCCAGGCTGGTCTTGAGCTCCTGACCTCGTGATCCACCCGCCCCGCCCTCCCAAAGTGCTGGGATTACAGGCGTGAACCACTGCACCTGGCCACTTTCTTAAACCTACACATTGGTTGCTGTGATATTAATTCTATTTTTACAAAATAAGTGTATAACCAGGAAGTACTAATCCTGCTTTCTATGCCCAATTGTTAACAGGAAAGGGCTCAGTGCACTTCTCAATTGTCACCCCTGCCCCCAGCCCTGATCCACGGCCTCTACCCCAAGAATGAGCCAAGAACCAGCTGCTCTAGGGATCTCAGCAGCAAAATCCTGCCCAAGGCTGTTAAAATGTGTGGGCACTCATTTACACTCGTGCTGTCATGAAACACATCCTTGAACAGGGACTATTCTCTTTCATTTCCATAAGCAAACTGGCGTCTAAGGCCACAAGCCCTCCGTAAAAATAAGAACTCGGCACAAATGGCCAGTCACATGCTTACCTGCATTTTTAAAGACAGCTTTCAGGTATTTGGGGACTACATTATTACCAAACCTTGGCTTTGGGAGATTATACAGGTCCGAGGAACTCGTGTCTACTGCAGACGAATGCAATTACCCCACCTTCCTCCATACAGAATTGTTAGGAAATGTCCACTCCTTTGGGGGTGATTTTTCTCCTCAAGTTGTAGCCAACATTTTGTCCGTAACTGATTTCAGGGCAAACATTTCTGACATCTTCCTCCAGCTCAGTCTGCCATGCCTTGGCAATCCAGTTTCCTGTCATATGCGAGCCATCCAAGTTGATGCCAAGTAAGATTTGCCCAGCTCAAAGTGAAAGTGTTTGCGTCTTGGTATCCGGAATCCTCAGCCCCAGTAGCAAAGCTTTAGTCATTCACCTTCATCCAATAGACGTTTGTGAACGTCCTGCTGTCCATTTTGTCAATAAACAGGCAGCCCTGCAGGTGGTCCATCTCGTGCTGGATGATGCGGGCTGCCCACCCGCTCGCCTGCCACACCACCTGTTCTCCATTGGGGTCCAGCCCTGCAAAGGAAGTTACAGCCCTGGTGAGTGGGAACAGCTGAACTGCATCATCCTCAACCTCCCTACCCCTGCCCCCGGTCCTGGCTGTTCCCATTGACAAGAGGCAACAGCAGATGGCAAATGTAGACAGCAGCTCCTCTTCTAACTGGAAAACGTCCCTCATCTCGGTCCATTACCAAGCGTTCAACCTGGTTCCCAACTCTGGTAATTAGGTTATCGAGCTCACTGTAGAGCTGAGATGAGAAATCATCTTTCTACGGTGCGACCCTTCCGAACACTCCTCCCACTTCTGAGGTACCTGTGGGCTCCCAACTCCTAACAGAGGTTCTGCAGCTTGAGACCCCACTTGTTTTTCTGACCATCTTGAACCGACGGGCTTGCTGTGCAGGAACAATCACCCCGACCCCAGCAGAGCCCGCATTCCGCGAGGCATCCTGTGGTACCACGGGGGAATGGCCTAGCCCCCTGGGCTGGGTCAGGCTGGCGGGGGCTAACCCCCACTTCTCCAACTCCACCGTGGCGGATCTAACTGGGGCCGAAGAGCGTGTTTGCCTCAGAGAGCAAGGGAGCAGAAAGCAGACGCCAGGCTGTCAGGTAACAGCGGAACTAGGGGACCTCTCCTCGCCCCTGCGTCCTATCTGAGCGGGCTCTACCCCACAGGAGCTTCTATCCGTCCTGAGGCCTCTCCGCTCCCGCATCCCACTTCGCTCCTGCGGGAGGTCCGGCGTATGAACCGCGACCACTTCTGCGCTCTCGCGGAGTCGGGCAGAAGAGACGCGCGCGCTGCTCCAGCAGCCCCGGTCCCCGCCGCCCGCACCTGAGATCTGCACCGCCTGGAAGCGGGGCACGCAGGCCAGGAAGCCGGCGACGCTCTCGCAGCCCTCGGGAAAGGTGACCAGGCGGCTGTCAAGCACTCGCAGGCTGGGGTTCACGAACACGCGCAGGGGGAAGGGCTCCATTTGGCGGAGCGCGCGCTGGCGGGGCGGGCACTCCCGACACAGCGCCTCGGGGAGCTCCAGCGCCAGCACCTGCCGCGGCACCCCCAGCTGCGGCGCGCTTAGGCCCACGCAGCGCCGCCGCCGCATCACCTGGACCAGCCGTTGCGTCAGCCGCTGCAGCTCGGGCCCGCCTAGCTGCGCCCGCTCCACCGGGGCCGCCACGCCGCGCAGCACCGGGTCCCCGACTTGGCACACGTGCGAGAACGGCGGTTCGGGAGGACCCAGCACCAGACGCCTCAGGTGGCGCCAATAGGAGCGCCGCAGCGCCGGGCCCTCGACGCCGTCCGGGGCGGCCGTGGAGCTGCAAGCCCGGACACCGACGGCTGCCGCCCCGCCCCACGGCACGGCCGCCCACAGTGGCCAAAGACTCAGCGCGCCCCACAGCCGGGCCATGGCGGCCCCCTTAACAGTGACCCGGCCCGCCCCTTCCGGCCGCAGCGCGGGGCACGCCGGGAAGCGCCGTCGGCCAGCACACAGCGAAGCCGCGACTGGATCCCCGCCTTCCTGCTTAGACTGGCAGTGAGCACCGCCCCCTTCCGCTCTCCTCCCGGGAGCGCCTTCCCGCCTCCCGAACCCGCCCCGGACCTTCCAGGGCGAGGCAGTCCTGGCCACCCCGCGCCGGGAACCTCACGCACCGCGTTCTGGAGGCAGGGGACGCCGGCTAGGGCCCCACGCTGGGCGGTTCGGCCTGCGTCTCCGCTCGCCCTCCCTCCGGGCAGGCTGGGCCCGCGGGCTCCAGGCGTGGCTCCTCGGCGGGAGGCTCTGGTGCTGGAGCTGTGAGCTCGGGCCCCAGCGCCTGGTCATCCAGGGTGAAAAGCGTCTCTCTCTTTGGCAGGATAAAGGCGAGGGGCTCCTGAATGGCGCCGATGTTCACATGCCCTAGGTTACCGTACTTGGAGAGCTGAGTGGGAGGAATGCCTAACCCAGACGTGGGGAAAGCAAAATGGAAAACAGTTACTAATAAAACTCAATATAGAAATTTAAGGGAGGCCGGGCGCGGTGGCTCACGCCTGTAATCCCAGCACTTTGGGAGGCCGGGGAGGGGGGGGCGGATCACCTGAGGTCAGGAATTCGAGACCAGCCTGACCCACACGGAGAAATCCCATCTCTCTTAAAAATACAACATTAGCCGGGCTTGGTGGCGCAGGCCTGTAATCCCAGCTACTTGGGAAGGCTAAGGCAGGAGAATCGCTTGAACCTAGGAGGTGGAGATTGCAGTTAGCCGAGATCGCGCCATTGCACTCCAGCCTGGGCCACAAGAGCAAAACTCCGTCTCAAAAAAAAAAAAAAAAAAAAAAAAGGAAATTTAAGGGAAAAAAAACGAGCCATTACTATTTTTTTTTTTGAGACAGTCTCGCTCTGTCGCCCAGGCTGGAGTGCAGTGGCGTGATTGCTGCTCACTGCAACCTCTGCCTCCCAGGTTCAAACAGTTCTCATGCCTCAGCCTCCGTGGTAGCTGGGATTACAGGCGCCCGCCACC
Organism: Homo sapiens; assembly: GCF_000001405.40. Lineage (NCBI taxonomy): Eukaryota > Metazoa > Chordata > Mammalia > Primates > Hominidae > Homo > Homo sapiens. The sequence continues at coordinate 69,331,658 of NC_000016.10, forward strand.
ATGCCAGGCTAATTTTTGTATTTTTAGTAGAGACGGAGTTACTATGTTGGCCAGGCTGGTCTCAAACTCCCAACCTCAGGTGATCCATCCGCCTCGGCCTCCCAAAGTGCTGGGATTACAGGCATGAGCCACTGCGCCCAGCCATCAATTACTATGTTTTAATACAGCAAAAACCACCTTTGTTACAGGGAATGGGAAGCTATACTGTGAAGCAGAACGTAACGGAACAGCAGTGTAGGGTGCCTGCAGCAGGAACCCAGACCTCAGGCAGCACCAGGGAAAAAGCAGAGGGCAGCCAGGCTTTGCACGTGTGATGCACTGACCCATTGCCCTTTGGGAAGCTGTGCCTCAACCAAGCCCCTCTCCTACCACAAAGGGACAAGGACGTGAAAGTGAATTGGAAAAAAGACTTTAGGACGGGCGTGGTGGCTCACGCCTGTAATCCGAGCACTTTGGGAGGCCGAGGTGGGCGGATCACAGGTCAAGAGATAGAGACCATCCTGGCCAACATGGTGAAACCCCGTCTCTACTAAAACACAAAAATTAGCTGGGCGTGGTGGTGCGAGTCTGTAGTCCCAGCTACTCGGGAGGCTGAGGCAGGAGAATTGCTTGAACCCGGGAGGTGGAGGTTGCAGTGAGCCAAGACTGTGCCACTGCACTCCAGCCTGGCAACACAGCGAGACTCCGCCTCAAAAAAAAAAAAGACTGTAAAAACCATTTCTCTAGATATTTCACATAAATGGAATCATACGTATGTAGTTCTTTTGTGACTGGCTTCTTCCGCTTAGCCAGATACAGCCACATAATGTATGATTCCATTTTTATGAAATGTCCAGAAGAGGCAAATCTATGGCAACAGAAAGTAGGTTGCCAGGGACTAAGGATGCTGTCGAGGAATGACTACAAACGTGCATGAAGGATCTTTTTGGAGTGATGGAAATATTCTAAAATTGGATTCATATTTACTAAAAAACACTGACTTACACAAATGGATGAATTATTTAGTATGTGAATTACACATCAGTAAGGCAGTTTACAGAATTTTCATTCTCTTACCTAAAGTCTGTGCTATCTGAGCTGGTGGAAAAAGGACTTGGAGACAGCGATTTAAATACGGAACAAGGTCTTCCAGGAAGACAGTGCAGAACTGGACAAAGAGCTCTTGCTCCCCGCTGCTGAAGGCAGCCTCTTCAGCGCGATGGAAGGCCAGGATTATTTTAGTTACCTAAGAGACAAGGGCACCGTCAATTACTGGGACAGCCTATCACCACTGGGACAGCAGTGCATGAAACTAGGCAAAAAAATGTATGCCCCTCCAGTTTTCCTGAACAAAGTAATTTAACAGTACATTATTTTACTGTCTCATTTAAACTCAGAATTATGGTCATTGTCCACAATTGTGTCACTTTATTAATGTGAAGTTCAGACCCAACTTGTTACATTACGGGTATAGTTTCCGGTTCCAGTGGAGGAGTGTCATAAAACTATAGAGAGAATACATGGTTTTGGTTTTTTTTTTTTTTTTTTTAGAGACAGGATTTTGCTCTGTCACCTAAGCTGGAGTGTAGCGGCACAATCAGCTCACTGTAGCTTCAAACTCCTGGGCTCAAGGGATACTCCCACCTTAGCCTCCCAAGTAGCTGGGACTACAGGCGTGCACCATCACGTCTGGCTAAGTTTTAAAATTTTTTGTAGAGACAGGGTCTTGCTTTGTTGCCCAGGCTGGTCTGGAGCCCCTGGCTTCAAGAGATCCTCCTACCTCAGCCTCCCAAAGTGTTGGCATTACAGGCGTGAGCCACTGCGCCCGGCCCAATACATGGTTCTTAACTTCCACGGAGGACCAACCAGAACTGTGCTGGATCCAGGAAAATGAAGCAAAACTATACAAGCTTTCTACTAAGCCCCGAGGTTTCAGAAAGCTAGAACCACTGGAAAACTGTAAGAAAACAGCTAGGAAAGAGAAGTTTCAAAACCAACAGAGCAGCCTAGCTGACACTACAGATATGTGGCATAGCGACAGGGTAAGAACACAGACTCTGATGCTGGACTTCCCAAGTTCAAGTGACTCACACCTGTAATCCCACACTTTGAGGGTCTGTAGCAGGAGGATCACTTGAGTCCAGGAGTTTGAGACCAGCCTAGGCAACATAGGGAGACACTATCTCTCTGTAAAATAAAACACTTTTAACAATAAAAATAAAAGAATATGCTAAAGGTAAAGGGTTTTGTAGATGTAATTAAAGTCCCTAATCATCTGACTTAATCAAATGAAGTTTTTAAAAGGAGGTACCTAAAAGAAGAGACTCAAGAGAGTAGCTCTCCTGCTGGCCTTGAGGAAGCAAACAGCCATGTTGTCAGCTGCCTATGGAGTGGACAGCCTCTAGGAGCTGAGGCTTCAGTTCTGCAATTGCAAAGAACTGACCCCTGCCAACTTGCATGAGTCTGAAATGGAGCCCCAACCTCCAGATGAGGCCATAGTCCAGCCAACACCTTGATGGCAACCCTGTAAGACCCTGAGCAGAGAGGACCCGGTTGTGCTGTGCCTGGACTCCTGACCCACCAAAACTGGAAGGTAATAAATGTGTTGCTGGAAGCTACTAAGTTTGTGGAAATTTGTTATGCAGCACTAGAAAGCTAATACGTGTATTACCGAATTGTTACTATAGGCAAATCACTTCATGGACTGTCCTAGGTCCCATGAAGGGCAACTGGCCAGAGCTTCTCAATCAGGAGAACCTCCAAAACCACACTAGACCTCTCCATGTCAGCAGACACCGTCAAATAGACGGGTTTATTACAAAAATCTGGCCACCCATTACCAGAGAAGGCCCAGGGTAGCAGAAAACCAACAGAATGTGCTCACCTTGGCAAGGGCATCTTCCAAGGCCCCAGTCACATCCTGCGCCAGGGCCACAGGGCAGCAGAGGCGCAGATCATTGAAGGCAACCAGAATATTGTTGAGAAAGCAGGCGAGGGGTGGGAAATCTAGGAGCACCATGGGTGGCTGCAGCGTCCCCGGCTGGGTGGCTGGCACAGCAGCAGGCATGTTACTGGTGCCCAGGATGGCTGGAGCCGAGATGAGCATGTAGGAGTTCATTTCTTCCTGGAATTTCTCCACTGTTTCCTGAATTGCTTTCTGGAAAGTGCTGATGGCCACCCGCTGGAAAACAGGAGCCAACTGACCCCGGAAATCAGCTCCCACCCGGCTGAAGGACAGCCCAAAGTACATGCACTGGCCCAGCAGAGAGTCCAGGTGGCCGCCTATGCCCCGGTAAAGGTCGGTCTCCAGCACCTGCAGGAATTGTGAGACCTTCTGTAGCACCCAGCCATGGAAGATGGCACTCTCATTCACAGTGTGCTCACCCATGGCAGGGGGCAGCAGTGGGTCCTCGTCTGAGAAGATGGCACGGTACTGGGTGATGATATCAAAGAGATGGACACGGGAGGCCTCGATGGTTTTTGTAATATGGAAATAGGGATCATCATTAGGAATGGCAGTCAGGATGGACCGGAGCCAAGCATCTCGGGCCTGAAGAAACTTCACCCTCAACTCAGCCTCAGTGAAGACGTCCATGCGCCGCAGGTAGCCAATGACACGGAGGCAGGCAGGAAGCTGGATGTTGGTCCTCAGTTGCTGGATCAGCTGGCTCAGCATCAGCTGCATGGACTGGCGCACTTCGTTCACGATGCCCTGACAATACACAGAGAGAGTCACACTGCGCTGGGAAGGATGCTCTCTAGAACCCATTCCCCTAACTCTGAAGACTGCAGACCAACATTCCCATGGCTTTCCTGAAATGTGAAGTAATTTCCTAAAGCTGATGCCTGTAGGTTCACCAACAAAGATCAGGTTAGTTAACTCTCTTGCTTAAAAAGCTTAAAACCTGGCCAGGTGCAGTGGCTCAAACCTGTAATCCCAGCACCGTGGGCAGGCAGGTCACTTGAGGTCAGGAGTTTGAGACCAATCTGGCCAACATGTGAAACCTCGTCTCTACTAAAAATATAAAAATCAGGTGGGTGTGGTGGTGCAGGCCTGTAATCCCGGTTACTCGGGAGGCAGAGGCAGGAGAATCACTTGAACCCGGGAGATAAAGGTTGCAGTGAGCCAAGGTCGCACCACTGCACTCCAGCCTGGGGGACAGAGCGAGACTCTGTCTCAAAAAAAAAAAAGAAAAAAAAAAAAGCTTAAAATCCTCCAGTGACTTCCCACTGCAATCAAGAAAATTCCAACCACTTGTTGGGACTTACACTGGTGGCCCTACCTGGCTCTCCATCTTCACCTGCTTCCTAGTGCTCTCCCGCTGCTACAATCCATTAACCCTGGCTGCCTCTGTATCCCTTAAACACCTCAATTTCTGCCCACTTCAGCCCTCTCTACTTGTTCTTCACACTTTCTGGTTTGCTCTCTCCCCAGATCTTTGTGGGCTGGCACCTCCTTCTCATTTAGGTCTCAGCTTAAATGTTACCTCCCTAGAAGAGTCCTTCTTGATCACCCTACCTAAAGAAACCTACCCTAGACTCCCTTACCCCATTCCCTGTTTTTTTCTTCAGACACCACTATCTGAAATGATATCATTTCTTTGTCAATTATCAGACTTCCCATTAGCACGTAAGCTGCATGAGAGCCAGGACCACTTTATTCACACTGTATCCCCAGCATATAGAGCAGTGCTTGGCACATGATTAATATGTATTTTGAATAAATGAATGTTTTCTGTTCAGGCATACCTGGCTGGCAGAAACTGATGTGAAACATGCAAGAGTTTCTACCTAAAGCTTCAGTCCTGACCACAGAATAAATGATTACAAGAACATTACTTTGAGTCCTCTCTGGGCAAGGTGGCTACCTGGATGACAGGGATGGAAGAGTATTTCCTCTCCAGTCGGCGTACGTAGGCTGCAAGCTCCAGGGCCTCTTCATAATAACTGTTCCGGACACAGGTGTCCATGAGCTGAGGAATCTCCAGTATTTCCAAAATTTCTGTGTGCCGGTTTAGGGTCAGGCTATTCATCCGGCGGTTGGAGCTGATCTCCTCGGCTTCCTTCACAAAGTTCCTAGTAATAATCAGAAGAATGTTGATCCTTCACTGCTCTGTACCCAAACCTTAGCTACAGTTACCAAGTACCTGCTATGAACATTGGGCTGGATGATCTATCTGATTTATTCCTCACACCCCACCTATAAGGTAAGTATTATTACAATTGAGGAAATTTTTAATCCCAGAGAGGTTAAGCAACTTGTCCAAAAACATACAATTAATAAATCTAACAGATGGAGATCCAGATATGCCACTTGCTGGCTGTGGCAAGGTACTTGGCCTCTCTGAACCTATTTCCTCATTAGTAAAACGGTATATAGGGCCAGGCGCAGTGGCTCACGCCTGTAATCCCAGCACTTTGGGAGGCTGAGGTGGGCGGATCACTTGAGGCCAGGAGTTCAAGTGAAACCCCATCTCTACTAAAAATACAAAAAATTAGCCAGGCATGGTGGTGCGCGCCTGTAGTCCCAGCTACTCAGGAGGCTGAGGCAGGAGAATCACTTGAACCCAGGAGGTGGAGGTTGCGGTGAGCAGAGATGGCGCCACTGCACTGCAGCCTGGCCAACAAAGCAAGACTCCGTCTCAAAAAAAAAAAAAAAAAAAGTATATAGGACCCTCCTCATAAGGGTGTAAGAACTAAATGAGATGATGTGTGTGAAGCATTTAACATAGAACTTGAAACAGAGCGAATGCGTCAAAGTAAAAATAGTAAAAGAGACACAGTTAAATATTTAACAGTAGCTATCATTATTTTCAAAATGAAGCACTAACTGCCTAGAATCCACAATCTTTCCCCTCAGGTCTTCATCTTCTCCTATGCTAATGTTCAACCATAGTTCCTGCCACAGTCTACTTTCAACACTTCTCCATATTTGCAGAGACCTGCTTTATCAAGTCCCCTATCTATTCTGGAGCATGGAAGGGTACAAAAGCTGCTGTCAAATATCCAAAGGCTCAAAAGAAAAATTAAACTTTAATCATGAAAGGCTGGAAGGCAGAACTAGGGATAATGGAGACAGAATATGACTCACAAAGGACTTTTTTTTTTTTTTTTGAGACGGAGTCTTGCTCTGTCACCAGGCTGGAGTGCAGTGGCACGCATCATCTTGGCTCACTGCAACCTCCGCTTCTCAGGTTCAAGTAATTCTCCTGCCTCAGCCTCCCGAGTAGCTGGGACTACAAGCGCGTGCCACCACGCCCAGCTAATTGTATTTTTAGTAGACATGGGGGTTTCAGCATGTTAGCCAGGATGGCCTCGATCTCTTGACCTCGTGATCCGCCTGCCTTGGCCTCTCAAAGTGCTGGGATTACAGGTGTGAGCCACCGCACCCAGCCTTTTTTTCTTTTTTTAAGAGAGTTTCACTTTGTCACCCAGTCTGGAATGCAGTGGCACAATCACAGCCCACCGCAGCCTCGACCTCCCAAACTGGAGTGCGGTGGCACAATCATGGCTCACTGCAGCCTCAATCTCCCGGGCCCAACTGACCCCCCCACCTCAACCTCCTGTGTACCTGGGACTACAGGCGCACGCCACCACGACCAGCTAATTTTTTATTTTATAGAGACAGGGTTTTGCCATGTTGGCCAGGCTGCTCTCGAACTCCTGGGTTCAAGCCTCAGGCTCCCAAAGTGCTGGGATTACAGGCTGAGCCACCACATCCAGCCATCCAAATGGAGAGACTTTTTGATATCTGATGCCCTCAAATGCGAGGATTTCCTTGTCACCTTCCCGTCAATGGAAGTTTTGAAGCAGATGACCTCCGGTCCACGCTTTCGTATAAAATAAGTATATAAATGTGCACATATATTCAGCTCACACCTATAATGTTAACTGTGTCAGACCCGATAATAAGAGCTTTGCATGAATCCTTTTTCTTTGTGCCCACAACTGCCCTTCGAGGGAGGGACGTGCTTCTGGGTAACCAGTTCTGAATTCGAAACCTCCTAGCTGTGTCCTTGGACGTCACTAATCTCTGTCTTGACTTGCTCATATGTAAAATGGAAATAACAGGGCTGGGCGCAGTGGATTATGCCTGTAATCCCAGCGCTTTGGGAGGCCGAGGCGGACAGATCACGACATCAAAAGATCGAGACCATCCCAGCCAACATGCTGAAACCCCGTCTCTACTAAAAATCCAAAAAAATTAGCTGGGCGTGGTGGCGCGCGCCTATGGTCCCTGCTACTCAGGAGGCTGAGGCAGGAGAATCGCTTGAACCCAGGAGGCAGAGGTAGGTTGCAGCGAGCCGAGATCTCGCCACTGCACTCCAGCCTGGCGACAGGGCGAGACTCCGTCTCAAAAAAGATAAAAAAGGAATAACAGTACCTATCTCGAAGGCTGTTGTGAGGTTTAAATGGATTAATAAAGCGCTCAGCAGAGAACCTGGAACGTGGTAAACGCTTTATGTGTTAGTTATTTCTACCATCGTAAATGTCAGCTTTTACAGTTATAAAACCCCTTTAGCGCCAGGCGCGTCGCACCTGCAGCTCTGCTGGAAGCTGGGCAAACGGTCGAGCAGGCGGCCGAGCGACGCCTCCACGTCGCCAAACAGGCGGTGGATGCGCTCGGTGCACTCGGCGCCGCGGATGAAGGTCTTGTAGTTAGCGAAGGCCAAGTCGCGCGTCTGCTGCAGCAGCTGCGCCCGCTCCTCCGCCAGGCGCTCGGGCTCGCGCCGCAGCCGCTCCAGCCCCGAGCCGCTCAACTCCCGGAGGTAGCGGCCCACATCGGGCCGCTCGCGCCACTGGGCCTCGGGGAAGCGGTCCCGGAACAGCGACGCCAGGAGCCCTTCATCCTCCACCTCGCCGAGAGCCGCTGCTGTGGCCGTGGCTACCGATGGGATAGTCGCCGCGGTCGCCATCTTCCCAGCAACAACGTCACTTCCCTTCCGGACCACAAGGGGCGCTGACTCCGAACTTAGGACAGGAAGAAACAGGCACATTTCCGGTCTCTATGCTTTCTCATCCGGCCGGCTTGCTTTCCCCTGCGGTCGTCCAGACTATTGGGCGCTAGCGAGACGAACTATTGGTACGGGGCTAGAGAGGAAGGCTTTGGGATTGCCGGGGAGCAGCGAGCGACCGACTTCCGTTTCCAGTTACCAAGGCACGAGGATCCGGTGTTCCAACCCAGGGGGAAAAATGCGGCCTTTGACTGAAGAGGAGACCCGTGTCATGTTTGAGAAGATAGCGAAATAGTAGGAGCGCGCGGGGCGGACGCGGGAGTGTGTGGGTGTGGTGGCCAAGGGTGGAGTGGGGGCGCGGTGCCGGAGACCGGTTCGTTCGGGCGCGGTCTCCAGTCCTCTTTTTGCCCTCAGCATTGGGGAGAATCTTCAACTGCTGGTGGACCGGCCCGATGGCACCTACTGTTTCCGTCTGCACAACGACCGGGTGTACTATGTGAGGTGAGGCGGGGCCGGGCAGGCAGCATGGACCCAGGGGAGAGGGGTCCTGGGTCCCACGAGCCTCCTTCATCCGCAACCTTGCTCCCCCTTTACCCTTTTAGTGAGAAGATTATGAAGCTGGCCGCCAATATTTCCGGGGACAAGCTGGTGTCGCTGGGGACCTGCTTTGGAAAATTCACTAAAACCCACAAGTTTCGGTTGCACGTCACAGCTCTGGATTACCTTGCACCTTATGCCAAGGTTTGTGGGGCGGTTTCCAATTCTGCCACGGGCGATGAAGTCAAGGATTAGGCAGATTGTCCGGCAGCTTCTCTCCCACAGAGTCCCTGACAGTGTGCTTGGAGGAGTTTCAGCACATGGAGATGTGTAGAGGTCTTGCAGCTTGAGCATGGTCAGGGCTATGGGATAGGAATGCTATGTGGCTGCGTAGGGTTAGTTTTCTCCAGCGAAGTAGAAGAGCCTAGGGAGACCCAGCTAGAGATCAGAAAGCAAATAAGTGGCAGCAATGAAGACACCGGGGTCCAGAAAAAGAGCTGTTAACCTGGCCATGGAGGATGATCCTTGTAGAGTTGAGAAAATAACTTTTTCTATTTTTTTCTTTTTCTTTCTTGCTCTGTTTTTTCTTTTCATTTCTCTTTCTCTTTCTTCCTGACACAGTTTCACTCTGTCGCCCAGGCTAGAGTGCAGTGGTGCGATCTCACTGCAGCCTCCACTTTCCAGTTTCCAGTGATTCTTGTGCCTCAGTAGCTGGGATTACAGGCATGTGCCACCACACCTGGCTGATTTTTTTGTGTGTTTTTAGTAGAGACAGTGTTTCACTGTGTTGGCCAGGCTGGTCTCGAACTCCTGGCCTCAAGTGATCCACCTGCCTTGGCCTCCCAAAGTGCTGGGATTACAAGCGTGAGCCACTGCACCGGGCAACTTCCTGCATTTCTGTTCAGGAGATAGACAGTTTGAGGAAAACATGAGTCTCTCTGTTTCCCTTAAAATTATTTCAGAAAATTATTCACAGATCCAGCAGCTAGCTTGTCTGCATGGATAGAAATAGTAACGTTTTTATGTCTCTTGGATTTTAATTCTCTTATAGTATAAAGTTTGGATAAAGCCTGGTGCAGAGCAGTCCTTCCTGTATGGGAACCATGTGTTGAAATCTGGTCTGGGTCGAATCACTGAAAATACTTCTCAGTACCAGGGCGTGGTGGTGTACTCCATGGCAGACATCCCTTTGGTGAGTAGAGATGGTAGCTGTTACAGAACTCAAGTACTCTTATTCAAGAAGGGTATGTCTTCAATCTGAGTGCTTGAGAGAATAAATTCTCAGCACGTTTTGAATCCCAGAAAGACCAGAACTGTATTTTTTCCGTCTTTGTTATTTCCAGCCCTCAATATGGGCATATTGAATGACTTCAGTGAGTTAGTGTCTCTTCTTTTGAATCCCAGGGTTTTGGGGTGGCAGCCAAATCTACACAAGACTGCAGAAAAGTAGACCCCATGGCGATTGTGGTATTTCATCAAGCAGACATTGGGGAATATGTGCGGCATGAAGAGACGTTGACTTAAAACGAAGCCATTCCAAGGACAGACGGCTGTATGGAAAGGCCGAGCTTTGTTTCCTGTGTTTGTGTGGACTCCACCATCATGTTGAATTTTGTCAACACTCTGGCCTCTTCAGGGACTTCTTATTTACTGTACTCTCTATCACTGACAAATGCAGGCTGGATTCTTATTATATACAGAGATGGCTCAAAAATGGGGTTTCAGATCTTTGTGACGAAATAGAATACTGTTTCATATTTGAATCAGAGGGCTTCTTGTTCTGAGAAATAGGTTCAAAATCATTGGAACCAGGAACAAGAATAGCTTATTGTTATCTGTGATAACACTGTTTTCTAAACACAAGGATTTTCTTTTTTATTAATATGCAACATAGACATTGCCATAACAGAATAATAAACCACATGTGGGGTTTTAAAAATGAAATTTGGCTAATAGGAGCAATTCAGCTATTTTTCTATACAGTAATTGGTGTGTGGTATAGAAGAAAAACGGGTTCAAACCCCACTTCTGCCACCTACCAGCTATATGGCCTTGAATGAGTCATTCAGCTTTAATAAGGTTCATTTTCTTCTGTTTAAAAAGACACAAAACTTGAAAATCAGCTTTGGCCATCTACCTGAGAATTAGAAAGTCTGATTTTTGGAATTAGAAATCATGATTGTAGGCTGGGCACAGTGGCTCGCGCCTGTAATCCCAGCACTTTGGGAGGCCAAGGCGGACGGATCACTTGAGGTTAGGAGTTTGAGACCAGCCTGGCCAACATGGTGAAACCCCATCTCTACTAAAAAAAAAAAAAAAATTAGGTGTGGTGACACATGGCTGTGGTCCTAGTTACTTGGGAGGCTGAGGCAGGAGAATGGCTTGAACTGGGGAAGCAGAGCTTGCAGTGAGCCAAGATGGTGCCATTGCACTCCAGCCTGGGCGTGACAGAGTGAGACTCCATCTGATTGTAAAGCATCTAGTACAGTGTACAGTGCCTTGGAAATGATAGGTATGGAATAAATGGTAATTATTTTTATATTATATATATTATGTATTCCTGTTATTAAGTGTAGAGTTTTATGAGTATAATTTGATTTTATTACCTTCTTTTTTACAAGCTGTTTTCTCAGTATTTTTCTTGGATGGGATGACGCTAGGCTGGAAAGTTTTTTTCATCACTATGATTTTATAAAACAATTTTTTCTATGAACCTTTACTTACTTGACTGGATTGGACTAAAAGCACTGATCAGAGGCCACGACATAAAAATTCAGTCCCTTTGTCCTTCCCCGTGCCTCCCAAAGTTACTTTAAGATCCTTAGAATATTTCTTTAAATATTTTATAGACAAAAAATTTAAAGACTATCTGTATTGCAAAATTAAACTATTTCTTTAATGAATATATTGCTTATTTTAAGTTCCAAAGGTGAAGTCTTTAAGAATAAAACATTACCAACTCCTGCTTTTATATGTAAGCAAACTTGATTGTGGCCTTTTTCAACTCATCTTCCTTCTAAGGTTTTCTGTTAGCCTCTAAGTAGACTCAGTGAAGGCTAAGGGACTGCTATATGATGAACAGTATTTTGATGCATACATTTAATACATACTTCTTCAGAACTTTTTCACTGTTATGATTTTATTGCCATTTTGCTTTTTTAGATGTGTGCAGCAGACTAAAACATTAATGAGATAATTGATTTTTGTCCCATAACATTACAAAGCTGATTCGACTAAGCCCCAGAAGAAAACAGCCAGGGTGCTATAGTCACCTTAGCTTAGCATCTTGGCTTCTTTGTATCTGTAGTTGTTGGAACATTGAAGAGACGCTTCAAGAAATACAGTTGCAGGATCCCAGAAAGAATAATAACAAGGCTCTGGGCTGTCGACCACCAGTTCACGTAGTTATAGTTTGATTGGATAAGGAAAAAGTCAGCCATTTTCCTCATCCGGGCAAAGTTGTAGTATCGCCACATGTGAAAGATATTGTTCTGCACCTTTTGTGTGCCGTCCTATGAGAGAGACAATTTTAAGGGGGATTCTTCCAAACCCCCATCTAGCCTCACCTGAGCGCTCACTAGCACTAACCTATCTCAAGTCAAATAATTTACCCATATGATTTTAAGATGTACAATACAATGATAGTTGTTAAATGTTGTGTTTGCTATGTATGAAATATGGTCTGGATTTGAGTTTAAAATTTTTGTTTTTGTTTTATGAGACAGGGTCTCACTTGTTTGCCCAGGCAGGAGTACAGTGGCGCAGTCACAGCTCACTGCAGCCTCAACCTTCTGCGCTCAAGTGATCTTCCCACCTCAGCCTCCCTAGTAGCTGGGACTACAGGCACATGCCACTACACCCAGCTAATTTTTTTTTTTTTTTATTGTAGAGACAGGGTTTTGCCATGTTGCCCAGGCTCATCTCGAACTACTGGGCTCAAGAGATCCACCCACACTGGCCTCCCAAAGTGTTGGGATTATGGTCATGAGCCACTGCCCCGGCCTTTTGTTTTGTTTTTAAATAATGGAAAACTTCAGTACTCAAACTAGAGAGCTCTTCCAGAGGACCTCTAGATTTAGATGTACTCAGCATGTCGTTACCATTCCAGGTGATGTTTTATGTTCTCTGTATATGGTAGAAGACAAGGGCCTGTGGACTTTTTATTAAAAGGCCAGATGGTAAATATTTTTGGCTTTGCAGGCCCCTGTGACTGCTGAACTCTTGCCATTGTAGTACAAAAGCAGCCACAGACAATATGTAATTGTCAAATGAGCATGGCTGTGTTTCAAGAAAACTTCCATTTACAAAAACAGGCAGTGAGCTTTTGTGCATTTAGGAGAGACTATTAAGAAAGTGAAAAGTGGCCGGGTGCAGTGGCTCATACCTGTAATCCCAGCACTTTGGGAGGCCGAGACGGGCGGATTACCTGAGATCAGGAGTTTAAGATCAGCCTGGCCAACATGGTGAAACACCGTCTCTACTAAAAATACAAAAATTAGCCAGGTGTGGTGGCACACGCCTGTAATCCCAGCTACTCGGGAGGCTGAGGCAGGAGAACTGCTTGAGCCCGGGAGGCAGAGGTTGCAGGGAGCTGAGATCGTGCCACTGTACTCCAGCCTGGCCGACAGCACAAGACTTTGTCTCAACAAAAAAAAAAGAAAAAAAGAAAGTGAAAAGTGGCCGGGCACGGTGGCTCGTTCCTGTAATCTTAGCACTTTGGGAGGCCAAGGTGGGCAGATCACCTGAAGTCAGGAGTTCAAGACCAGCCTGGCCAACATAGTGATACCCCATCTCTACTAAAAATACAAAAATTAGCCAGGCGTGGTGGCACCCGCCTGTAATCCCAGCTACTTGGGAGACTGAAGCATAAGAATCACTTGAACCCGGGAGGCGGAGGTTGCAGTGAGCCAAAATTGTGCCACTGCATTCCAGCCTAGGTGACAAAGCGAGACTCTGTCTCAAAAAAATATAAATAAATAAATAAATAAAAATACAAAAGTTAGCTGGGCATTGTGGCACACGCCTGTAGTCCCAGCTACTCAGGAGGCCGAGGCAGGAGAATCGCTTGAACCTAGGAGGCAAAGGTTGCAGTGAGCCAAGATCACGCCACTGCACTCCAGCCTGGGAGACAGAATGAAACTCCGTCTCAAAAAAGAAAAAAGAAAGTGAAAAGACATTGCCAGAATGGGAGAAAATATCTGCAACTCACATATCTTAGGAGGGATTTGTATCCAGAATATATAAACAAAATTCAACAATAAAAAGACAATTCAGGCAGGGTGCGGTGGCTCACGCCTGTATTCCCAGCACTTTGAGAGGCTGAGCTGGACAGATCACAAGGTCAGGAGTTCAAGACCAGCCTGACCAACATGGTGAAACCCCCGTCTCTACTAAAAATACAAAATGTAGGTGGGCGTGGTGGCACGTGGCTGTAATGCCACCTACTCAGGAGGCTGAGGCAGGTGAATCACTTGAACCCAGGAGGCAAAGGTTGCAGTGAGCCGAGATCACACCACTGCACTCCAGCCTGGACGACAGACTGACTCTCTCAAAAAAAAAAAAAAAAAAAAAAAAAAAAGTAAAATGGGCAAAGGATTTTCATTTTTTTGAGATAGGGTCTCACTGTCACAGCCTTGACATCCTGGGTTCAAGCAATTCTACCTAAGCCTCCCGAGTGGCTGGGACCACAAGTATGTGCCACCACACCCGGGTCATTTAAAAAGTTGTTTTGTTTGTAGAGACAGGGTCTTACCATGTTTCCCAGGCTAGTCTCAAACTCCTGGGCTCAAGCTATCCTACCTCAGCCTCACAAAGTGCTGGGATTACAGGTGTTGGGCCAACTGGCCTGGCCTAAAATGGGCAAAGGACTCGAACAGACATTTCTCCAAAGAAGAGAGATGGCCAATACGCACGTGAAAAGATGCTCAACATTATTAATCATTAGGGAAATGCAACTCAAAACCACAAGATAACATTTCACACCCACTAGGATGACTGTAACAAAAAATAAGTGTTGATGAGGAAGTAGAGAAATTAGAACCTTCATACACTGCTAGCAAGAGTTTAAAATGGTTTAGCCACTGTGGTAAACAGTCTCCAGTAATTCCACTTTCAGGTATACACAGATGAAAACATGCTAACACAAAAACTTGCATGCAAATGTCCATAGCCACGTTATGATAGCCAAGAGGTGGAAAAACCTAAATATCCATCATGTCCATTAACTGATGAATGGATAAATAAAATGTGTATCCATAAAAGAGAGTATTATTCAGCCATAAAAAGAAAAGTACTGATACATGCTACAACATGGATGAACGTTGAGAACATGCTAAATTAAAGAAGCCAGTCTTGGCTGGGCGCGGTGGCTCATACCTGTAATCCCAGCACTTTGGGAGGCCGAGGCGGGCCAATCACCTGAGGTCAGGAATTTGAGACCAGCTTGGCCAACATGGTGAAACCCTGTCTCTACTAAAAATGCAAAAATTAGCCGGGCATGGTGAGAGGTGCCTGTAATCCCAGCTACTTGGGAGGAGGAGAATCACTTGAACCCTGGAGGCAGAGGTTGCAGTGAGCTGAGGTTGCGCCATTGCACTCCAGCCTGGACAACGAGCAAAACTCCGTCTCAAAAAATAATAAAAATAAGCCAGTCACAAAATCCCATGTACTGTGTGATTCCATTTAAATAAAGTGTATAGAGGCCAGCCACAGTGGCTCAAAGTGCTGATTAATCTCGGCACAGTAGCTCATAATGCTGAGTAATCTCAGCTCAGTGGCTCAAAGTGCTGAATCTGAGCACTTTGGCAAGCCGAGGTGGGAGGATTGCTTGAGCGCAGGAGGTTGAGGCTGCAGTGAGCTGTGATCAAGCCACTGCACACTGCAGCCTGGACAAGAGTGAGACCCTGTCTCAAAAATTAAGTATAGAATAGGTAAATCTATAGAGACAGTAGAACAGTGATAGGCAGGCCTGGGGTAATAGAATGGAGAATGACTAATGGGGAGTGGGATTTTGAGGGTGGGGTGGGTGATAAACTTCCAGAATTAGATGCTGATAGTTGCACAGCCTTGTGAATATACTAAAAAACCACTGACTTACACACTTTTAGATGGTGTACGGTGTATGAATTATATCTCAATTTAAAGAAAAACAGGCAATGGGCCAGATTTGGCCTGTCAGCCATACATAGTTTGCCAACCCTTGGTATAAAACGAAGATGGAATTTCAAGAGCTTCAAGTCGTAATTTATTTTGAGACGGTGTCTTGCTGTATCCCAGACTGGAGTGTAGTGGCGTGATCTCGGCTTACTGCAACCTCTGCCTCCCAGGGTTCAAGCGATTCTCCTGCCTCAGCCTTCCGAGTAGCTGGGATTACAGGTGCGCACCACCACGCCCAGCTAATTTTTGTATTTTTAGTAGAGACAGGGTTTCACCATGTTGGAAAGGCTGGTTTCGAACTCCTGACCTCAGGTGATCCACCCACCTCGGCCTCCCAAAGTGCTGGGATTACAGGCGTGAGCCACCGTGCCCAGCCAAGTCATAATTTATGAAGAAATTCACATCCCCTTGCCTGTTTGGTTTCTACCTAAATGAAGTCATCTTCCCTCTGAAGTTAAAAATCAGTTTCCACAGATGTTTCTCTTCCACAAAACACTTCCTTACCTCAATTGCATCCAGAGTATCATTCAGTTGTTTTCTTTCCTTCTGTTTGTGATCAGTCTCAGGCCCCTCATAGAAGACCCCAAAGTTGAGGTACACTTGCACAGAACCGAAGTGATTATGCTGATTACTTAGACAAAGCTGATAAAAACCTGTAGGAATTCTTAGATCATTACCAAGTCTTTGGTCTCCTCCCCTTTGTTAAGGATTCCCTGGAGGTATCTGTCCTCTAGTTTTGGAATTCTACTACAGGACCTTCTTTTTACTTAGAAAGTACAAAGATCCCGTTTTTGACATGGAAGACACGGACCTTATGTTAAACTTATACTAAATATTACTTATTATATTTGGCCAAATTTTAGTAACTCGTTCTTTCCATACTGGGTAGTGGCAAACAATGTTTTCTCTTTAACATATAATTCCCACATCTTGTATTAAGGAACTCCTGCTCAACAGATTGAGTTGAAGTTAAGAGCATGGTGTTTGCCTGGTCCTTGTATACAATTAAAGCTAGGGACACCATCTTGAACTTGAAATTAGGAAAGACAAAAAAAAAAAATAGATGCATAGTGCATGAAAGCAGCTCTCCTGGAGTGATTGCCTCCAAGGCGGTGTGTACAGTGACTCATGGTTTGGTTATATCTGTTGGGGCTGGGGTTGCCTCCCTTTGTGTGTGCGGGGGGGAGGGGGGCGCGGGGTGGGGAGCGGGTGGGAAGGAGCAAGGTGGAGAGGACCGGTAGAAGATGGGTGGGGTGGGATTAGAAAGGTGTGGCAGTGTTTGAAAGTCAAAATGATTGGAAGGCACTACTGGCATGTAGGGGCCAAAGATGTTCAAGATCTTTTTTTTTTTTAGACGAGTCTCGCTCTGTTGCCCAGACCGGAGTGCAATGGCGCGCTCTCGGCCCACTGCAGTCTCTGCCTCCAGGTTCAAGCAATTCTCTTGCCTCAGCCTCCCAGGTAGCTGGGATTACAGGCGCCTGCCACCACACCCAGCTAATTTTTGTATTTTTAGTAGAGACGGGGTTTCACCATATTGGTCAGGCTGGTCGCAAACTCCTGACCTCAGGTGATCCGCCCACCTTGGCCTCCCAAAGTGCTGAGATTACAGGTGTGAGCCACCACGCCCAGCCTGTTCAAGATCTTTTAACACTGATACACATGCTGTGCTTCATAGTGAAGGACTGTCTGATGCCCCTGTTGAGAAAATGTCTTTTTTAGTGCAGCTGGCTATTAAAGAGGGCAGTTAAGACACTGCTGCTCTCCAAAGTGGGACAGGCTTGACCTGGCTGGAGGAGTGCTTTGCTGTGGAGTGTGGATATCTCACATGGATATCATGCATTTTCTTTTGTTCTGAATCTGCTTTTAGTAACTGACTCAAATATTCTGATGACTGGAAAGACATGCTTCCCTGTAATCCATTTGTTAATTGGAATTCTGTATTATAAATGGGTCTCTGTTTTTTGGTCACTTTCCCAGAATCTGATTAACTGGAGATGATGAGATAAAATTGAGCGGCTGAACCCTAGACTTAGAATGCTCACCTGGAGTGTTGCCCCCAAATCGTCAGTAGACTGCCACTTGGCATCCTTGGAGGTCAGCAGCCTCCAGGAACACTGGTTTTTGGTGTTAAAGGCTGAATTTTTTTCCTACTGTTAAAACATCTCTGTATACTTCCTCATTATTTCTGTAATTTCATAGGACCCTATGATTATTATAATAGCCATGGTAATGAAAACAGACCTGTCTCTTGGGTAGAGAAGTTAATCTGGCCCCGAACACCCTGGGAGGTGTCTATGAGAAATCCCTGTGGGTTATGTGCCGTGGCAGCAACATGCCGGTCATGTGACATCCCCACTGTCCGCTGAACCTGCCAAGACACATTAAATAGGTAGCAGAACCCCTGCTACATCACGAGGAAGCCAGCTGAGTGGTAAGATTGACGTCCCACGGTCATCAGCACAGCGGTCTCTGTCTGGGGTGGGACTGCCCAACCCCCTGCTGGGGTTTGGAGTTGATTGGAGGATTCTGAGGTATCACAGTGATGGTGTTAAGGGGAGGCAGCACAGCATTGCTGAACGTCTGCAATGTAAGAAACAGTACAGCAGGACAAAGAACTGCCCAGAATGCCAACAGCACCCGTGTGAAGAAGACATGCCTTGCTCGGAACACACAGCTAGTGTGGATCCACTAAAATGTATGATTCTGGGCCGGGCGCGGTGGCTCACGCCTGTAATCCCAGCACTTTGGGAGGCCGAGGTGGGCAGATTACAAGGTCAGGAGTTCGAGACCAGCCTGGCTAACATGGTGAAACCCTGTCTCTACTTAAAAAATACAAAAATTAGCCTGGCATGGTGGCGTGCGCCTATAATCCCAGCTACTTTGGAGGCTGAGGCAGGAGAATTGCTTGAACCCGGGAGGCAGGGATTGCAGTGACTCGAGATCATGCCACTGCACTCCAGCCTGAGCGACAGAGCAACACTCTGTCAAAAAAAAAAAAAAAAAAGTACGATTCTGGCTGTAGAATTTTTTATTTTTTTTGAGACGGAGTCTTGCTCTGTCACCCAGGCTGGAGTGCAGTGATCTTGGCTCACTGCAACCTCCACCTCCCAGGTTCAAGCGATTCTCCTGCCTCAGCCACCCAAGTAGCTGGGATTACAGGCACATGCCACCAAGCCCGGCTAATTTTTGTATTTTTAGTAGAGATGCGTTTTCACCATATTGGCCAAGGTGGTCTCGAACTCCTGACCTCAGGTGATCCGCCTGCCTCAGCCTCCCAAAGTGCTGGGATGACAGATGTGAGCCACCGCACCCGGCCTGGCTGTAGAGTTCTTGAATGAACTTGCTTGGTGGTTGAGCTCCCCAATGATGTCCCAGATTTGGGCATTTGCTGCTTGGCAGTGCACACCTACAACAAGCACTCCATGGACACTTGCTCCCAAGCTAGATCTTGATTAGGCCAGGCCACAGTGAGCTTAGTAGTGGCTGCTGTTCTAATAGAAATTCAGAGGTAAGAAAAGTCTCTGATAAGTTTATTTAAAATAAATGTTGTTACAGTGGAGTAAGATCAACAAAGTCTATTACTATGTAAACAAAAATTAGAAAGTTAACCGATTTCTAAGATAAAGAACAAAGGAAATGAACAGCCTCTAACTTTCATACTGAGTTCACCATCCTTGGACAGCATGATATAAGACCATAGTATGGGTAAAAGTACTTGACCTTTGAATAAGTAACTTGAAAACACTTACCGTCCTAAAAAAAAAAAATAGGATTAACTGGCCGAATACAAAAAACTTGACCTAGTGAATCTCTGACTTGCCAGAATTGCTCCTAAAGGCAGCAGAACCTTTACTCCCCCACCCCATAAGCTGAAGCAGCCTTCTTTGAAATCTCTGGATCAGTCTCCAAAGCACCATTATCCAATTTTGTTTTAATATATTAAAAATGTATTCTCTCCCCTCTCATCCCCAAATCCGAGTACATGTAATGATTACCTCTTCAGGGAGAGGCACCCCGTCTGCCCCATGGCTTTGAGCATGGCCCCTGATGTAAGAAGCCAAACCATATGTTTTAGCTCCTGTTGGTGATTATTCACCCAGCTGGAGTTTCCCTCTAACTGCAGGTCCATTTCATTAACAGGTGGGGAATCACAGCATAATAAAGACAACCAGACCTTGTTTTGGCCTAAAACCTGACCCACTTTATGAGTAAAGGAGAAAAAAAAAAGCCCCCCAGTATGGCCAGTCACCCACATACCTCGTAACTGAAATAGAAGTATCCAGTCTGGTGGGCAAATTGCCAAAAGCATTCCGTGCCTCCTGGAGGTATCATGATGGCAAAGTCATATCGATCAGCTCCACGGAAGAGTGGCTGGTCCCCAGAGCCACTTAGAGGTTCTGTCTTCTGGCTCCTGGCAGACGTCACTAGATTCAGAACGACCAGCCCAGCCCCAAAGAGCAAAGGGGACATGCCGCTTTCTGGAGCCTCCTCTGCAGGTGAACTGCTCGCAGCCCAGGGAAATCAAGTCGTTCAGACAACCGCTGGGCTAATGATTAACTCCACAAGTCACATTACGGCCCATTTCAGGGCCACACATAGATATTCATCATAGAACTGCCATGATACTCCCATGTTTGGCTCGCAGGAGGAAATTTTGCTTTCACCTCAAAAACTCAGTGGCTTACCAAACCTACTTCATGGGTGCTACATAGAATCTACCACCTCAGAAGAGGTCTTTCCACCCTTCATTAGGGCTGTCATTTTTTAGTTCCTGCTTCTTGGGGATATAATAGTGGGTAAGTTTACAACTTCTGAATACACTGACAAAAAGTTGGCTGGGGGGATTGTTCTCTTACATCAAATTGCTCCTATAAACACATGGGGCAACACTTCTCTCTCCCCAATGCTGCAGCTCAGAGCAAATCACAGCATGTGTGTGCAAAGATGTAAATGGATGAATACAGTGCCAGAGGATGGTGCTTAGACCCCTCCACTGACAGTCCTCGTCCTGATGCCTTTCACCTAACGGTCACCTAAAGCTATCCAAACCCACTGAAAGACAATTATATTATCCAAAGCCTCAATCTTTTTTTTTTTTTTTTTTTTTTTTTCTGAGATGGAGCGTAGCTTTGTCACCCAGGCTGGAGTGCAGTGGCACGATCTCTGCTCGCTGCAACCTCCACCTCCCCGGTTCAAGCGATTCTCCTGCCTCAGCCTCCTGAGTAGCTGGAATTACAGGTGCCTGCCACCATGCCCGGCTAATTTTTGAATTTTTAGTAGAGACAGGGTTTTACTATGTTGGCCAGGCTGGTCTCGAACTCCTGACCTCAAGTAATCCACCCGCCTCGGCCTCCCAGAATGCTGGGATTACAGGCATGAGCCACCACGCCCAGCCTTGATCTTTCTTTTATTCAGGACTTCTTCAGCACCCATGGGGGAAAAAACTATCCAGAACCCACTTAAAGACAATTATATTATTCACATCCTTAATCTTTATTCTTTTATTCATGATTTCAACACCCACCTCCTTCATGGCAGGCACTGAGCTAAGATTTACCTGCATCTTATTTTATTCTCACAATAGCCCTGCAAGGGAGGTATTGTGAGCTCTGGCATTAGAGATGAGGACACAGACATTCAGAGATTCCAGTGGTGGCTCACGCTCCCACAAGCACACCTGGCAGAGCTGGGTCCCCGGTGGGGGCTCATGCTCTTAACCACCAGGCAGGACAGTGTTTCTCATTCTCAAGCTGTCAGTCTCTGAGTTCTGACACTGCCTAACCATTTTTCAGTCCTAATCTTTTTTTTTTTTTTTTTTTTTTGCTTCCTTGAGATGGTATCACTCTGTCTTCCAGGCTGGAGTGCAGTGGCACAAACATAGCTCACTGCAGCCTCACCCCCTTGGGCTCAAACGATCCTCCCACCTCAGCCTCCCAAGTAGCTGGACCCACAGGAGTGCACCACCACACCTGGCTGATTTTTGTATTGTTTGTAGAGATGAGGTTTTGCCATGTTGCCTAGGCTGGTCTCAAACTCCTGGGCTCAAGTGATCCCCATGCTTTGGCCTCCTGAAGTGCTAGGATTACAGGTGTGAGCCACCGTGCCTAGCCTTAGTCATAATCTTAAAAAACAAAAAACAAAACAGCATTAACACCTTCCAGCAATTATTTGCATTGACTCAAAGTGTCACAAGCTAAGTAGGCAGAAAACAGACTCTATACATGGGGTTCAGTTCTAGCAAAGGCCAAATGACAGCACAGCACTCTGGGAGCACAGTGGCTCTATGGCAGTCTTGCTCAAGTGACAGAAGAGTCTGGGAACTTCTATCAGCACACGTGGCACAGGCATCCCCCACCCGAGTCCCACCACCGTCGCAGTCCTAGCACTGGTCATGCCATAAGCAGTGACTTGGTTTCGGCGAAACAATCGTCAGTTCATAGTAAGTTTTATAGTTCTACAGAAGCTGTAAGCATAGTTTTATCTTTGCACACATTTCAATAACTATAATAAAAACAACACTGAATTATGTGAAAAAATATTAATGAACATAGGCATTCTCAAGTTTAAGAAACACTGATGCCGGGTGTGGTGGCTCACGCCTGTAATCCCAGCACTTTGGGAGGCTGAGGTGGGCGGATCACGAGGTCAGGAGATCGAGACCATCCTGGCTAACACGGTGAAACCCCATCTCTACGAAAAATACAAAAAATTAGCCAGGTGTGGTGGCGGGTGCCTGTAGTCCCAGCTACTCAGGAGGCTGAGGCAGGAGAATGGTGTGAACCCAGAGGCAGAGCTTGCAGTGAGCTGAGATAGCACCACTGCACTCCAGCCTGGGTGACAGAGTGAGACTCCATTTCATAAATAAATAAATAAATAAATAAATAAATAAATAAATAAATAAAAAGAAACACTGATTAGGATATTTTGTTTCCCTAAATGCATCAGTTTCACTCCTCTACCTGGAGAGCACCATTGACTCACATGAGAGTTAAGGGGAGAAAAGCTTCTGGATTCTAATCCGGTTCAGAGGGAGACCAAACCAGCTGCAGGCAGAAGGCGGCTAGCCTGAAAGGAGCTCAAGTTCTCAACTTCTCCCTGTGGTTTCAGTTGGGGTTGGTTGATAGAAGAACAATAGGTACTAAACCCCAAAATGCAGTTAATAGGTAATAAAGCTGTATGAAGTTTCCAACTTGTAACTAATGGATGAATTTTTTTTTTTTTTGAGATGGAGTCTCACTCTATCACCCAGGCTGGAGTGCAGTGGTGCGATCTCGGTTTATTGCAACCGCCACCTCCCCGGTTCAAGCGATTCTCCTGCCTCAGCCTTCCGAGTAGCTGGGACTACAGGCGCCTGCCACCATGCCTGGCTAATTTTGTATTTTTCAAAATTTTTAATTTTAAACTTTTTTTTTTTTTTTTTGAGAAGGAGTTTTGCTCTTTTTGCCCAGGCTGGAGTGCAATGGCACCATCTCCGCTCATCACAACCTCCGCCTCCCAAGTTCAAGCAATTCTCCTGCCTCAGCCTCCCGAGAGGTCGGGATTACAGGCGCCTGCCACCATGGCTGGCTAAGTTTTTGTATTTTTAGTAGAGATGGGGTTTCACCATGTTGGCCAGGCTGGTCTTGAACTCCTGACCTCAGGTGATCCTACCCTTCTTGGCCTCGCAAAGTGCTGGGATTACAGGGGTGAGCCATGGCTCCCAGCCAGTTTTGTTTTGTTTTGAGATAGAGTCTCGCTTTGTTGCCCAGGCTGGAGTGCAGTGGCATGATCTTGGCTCGTTGCAACCTCCATCTCCCGAGTTCAAGCGATTCTTGTGCCTCAGCCTCCTGAATAGCTGGGATTACAGGCACCCGCCACCACGCCCAGCTAATTTTTGTATTTTTAGTACATAGGGTTTTACTATGTTGGCCGCGCTGGTCTCGAACTCCTGACCTCAAGTGATCCTCCTGCCTCGGCCTCCCAGAGTGCTGGGATTACAGGCATTAGCCACCATGCCTGGCCTAATGGATGAATTTTAAAACTTTAGCATTTCTTTAAGCCTTGCCTTTCACTCACTCAGAAGTGAGAAAGGGGGAATTCTTTTGTCCCCAGAAATGATATATGAGGAAACTGAAAGGTTAAGAGGAAACTTCCATATCATCTGTTTGACATAGCTTCCAAGGATTAAAACATTCAATAAAGTCTGACATCAGCTTCTTGATCAAAATAGTTCAGCAAAGTTTAACATTTTGCTACCTCCCTCTGTGGATACATGCTGTGCTGCAATTAAACAGCTACTTACAGTTGAGAGAAGCAAGACTTTAATGAAGAATGCTACAAGTATGGACAATAATTAGTTCTCACCTTTTAAAAAAAGATTACAGAAAACACTTTACTGAAATTTTTTGCTAAAAAGACAGTCTTTAAGGGTGTCCGGGAGAGACAGCAAGCACAACACAGTACAAAAGGAGAAGGGAATGTTGAATTCCAGTGCAAGACACGAACACAGCACAATTAGGGAATCAGGAGGAAGCAACCATTTCACAAAGAATGAAATTAGGCATTTATATTCAATCGGATTTTTTTTAAGCTTTAAAAGTCCAGCATAAGGAAGGGAATTGGGAAAAGAGGCAGGGGACAGGGGGCAGGGGATCAGGGAACTAATCTTATCTACAATCACCATTTTACCAAAAAACACACTGGTTCAACCACATGAGAAGTGGAGGATTAACCTGCCTACATAGCCCAGCAGATGTTGACAGCAAATGCCAAGGCAGACAGGTCTAGGGTTGATGTCACGACTGGCTAAAGAGTTTTTAAAGGGAATCTTATTCCACAAGGACTGGTCTGTCATCAACCTGGGTTCATAACAGACTAAGTTCCTTTGCATTTGCATCAGAAGGCCAGAACTTGACGTGGAACAAATTTACTCCAAATAATACTCACATTGCTGGTTTTAACAGGTCATGGAGTCACAAGTGGCTCCTAATAGACTTCACCATTTCCTAGGAGAAGGTTCTACAGATTACCAGGGATTTAAATTTAAGCAAACCACTAAAGAAGGGAAACGCTAATGATATTCTGGCACTGCACAAGCTGTGTGCCTGTCATCTCTGCCAAGGACATGGGTGGACTTGGCTCTGCTTCTTAGCTCCATGATCTCCAACAGTGATGAAGTGGAAATGGGACCTCCCCCACGTCGAAGGAGGTTGCCCAAAATTCTCATCCCAGCCCAGCTTCTGAAAGAAACAGCAGATGCCAGGCGCGGTGGCTCATGCCTGTAATCCCAGCACTTTGGGAGGCCGAGTTGGGTGGATCACGAGGTCAGGAGATCGAGACCATCCTGGCTAACACGGTGAAACCCCGTCTCTACTAAAAATACAAAACATTAGCCGGGCGTGATGGCGGGCGCCTGTAGTCCCAGCTACTCGGGAGGCTGAGGCAGGAGAATGGCGTGAGCCCGGGAGACGGAGGTCGCAGTGAGCCGAGATCACGCCACTGCACTCCAGCCTGGGTGACAGAGCGAGACTCTGTCTCAAAAAAAAAAAAAAAAGAAAAAGAAAGAAAGAGCAGACTATCAGGGGCTATTATTAGGAACCATGCTCCTGTGAATTCTGTGGAAATGAAAGCCTGTTTCAGTTCATGCCAAGTCTTTTCATGGTCCGCCAGCGATCCTTAATCATCACAGCTGTTCGGTTAACAAATGGGTAATTTTTAGAAATGGCAGCCCAGTTTCCTTCCCCATATTTCTGCACTCCAGCCTTGACCCACTCGCTTTCTTCTACAGTCCACTTCTGCAAAAGAAAACCAAAAGATTTATTACCACCTTTCCTCTCCACTTACTTACATTTTCTCCAATGTAGTGATAAGGTAAACTCAAGAATCCCAGGAGAATCATCTGAACCTGAAATCACAGCTTATGTTTTTAAACATGGAATGGACAAGATATGAGCACTGTGGATCTGGACACAGGAATTCTTGATGTCCTGCCATTTGATCCTCAAGTAACAATCACTTCTGCATTCCAAACTGCAAACATATCTACATCATTCATGTTCCGGAAAATGTGTCATCTGTTTTCCTAGTCTTTTCTTCCAGAAGATAATTATTACTTTAACTTAGTTTGGATTATCTGAAAATCTCAAAAAAAGGTTTTTACTGGGTACATAACCAGTCTATACCTGTGAGACAGGGCGCGTATTTTACCTCTGCTCTACCCACATAACCAGTAACAGAAAAGAGAATTTTAAATTACCTGCTTTTTTGTTATATTGGTTGTACTGTCTTCATCTGGTGCTGCTGGAAAACATTAAAAGTAGACTCATTTCAGAGTTCACCTTTCTCTGCACAAACCACAAGAAAAAGACATGGAATGTCCCCAAAGGGAAAACTTCTTCAAATTTCACAAGCATTGAGAAGAGAAAGGATATCACTAAAGGATAATTTACTTTTCTCCTTTATTTGCAAACACCAGTCACTTCAGCCTATGAGAACCTGTACAATGCAAGTGCTTTACAAACAGGCATCCGTAAATGCTGGCTAGTGATGCGTTTCAAGCTCTTCAGTAAAATCAACATCGTTTTCTTTTTTTTTTTTTTTTTTTTGAGACGGAGTCTTGCTCCGTTCCCCAGGCTGGAGTGCAGTGGCGCTATCTCGGCTCACTGCAAGCTCCGCCTCCCAGGTTCACCCCATTCTCCTGCCTCAGCCTCCCGAGTGACTACAGGCGCCCGCCACCACGCCCGGCTAATTTTTGTTTGTTTGTTTGTTTGAGAAGGAGTCTCACTCTGTCGCCCAGGCTGGAGTGCAGTGGAGCGATCTCGGCTCACTGCAAGCTCCGCCTCCCAGGCTCACACCATTCTCCTGCCTCAGCCTCCCGAGTAGCTGGGACTACAGGCGCCCACCACTACGCCCGGCTAATTTTTTTGTATTTTTAGTACAGACCGGGTTTCACTGTGTTAACCAGGATGGTCTCCATCTCCCGACCTCATGATCCGCCCATCTCGGCCTTCCAAAGTGCTGGGATTACAGGCATGAGCCACCGTGCCCGGCTAATTTTTGTATTTTTAGTAGAGATAGGGTTTCACTGTGTTAGCCAGGGTGGTATCAATCTCCTGACCTAGTGATCCACCCACCTCGGCCTCCCAAAGTGCTGGGATTCCAGGTGTGAACCACCATGCCTGGCCCCAACATCGTTTTCTAAAATTACTGAGGGAACGTCATATTTAAAACCCTTATGTATATATAATGTCTACATATACATATAGGTATTAGTGTGTGTATGTATATATACAGTCATATGTTGCTTAACAATGGGGATATGTTCTGAGAAATGCATCGTTTGGTGATTTCATCCTTGTGTGACTTACACAAACCTAGATGGTAGAGCCTAGGCTCTAGCCTGCAACTTCTTATCTATGGAGAAAGTATCTGACAACTGCTAACTCATGTCCCCATGTCTAACAACATGGCTTTCTCAACTTTTAAAGGACTAGAGTCATCCACTGGACTTAGGAACCAAAAACATTGGTGCAACTCCAAATAAAAGTAACAAACATGTATTCTTCCACTGCTATAACAGTCCTAATCCCCTTAATCTTACCGATTACTATTAACTTAGCTAACCTCTGCAAAAAAGGAATATGCCTACGATATATGGTGTAGCCTATTTTTCCGCTACAAACCTGTACAGCATGTGACATGCAACTGTGACACAATGGTAAATATTGTGTATCTAAACATATCTAAACAGAGACAAAGTAATGCATTGCACTACAATGTTACAATGCCTATGACATCTACAATGTCACTAGGCGATATGAATTTTTCAGCTCTATATATAACCTAATGGGACCACCGTCACCATATATGCAGTCCATCGTTAACCAAAACTTTGTTATGTGGCACATGACTATAGGTGTGTTTATATGTATAATTTCTGCATTATAACCCCTTGCTAACCACTGCTTTGAAATCACATGGTTTTGGCTGGGTGTGGTGGCTCACGCCTGTAATCCCAGCACTTTGGGAGGCCAAGGCGGGCGGATCACTTGAGGTCAGGAGTTCGAGACTAGTCTGGACAACATGGCAAAACTCCTTCTCTACTAAAAATATGAAAATTAGCTGGGAGTGGTGGCACATACCTATAGTCCCAACTACTCGGGAGGTTGAGGCAGGAGAATCACTTGAACCCAGGAGGTGGAGGTTGCGGTGAGGCAAGATCGCGCCACTGCACCCCAGCCTGGGCAACAGAGCGAGACTCTGTCTCAAAAAAAAAAAAAAAGAAATCATATGGTTTTGCTGTTTTGTACTAAAATTTTCTTTTTTTCTCCTTCATTTTTTAATCTTCCTCTTACTATCATTCCCAATTTTTTTTTTTTTTTTTTTTTTTTTTTTTTTTGCCCAGGCTGGAGTGCAGTGGTGCAATCTCAGCTCACTGCAACCTCCGCCTCCCGGGTTCAAGCTATTCTCCTGCCTCAGCCTCCTGAGTAGCTGGGACTACAGGCGCCTGCCACCACACCCGGCTAATTTCTGTATTTTTAGTAGAGACAGGGTTTCACCATATTGGCCATGCTGGTGTCGAACTTCTGACCTTGTGATCCGCCTGCCTCGGCCTTCAAAAGTGCTGGGATTACAGGCGTGAGCCACCACTCCTGGCCTAAATTTTTTTTGTTTGTATTTTTTGTAGACATGGAGTTTTGCCCTCTTGCCCAAGCTGGTCTCCAACCCCTGAGTTCAAGGAATCCGCCTGCCTCGGCCTCCCAAAGTGCTGGGATTACAGGCATGAGCCACTACGCCCAGCCTAGAATTTTCAAGTCCTTGTTCATTTTATAGAAGTACAATTTGGGTCTGGGCGGTGGCTCACACCTGTAATCCCAACACTTTGGGAGGCTGAGGCGAGCAGATCACTTGAGGTCAGGAGTTTGAGAGCAGCCTGCCCAACATGGTGAAAACCCGACTACTAAAAATACAAAAATTAGCCGGGCGTGGTGCGACACACCTGCAATCCCAGCTACTAAGGAGGCTGAGTCATAAGAATCACTTGAACCTGGAAGGCGGAGGTTGCAGTGAGCCGAGATCGCACCATTGCACTCCAGCCTGGGCAACAAAGTAAGACTGCATCTCAAAAAAAAAAAAGAAAAAAAGAAAACAATTTTGGTAGGGTATGGTATGGTGGCTCACAAGTATAGTCCCAGCACTTTGAGAGGATGAGGCAGACAGATTGCTTGAGCCCAGGAGTTCGAGATCATACTGGCCAACATGGTGAAACCCTGGCTCTACTAAAAATACAAAAAAAGATTAGTTGGGCATGGTGGCAAGGGCCTGTAGTCCCCGATACTCCAGAGGCTAAGGTGGGAGAATTGCTTTAGCCCAGGATGTCACGGCTACAGTGAGCCAAGATCACACCACTGCATTCCACCTTGGATGAGAGTGAGACCCTGTCTCAAAAAAAAAAAAAAAAAAAAAGGATTTATATATAGAAACTGTTAAGATTTTTTTTTCTTTAAACAAGAAATGCAGGGAATGACCCCCTACTACCACATCTAATTGAAGGATTTTAGGAAGAACATCAACTATAATTAAATATCATAGGCGTTATTAAAACAAAACCAAGAACTCTCTTTAAACATAAGGCGTTACTCTGACAGTCTCCATTATTTAATGGGAGAGGACATCAGACTGACTCCTTGACCAGGGCACAGTGACTCACATCTGTAATCCCAGCACTCTGGGAGGCTGAGGTGGGAGGATCGCTTGAGCCCAAGAGTTTGAGACCAGCCTGAGCAACAAAGTGAGACCCCATCTCTACAAAAAGTGAAAAAAACAGCCAGGTGTGGTGGTGCACACCTGCAGTCCCAGCTACTCAGGAGGCTGAGGCAGGAGGATCACTTGAGCCCAGAAGGTTGAAGCTCAGTGAGCCATGTTTACACCACTGCATTCTGGCCTGGGTGACAGAGCAAGACCCTGTCTGAAAAAGGAAAAAAAAAAAAAAACTGATTCTTCATGAATTAAAATGAGATCGGGAACTTACTGAACTTTTTCTAGTTCGGAGACAAGCAGCTTCTGGAATATTAACATGACAGTAACACGCATCTGTACTTCAGCAAGCATCAAGAAGAGGCCAAGGAGAATCTTCTGCTTACCCTGAACTTGAAACAGTTCATCCTCTTCCACCCAAGTCTCCTTTTCTTCAACCCCATTAGAGCTGTTCCACTTGCCTTTGGGTACTCTGAGGGGAGATCAAGGAGAGCACAGGTATAAAACAAATTCACCCTGGATTGTCCCAGATTCTGGTCTTGGCTCACTCTTGGCCCTGTACTCCTTCCTGTCCCGTTGTGACCACAATCGAGGTTCGCCTGCATGCACCTCCCAAAGCCACTGTCCTTTCTCCTGGCTGGCCAGGCATCTCCACGTAACACCCCTCAGGCTGCAGGACACCCTTCAAATTCAGCACTGAGTACATCAAGCACATCACCACCCCTCTAAAGAATCTGTTCATTTTCCTGTTTTGCTTGTTTGGTTTTGACTCTTTTAAAGGTCTCAGTATTTTTCTGATTTAGAACCTGCAAACCCCTCCCTCTCTTCCTTGGACATGCCTTCTTCCTATATCTGGACTGATTTTTCCGTTTCCATTCCCCCTTGTTCAAGCTCACGGCGCCTTTCATCAGTATTCCACTAGCCTCTTAACTAGAGTCTCTGCCGCTAGGCTCTTCCCCTTCCAAAGCCAAAGATGATTTTAGGACAATCACCCTAAAATTACCACATGCCTCTTCTATTCCCTAATGGCTTCTCTCTGCCTGAACAGTGGCATCTATATGCCTGTATGGGGGAGTCCACACCATCCAGTCTGGCCCGTCAGTTTCTAACCAACCGCCCCACGATGCCCACACCTGTGCAAACAGCACAGCCACACTGTTCTGCTCTTTCTTCCTTCCATAAGCTCTGTACTTTCCTGCCTCTCTGTAGCCCCTCTGCTTGGGAGTCCCTTCCCTGCTAAGTGACATCTCATCCATCTTTCAAGGCCATGGTTCTCAGTGAAGCCTCCTCTAACTACCAACCACAACACACACAGAAAGCCTTTCTCCTCCTGCCTGCAGTGCTGTTTCCACCATACCAAGTGCCACTTTGCAGTGTGCCCCTAACCAGGACCGCCTCGAAGGCGGGGGCCACATCTTCCTTTGTCCATCCCAAACACATAGCATACCCAGCACAGTAACACAGACCCCAATGTGAGCTGGAGACATATTAGCTGAACTAACATTGTGATTGTCAGAGAGCCACAAGGGAGTTATACCATCAAAGATTAGAGTAAAAAGCAAACAAGAATCCTTCTTGTGAACATGAAACGTTAAATGCTTGGGTGTGGCTAAAAAAAGTACAAAAGCTGAAAATAACCCCAAACTCAAATTATTCAATGAAAACTATAGCCCATTTCTTCTAATCAACTTTGCATTTACCTGATTAATAACTGCCCTGGGAACAGAGCAAAGCACAGATCTGACCTCAGAATTATAACATCTTTTACAAACATGGAAAGTGTCTGAATTCAGAGTCTTGAGGAATTTATATAAATCAAATGACCCGCAAAAGTTAACCAAGAATAGAGACAAATTTCTGTATTCTTCACCCGCCATGAAGAAAAAACTTATTTTTAATGCTGTTTGGGTATTTTGCAAATGAATAATAAAAGCAAGTTGATGAATAAGTACATAGGCTTGAAAAAATTCCTTGAGTTCCATAAGTTTTCTATGAAATTACTTAACTAAGTGGCTGAGACAAATGGTAGACCTAACTTTCTCTTGTTTTTACATTGGATCTTATCCCCAAATGTTACTTGAGAATAATTTACTTGAGACAAAGTGAAAACATTTTACAGGAGGTTTTTCCTTCTCAGGATATTCTTGTGTTAATGACTATTCATAAATAAAAATCAGATGGGGTTATAGTTTGTTTTCTATGTGCTTATCCCAGTGCTGGAATAAAACCAGTTGGAACCTCAGTCCCCAGCTGGTCCGTCATGTTCCCTGAGTGGCTGTCCTCCCTCCCTGCACAGTCTTCACAGGTCACCTTCTCCCTGTCCTCTGTTGAACTCTCAGCACTATTACCTGTACAAATACATGCTTTGGTGGTGATTTCGCAAGACCTCTGACTTTCAGGTGATGTGTTCACTGCCTCTCCTGACTTCCCAAGTGGATGGGGCTGAGATCTGGCCGCTCCTCCTAACTGTAATGGGCTGAGTGGTCCTGGCCAAGTCAGGCCACTTCCTGGTCCTTGTGCTCCTGACTGGCAGTTTGAACATGAAGAGCAATGGTCTAGCAAGTGTTGGCAAGCTACAGTCTGGCTGCTGCGGCTTGTGTACCATGAAGCTTGGGGTGAGAATGGCAAGCCCGTTTTTTAAGGGTTGTAACAAAAAAACAAAAAAAGACAGTTGGGAGCAGTGGCTCACGTCTGTAATCCCAGCAGTTTGAGAGGCCCAGGCAGGTGGATCGCTTATTAAGTCCAGGAGTTCGAGACCAGCCTACATGGTCAAACCCCATCTGTACAAAATATACAAAAATTAGCCAGGTGCGGTGGCACGCACCTGTGGTCCCAGTTACTGGGATGGGGGCGGGGATGGTGGCTGAGGTAGGAGAATCGCTTGAACCTGGGAGGCAGAGGTTGCAGTGAGCCGAGATTGTGCCACTGTACTCCAGCCCAGGTGACAGAGCGAGACCCTGTCTCAAGAAAAAAAGAAAAAGAAAAAACAAGAAAAGAATATGGAACAGACAGACAACTCATGTGGCCCAAAATGCCTAAAATGTTACCCTCTGCTGGCTTTTTACAGGTGTTTTGGGTGTCACTCCTTAACATGCAAGAACAAAGAATCCTTATTTTACTTGGTGAATAAATACCTAGTAAACACATGCTATGTGCAAGGTGCCGTGGGAGATACAA
This sequence comes from Homo sapiens, assembly GCF_000001405.40. Lineage (NCBI taxonomy): Eukaryota > Metazoa > Chordata > Mammalia > Primates > Hominidae > Homo > Homo sapiens. The sequence goes on from NC_000016.10 coordinate 69,364,195, forward strand.
GATTGGGGCATGGTGGCCCTGTCCAAGTGACACTGCCAACCCTGCCTTCCCTCCTGATCCCACTGCCCCTCCCTGCTCCCTGGCAGCGGTCTCCAGTCTCCAGCCTCCCTCCCTCCCTTCCCTGAGTGGGGTCTCATCAGGCCTTCCAATTTGTTGTATTAGAATTATCTGGGGCATGGTTTAAAAAGCAGATTAAAGGGCATTCTCCTGACTCTTCTAATTCAGTAGCCAGGAGCCTGGGAATATGTATTTTTTGAGCATTCCACAGGTCATTGTGTCATGAAGCCCAGCTTGAGAGCCTCTGCCTGACACACTAGACTACAGAAATCCCAGGCCTGGCCCATCTAGCATGCAGACTCTCCTACCTTCACTCTTTCCTATGCACCGTATTCTCCTACCATAGGCTCCATGACACTCTGAGGGGCACACCAGGCTTTCTCATGCCTGTATGTAAGGAGCTCCCACTGCGTAGAGTCCCCCAGCCCCCAACACACTCGACGACCTTCTGCTCATCCTTCCCAGGCCAGCTCAATGTTTGTTCCTCTATAAAATCTGAGCCACCTAAAACCTTGCTGAATAGGCTCAGCTTTTCTTCCCATAAGTGGCCAGGGCACCTCACACATACTTCTTTAGAGCAGGGACACTGACCCTTTTTTTCTGTAAAGGGCCAGATAGTATTTTCACTTTGCAAGCCTGTCTCTGCTGTGGCTACTCAACAAACTACCAATGAACAGAAAGCAGCCCTAGATAATACATTGATGATGGGTGTGACTGTGTTCCAATAAAACTTTATTTACAAAAACAGGCAGTAGGCTGATTTGGCCCCAGGGCCACAGCTTGCCAACCCCTGCTGCTTTAGGGGATTCATTAGACTTCATATCCTTGACATATGAGAGAGGGTGTATGTCTGAAACCTTCACAAATCCTCCCATTTACAAAATTACTGTAATCTCGCACTCTCCTGTTTCCTCATCTGTTCCCGGGAGCAATACCTATAGTGCACAGGATTGCTGTGAGAAGCCAATGAGATCCTGTATCAAATGAGAATAACATGCATGGAGCTGCATCCACTGCCCAGCAGCTATGCCCATTTGCCAGCCGGTGACTCACTTCTACATACAAGTAGTGGTGACATAGTGCAAATCTGTGCCTGAGGATAAATCACTTATCAGATGCCACAGCCCTTTGGGGCACCAAGTACAATGCATGCCAGACCACAGGTCCCCAAATAATACAACACAGAGCAGAGGCAGAGGTGGCCTTGGGAGATCCATAAGGTGGATCACTAGTGGTGACCAGGGAGGAGTCTGTGGAGGAGGGAGAAGTTGTTTTTGTTTTTGTTTTTTTGAGACGGAGTCACACTCTGTTGCCCAGCCTGGAGTGCAGTGGTGCAATCTTGGCTCACTGTGCAGCCTCCGCCTCCCGGGTTCCAGTAATTCTCCTGCCTCAGCTTCCCAAGTAGCTGGGACTACAGGCGCCCACCACCACGCCTGGCGAATTTTTGTATTTTTAGTAGAGACGGAGTTTCACCATGTTGGCCAGGCTGCTCTCAAACTCCTGACCTCAGGTAATCTGCCTGCCTCAGCCTCCCAAAGTGCTGGGATTACAGGTGTGAGCCAGCGCACCCAGCCTGAGGAAGGAGAATTGTAAGAGAGGCAACTTGTTGTATATGGTATACAGGCCATGGGCTTTTCTGTCAAGACTGACTTGGATTAAAAATCCAAAGCCCATCTTTGCCACTTTTAGCTGTGTGACTTCAGGTGAGCTAAGAACTTTTCTGAGCCCTTCTCCTCTGTGTAATGGGGCTAATATATCATCACCTCACAGAGTGAGGATTGTAGTGACTCAGTAAGATGATACATGAAAGTGCTCTGCCCCCAGAAAGCACTTCATCAACAACGGCTTTTCTTCCCTTTAAAGGACAAATGGGATTTGGACAAGCAATGATGAAGGGATGACGGTCCACTGTGGGGAATGAGAGGAAGCAAAAGTACAGTGGTAGAAACAAACAACATGTTCCAGAGAGCAAGCAGGCCAGTCTGCCTGGAGGGAGGATCCACCACAGGACACAAAGGGAAGCAAAACTCAAAGCCAGGATGAGAATCACAATGGGGAGCAAAATTAAAGTATTCTAGCCACTGCCCCACAGTACCTAGCAGGACATGGGAGATTAGTAAGTATTCACTGAACTTGCCAAGTCTCAAATGCTCAGAAGGGTGCAAAATTATACATATTCATCAGTCTCTTTTTAAGGGTCAAAGTATAATGTGGCCCAATGCAAACAAATTTCTTTTAACACACAAGACTAATGTTTAGAAGTCAAGACACTCAGATGTTTGCTAAAAATGAAAGCAGCGATGAGTAGGAGGCTCTGAAACCTTTCCATTCCCACTCATGCCCTAGTGCAAGGCTTGGAAGCCCACATGCGGGGCTTCAGAACCGGCAGGGATGGCTACGTCGTCACTGGCCACTCCTGCGTCAAGTTCTAGCAGTCTGAGCAAGCCTTGGTGGTGAGTAACTTAGCTGAAAGTTACTTCATTCACGGAAGTAATACCAGGCCCAACCAGGACCACCAACCAGCCCCAAAATTTCTACAAAGAAGGTCTTCATACTTGGGATTCTTCTCTCCAGGGAGGGGTTGGTTGAGAACGGTGGGCTTGGATGGTGGCGCTGAAGCGGCCTCCTGGGAGGAGTTGAGGCCTGCGCTGGGCTCAGTACTCTGGCTGTCCTCCTCCAAGACCAATCTGCTTATTGTCATGCGCTTGTTCTTGGGCTGCAGTTCCGAGCCACCCTCACCGTCAGCCGGGGCTGAACTTTCGTTTTCATCTTTTCTGGGTCTCTTGTTTTTGAGGGCTGGTGATGCTGGGAGAGCTTGAGTAGGAAGAACCAGATCCTTCTGGTCCAGTTTTGCAAAGGCTGCCTCAGAATCCTGTGCACCAGACAGAGTCTTGAAAGCTGCTTTCAGAGTCATCATTCCAATGGTGGTTGGAGGATTCCGTAGCTGCCTGCAAATCAAGCATAGGCACAAAGATGTTTTTCACCACTGATGATGCTCATCCAAACAGCCACAACTTTTTTGAAGTTTGAAGCTTCAAATTCCAGTTGAGGAGGCTTTAAATGTGATATGTAAGTTGTATTATGAATTTAAAACTCCAAGTTAGAGAACCTTTATTTTACTTCTCATTTTATTTTTAGAGATAGGGTCTGGGTCTGTCCTAGACAGTAGATAGGACAGAGAGATAGGATACAGTGGCACAAACACAGCTCACTGTATCCTAGAACTCCTGGGCTCAAGCGATCCACCCACCTCGGCCTCCCAAAGTGCTGGGATTACAGGCGTGATCCACCACACCCGGCCTACAACACACTTAAGAGCAGGATCTTGAGAATTCTCAGAGTAAAAGGCATGCCACACAGTCTTGGAACAATGAGAAACTGCCTTTTAAAAATAAAGTTCATCTATCATTTGGAACAGTTAGTATGCTTTAGGGAAAAACTGTTAGGAGAGGGGGCAAACTGGCAGCCTGCAGGCCAAATCCATCTGGCAGCCTGTCTTGTTGTCTAACCAACATGAAAAAAAATTTTTTAAGTGGATCAACTGTTAACATCCAAAAACTGGGAAATCTCATGGAAAACCCTGGACATCTCATACAAAAATCTGAGCACCTGAAGCCTGAGCATCCTTGGATACTCCCACAGAGCAACAACCACAAGAAGCTGAAAAGCACATCCCCTGGTTCCCAGCCCCATGCTCTCAGCCTAGGTCCACTTTGTTCCTTTAGGTTTCCTAACCGGCCCTCAAAGGGCATCTAAGCTTGTGACCCCTGCTTTAGGAACTGGTTTTGGGATTCGACTCACAGATCTGAGCAGTGCTTCCTGAATGTATTAAGAGATTAGGTGTCCACAAGAAAAGTACTGAGTCAATACGGGGGAGGCAAGGAGAGAGAAATGGTGAAAGAGCCTTTGAGGAATGGCCAGTCAGGAAGTTGTCAGGGACCCCAGGCATCCTGTTTCCTTATCTTCCCAGGGTGTGCAGTCTCCCCCAGTGCCTTGTATGAGTAACCTCGTAACACGTTAGTAGGTCGGAGTGCTGAGAGGAACTGATCCTGGCCTAAGGAGGAGACTGCTTCCAGCGACCACCCTAGTGTTTTACCCAAGATCACAAGAGAGCATCTTTTTACCTTGCGGGTTCTCTGGGTGGCTTTTCCACAGGCCCTGGTGCTGGCTGTTTATCTTCCTTCCCTGTACTTGAGGCAGCGGACTCAGATTTCAAAGCCTTTTTGGCCATCTGGGAAAGGAAGGATGTCATCAGGAAGAAGAGGCCACAGAATTGCATTAATTCTCTGCTTCTTTCACCAAGAATATACTCAATATGCAAACAAGTTCACTTACAAATCCAATCTAGGCATAAAACGAAGGACATAAAATGGGAGAGAACTTGTAAGACTTATAAATCAAGCTTTTTTTATTCAAACTTAAGATAACTAATACATTTTTTTTGAGAGGGAGTCTTGCTCTGTCGCCCAGGCTGCAGCACAGTGGTGCAATCTCGGCTCACTGCAATCTCCACCTCCTGGGTTCAAGCAATTCTCCCATCTCGGCCTCCCAAGTAGCTGGGATTACAGGCGCCCACCACCATGTCCAGTTAATTTTTGTATTTTAGTAGAGACGGGGTTTCACCATGTTGGCCAGGCTGGCCTCGAACTCCTGACCTCAAGTGATCTGCCCGCATCAGCCTCCCATAGTGCTGGGATTACAGGCATGAGCCACCATGCCCGGCAATAAATGTTCATACTAATATCTTCCAGTTTGTGTATAGAATTTTTATAACTGTTTCTACAAATGTTTTGCCTTATTAACAACTGTTTGAGAATCCTTATCTATATAACACAAAGAGCCCTGAGTAGGCTAATCAGGGCTCTTTGTGTTATATAGATAAGGATAGTTTCCAGTTACCTGGAATGGAAAGGAAAGGACCCTAGGCCAGGCTCAACTATCTTGACACCTGCTGCCTGAATATCCCAAACTACCTGCTTATAAATAATCTGAGATTTGCCAAACGACTGCTAAGATCATGGACACTATCCTAATATGGGCCTGGCAGATCTGTTACGAGACAGAATATTTTCCACATTCTCAAAGTCCTGGTTTCTTTTGCCCAGGCTGAAGTGCAGTGGCACAACCACAGCTCACTGGCAGCCTCAAGTGATCTTCCCACTTCAGCCTCCCAAGTAGCTGGGACTACAGGCACGCGCCACCACACCTGGCTAATTTTTGTATTTTCTGTAGAGAAGGGGTTTCACCATGTTGCCCAGGGTGGTCTTGAACTCCTAAGCTCAAGCAACCTGCCTGCCTTGGCCTCCCAAAGTGCTGGGATTACAGGTGTGAACCACTGTACTGGGCCAAAGTCCTGGTTTCAAAAACAAAACAAAACCACTCTCACTCAGTGTTCCTTCACCACAGTCTCCCATCTATGACAGCCTGGGTCTAGTTCTTCCCTATGCTGTCCTGAGCCTCACTGCTTCCATTCTTTTATCTCTTTGATCCAATTAAAGAATGTTTTCATTTGGCTTCTTTCAACTTTATACTTTCAGTGACACCTTTCTCCACACCATGCCTTCTTCCTGTTAGCAACTCCATCGTACCACATCTACCAAACCACCCTTCCTCCAAACTTAGTTCACAAGTCATCGCCTTTGGGAACCACCATCGATTGCAAGTGAATGTTCTACTTCAACCATGGCAGATTAACCATGTGTAAAGGAGATAAAAATGGCAGATGAGGGAGACCAGGTGTGTTCCATTTGCCTCTGCCAGTATCTCTGCTTTTGTATTATTTATTTATTTATTTTTTGAGACGGAGTCTTGCTCTGTTGTCCAGGCTGGAGTGCAATGGCGCAATCTTGGCTCACTGCAATCTCCATCTCCTGGGTTCAAGCGATTCTCCTGCCTCAGCCTCCAAAGTAGCTAGGATTACAGGTGCCTGCCACCACGCCCAGCTAATTTTTATATTTTTAGTAGAGATGGGGTTTCACCATGTTGCTCAGGCAGGTCTCGAACTCCTGACCTCAGGTGATCCACCCCCCTGGGCCTCCCAAAGTGCTGGGATTACAGGCGTGAGCCATTGCGCCTGGCCTGCTTTTGCATTTTTAAGGCATTTAATTAAGAAAGCTAGTGCATACAATTCAATGTCTTTTTCACACATCAACTCTTTTCACTTCAGATATTCTGATTCCCCGCACATCCTCAAGGGCACACCATGGTTATGGGAGAAGGGCCAAGGCGCACCGTGAGGAGGTAGGGCTCGGCGTCATCCAGGTGGCTCTCCAGGAAGCGCAGCATCTTCTGCTGGAAGGTCTCATATGAAAAGTTCTGGATAACAGGATGGGCCAAGTTCTTTTCTCGAATAATATTCAGGAGATCATTTCTCAGCTTCTACACAATGGACCGATATTTGCAACATGAGAAAGTAGAACTCCAGTAAAAATTCAATGATGATGAGGTGAGACAGACACTATGAGAACTTCTGCAATGCCGTCAATGCAAATCACTGGCACACATACAGGAAGGGAAGCCCAACACAAAGGATTGGTCAATAAATCAGGTTCAGCCACAGTGGGTTACTATGCAGCTATAAAAAACAGATAAAGAAGTTCCTTATATGCTAACATAGAATGATTCCAAGATATAATATTAAGTGAAAAAAGCAATTTAGAAAAGTGTTCACATTAGTGTGTAGGATATGCTATCACGTATGTGTATGAGAAGAATGGAGAAAATGGATCTATGTGGATGTCTGTACACACACACACACACACACACACAATTTGCTTGCACATGCATAGAGGATCTTTGAAAGGATAAAAGAAAAAAAAAAAGAAATTGGTTGCCTCTGAAGGGAAGAAGATGGCTGAGGGTCACAGATGAGAGTATTTTCACCAAACTCTTTGGTTATACCTTTTGAATTCTGTATTATGTACATGTATTACCTTTTCAAATAATAAAATTTGAATTTATATAGAGGCCAGGTGCAGTGGCTCACACCTGTAATGCCAGCACTTTGGGAGGTCGAGGCGGGCGGATCACTTGAGGTCAGGAGTTTGAGACCAGCCTGGCCAACATGTTAAAACCCCGTCTCTACTAAAAAATTTAAAAAATTAGCCCAGCATGGTGGCACATGCCTGTAACCCCAGCTACTCCAGAGGCTGAGGCAAGAGAACTGCTTGAAACTGGGAGGTGGAAGTTGCAGTGAGCCAAGATTGGGCCACTATACTCCAGCCCGGGCAACAGAGCAAGACTCCATCTCAAAAAAAAAAAAAAAAAAAAAGTATATAGAAGAAATGGTTGGGCATGATGATTCACGTAATCCCAGCACTTTGGGAGGCCGAGGTGGTAGGATCACTTGAGCCCAGGAGTTCCAGACCAGCCTGGGCAACATAAAGAGACCCTGTCTCTACAAAAAATTTAAAAATTAGCCATGTGTGGTGGCATGCAGCTGTGAACCCAGCTACTGGGGAGGATGAGGTGGAAGAACTGCTTGAGCTCAGGAAGTTGAGGCTGCAGTGAACTATGACTGCACCACTGCACCCCAGCTTGAGCAACAAAGCGAGACTCTGCCTCAAAAAAAATAAATAAACAAATGAATAAAAAGGAAGAAGAAAAAATAAAAGCAGGGGACCAACAGAACTTTTGACACCAGGAAACAGGTGCTATGTCCTCACCAAAGAAGTTTCCTCACATCTGCAGGATCACCATTTAATGTAAATAAAGTTAGAAGTGTTACATTTGTCAGCTCCATACCTGGTGCTGATCATTTAAATCAATGTTCTGTTATAAACTAGACAGAAATAAGGCAAGTGAATAATTTATGTCAATTTCTCTAATAAAAACTAAATTTTGAAAAGCCAATCTTACAGTGAGTTATCTTGGATATAAAAGATAACTTGCTGCAGGTGTTACATGTTGAAAGGAGAATATTTAAGTAATATTCCTGACCAAGAACCCTTTCCCTATTTCCCCACAAAAAGCAATGAGATGAATTTAAGTCACAGGAGCAAAAATGTATCAAATTTACCTGAGTTGTGGGGTCCTTGGACATATGTTTTTTCAAAATTTTTGAAGCCTTTTCAAATTCTTTGTTTTTGATACAAATAATGACAGCCTAAAAAGGAGGGGAAAAATCTTTTTTTACTTTTGTAATGACAGGTGTAATCAGAATATCAAACATCAAAATAACTCTCTCTCACATCATATCAAATTTCTGTACTTAAAAACTAACAATTATAAAGCCAGGCGCGGTGGCTCACGCCTGTAATCCCAGCACTTTGGGAGGCCAAGGCGGGTGGATCACCTGACGTCGGGAGTTCGAGACCAGCCTGACCAACATGGAGAAACCCCATCTCTACTAAAAATACAAAATTAGCCAGGCATGGTGGTGCATGCCTGTAATCCCAGCTACTCGGGAGGCTGAGGCAGGAGAATTGCTTGAACCTGGGACGCAGAGGTTGCAGTAAGCCGAGATCGCGCCACTGCACTCCAGCCTGGGCAACAAGAGCCAAAACTCCATCTCAAAAAAAACAAACAAACAATTATTGTTCAAGTGTTATGAACCACTGGAAGCTGTCTCTTTCTGCTTGTAAGGTAGTCACTTTTCAACAATACAATGGCTTTTGTTACATGGCTGATAGAGCAAAATCTGATCACCTGGATTACAGACCATTTAACCAATTTCAATAGGGCCTCCTGAGGAAAGACAGAATGGACAGGAGTCATTCTACGTCCTGTAATTTCAGGTCCCCAGAACAATTGATTCTGTTCTTTTTGGATGCAAAAGCTTTAAAGCAAGAGGGGGATGAGGGAGGGAGGATATACTGTAGGCGGAAAGAAAGAGATGTGCTGACCACAGAGTTCTGCTAGTTCCATTCTGGAAAGGCCTAAGGCCAGTTCTGTAGGAGAATGAAGGGACAACCCCTTACTACCATAAACCCCAGCTGGCAACTTCAATTAAAGCACCTAGGGAACTACTGAAGCCAACAAACCCAGGTCATTCACAAGCAGCAAATAAAAAGGGCAAAGTTCCAGGTAAGATAAGGTCTCACCAGCCACAGAGAGAAAGTAGAGTCCTTCCATAAAGAAACCTCAAGAGAATGAGGTTCTCTTGAGGAAAAATAACAGTGACTGAACATTTACAAGGAAGTTATAATATATATGAACATTTTTAAAAATTAGAAAAGCCAACAAAAAATTGGGAGTATTTGAAGTTATATGATAGAATAAAGTAGCTATCTCAAATCCTGTCTGAGAGACACAGATTCTTTAAAAAGACCACCATACAAAAAAAGGCAAGCCGACTGGGTGTGGCAGCTTACAACTGTACAACTGTATTCCCACACTTTGAGAGGCCAAGGTGGGAGGATCGCTTGAGCTCAGGAGTTTGAGACCAGCCTGGGGAACATAGGGAGACCCTGTCTCTCCCCCAAAAAAACCCACCTACCCAGGCATGTTGGTGTGTGCCTGTGGTCCCAGCTACTCGGGAGGTTGAGGTAGGAGGATCACTTGGGTCTGGGAGATCGGGGCTGCAGTGAGCAGTGACTGTACCACTGCACTCCAGCTTGGGCGAAAGAGCGATACCCCGTCTCAAAACAAACAATAAAAGGAAAATTGGTTCACAGATATTTTTGATCTTCACAGGGAAGAATGTACAGAGACACAGACTAAGGGGAAGAATAGCAAGGAAATTCATTAAGTACTAATCTGTTGCTTCTATCCTCAACGTGTTAAGCACAGCCATACAGGGCGGAAGGCAACTGATGTCAAACGCCCTTGAATATGCAGGCACAGTTCTTGCTGCACAGGGAAGGTACAAAGTAAGTCTTCATTTTACTCAGATGACCATATCCATTTATACATCACTTTCAGCAGAAAAACATATGCTCAAACTATACTTACTTTCTTGAATACAAAGTTTTTACTTTTTTAATCATACAGGTCTTACTGTTTTAAAATTCTATTTAACTTGCATACAACAAAATTAACTTGTTTAGGACATCTGGTTTGGAATTTTAACACACGTAGACTCCTGTATCATCCACTACAATGAGGATCCAAAACCCTGCCTTGGCTGTCCTGTGTAGTCACACCTAACCCTGGCAACCACTGATCCCGGTGGCTCATAACTGTAATCCCAGTGCTTTGGGAAACTGAGACAGGAGGATCACTTGAGGCCAGGAATTTGAAACCAGCCTGGGCAACACAGTGAAAACCCATCTCTACAAAAAAGTAGCCAGGCATGGTGGCGTGTGCCTGTGGTCCTAGCTACTCGGGAGGCAGAGGTAGGAGGATCACCCGAGCCCAGGAATTTGAGGGCAGCAGTGAGCTATGATCATGCCACTGCACTCCAGCCTGGGCAGTAAAGCGAGACCCTCTCTCTCTTTAAAAAAAAAAAAAAAAAAAAAAAAAAAAAAAAAAAAAAAAAAAAAAAAAAAAAAAAAGGGCCAGGCGCAGTGGCTCGCGCCTGTAATCCCAGCACTTTGGGAGGCTGAGGTGGGCAGATCATGAGGTCAGGAGTTCAAGACCAGCCTGGTCAGCATGTGAAACCCTGTCTCTACTTAAAATACAAAAATTAGACGGGCATGGTAGTGCGCACCTGTAGTCTCAGGTGCTTGGGAGGCTAAGGCAGGAGAATTGCTTGAACCTGACAGGCAGAGGTTGCAGTGAGCCGAGATTGCGCCACTGCACTCCAGCCTGGGCAACAGAGTGAGACTCCGTCTCAAAAAACAAGAACAAAAAAGCCGTAAGTGTGTAGGACTTTTTTTTTAAAGGATGTAGCCTTGAGCTTGGCTCCTTTCACTCTGTATAAGGCCTTTAAGGTCCATCCATGTTGGTACACTATCAATAGTTCACTTTTTCTTGTTGTTGGGCAGTATTCCATTCCATGCATGTACTATAGTTTATACATTCATCCACTGAAGGACATTTGAGATGTCTGCAATTTATGGTTATTATAAATAGAGATGCTAAAACAGTCTCATTTACTCTAAGGTAAAACTTCTCATTTCTCTAAGGTAAATACCCAAGAATAGGATTGCATGGTCTCATGGAAAATGTGTTTATAAGAAATGGCCAAACTACTTTCTGGAGTAGCTGTATCATCCCGCATTCCCATCAGCAATATATGAGAGTTCCAGTTGCTCCACATCCTCACTAGTGCTTTTTAAAAAATAGGCTAGGTGTGGTGGCTCACGCCTGTAATCTCAGCACTTCAGAAGGCCAAGGTAGGAGGATCACTTGATCCCAGGAGTTCAAGTCCAGCATGGGCAACAGTGAGATCCCATCTCTATTTAAAAAACAGATGAAAATTGCACATACTTATGTACAACATGATGTTTTGAAATATGTAACTAACACTTTTTATAGTTAGGGTTTTTTTTTAATTAATTTTTCTTGAGATAGGGTCTATATCACCCAGGCTGAACTCAAACTCTTGGCCTCAAGCAATCCTCCTACTTCAGGTGCCCAAGTAGCAGGATTATAGGCATGTGACACCATGCCCCACTATCAGTATTTTTTAAAGTTTGGTCCATTCTAATTGGTATTTGAATCTACTGTGGTTTTAATTTGTATTTCCTTAATGAGTAAATGATGTTGAACATCTTTTCATGTAATTTTTTTTTACCATCTACATTATTTTGGGTGAGCTTTTTGCCCATTTAAAACTAGGGTTGTATAGACTTGTTTCTTTTGAGAGCTCTTCATATACTCTAGATACCAGTTCTTTGTCAGGTGTGATTTGTAAATATTTTCTCCCAACCTGTCGATTGCTTTTCCATTCTCTTAACAGTGTTTTTCTCAGAGCAAAAGTTTAAAATTTTGATTAAGTCCTATTCATCAATTTTTCTTCTTATGGATGTTTTTAAATTATTATCTAAGATTTTTTTGCCTAACTCCAGGACATAAAGATTCCTTCATGTTTCCTCTAAGTTTTATGGTTTCACATTTTACATTTAGATTATAATTTTGAGTTAATTTTTGTACAAGATGTGAGCTTATGGTCAAAGTTCATTTCTGCATATGGACATTCAATTGTTTCAATACCATTTGTTGAAAAGACCATCCTTTTCCCATTGAATAGCCTTCACATCTTTGTCAAAAATCAATCAGTCATATTTGTGTGGGTCTGTTTTTAGATGCTCTCTTCTGTTCTACTAATCTCTATAGTCGTAATTACTGTAACTTTCTCATAATTCTTAAAATTGGGTAGTATGAATCCAAATTTTTCTTTCAATATAACACTTTTTGGTTATTTAAATTCCTTTGCTTTTCCATATGTTTTAGAATTAGCCAGTCTGTATCTATAGAAAATCCTGCTGAGGCCAGATAGGGTGGCTCAAATCTGCAATCTCAGCACTTTGGAAGGTTGAGGTGGGAGCGTCACTTGAGCCCAGGAGTTCAAGACCAGACTGTGCAATATGGGAACACAGGGAGACCCCATCTTTACCAAAAAAAAAAAAAAAAAAATTAGCCAGGCAAGGTGGCACATGCTTGTGGTTCCAGCTATTCAAGAGGGTAAAGTGGGAAGAGCACCTGAGCCCAGGAGGTCAAGGCTGCAGTGAGCCATGATTATGCCACTGCATTCCAGCCCGGGTGACAGAGCGAGACCTTGTCACATTGAAAAAAAAAAAAAAAAACTGAGAAAAAGACAAAGAAAAGAAAGAAAATCCCGCTAGGCTGGGTGCGATGGCTCACGTCTGTAATCCCAGCACTCTGGGAGGCCGACGCAGGCGGATTGCCTGAGGTTGGGAGTTTGAGACCAGTCTGGCCAACATGGTGAAACCCTATCTCTACTAAAAACACACAAAAATTAGCCAGGTGCGGTGGCACATGCCTGTAATTTCAGCTCCTCAGGAGGCTGAGGCATGAGAATCGCTTAAACCTAGGAGACGGAGGTTGCAGTGAGCTGAGATTGTGCCACTGCACTCCAGCCTGGGCAACAGAGCAAGACTCCATCTCAAAAAAAAAAAAAAGAAAAAATCCTGTTGAGATTGTGACTGGAATTGTATTAACTCTATAGATCAACGGGAGCTAAGTGGCAACTTAATTTATGTCTTCCAATCCATGAACATGAACATTCAGTCTTAATTTTTTTTCTTTTTTGAGATGGAGTCTTGCTCTGTCACCAGACTGGAGTGCACTGCTGCAATCTCAGCTCACTGCAACCTCCACCTCGCAGGTTCAAGAGATTCTCCTGCCTCAACCTCCCAAGTAGCTGGGACTACAGGCGCATGCCACCATGCCCAGCTAATTTTTGTATTTTTAGTAGAGATGGGGTTTCACCGTGTTGGCCAGGATGGTCTCGATCTCTTGACCTCATAATCCGCCTGCCTCAGCCTCCCAAAGTGCTGCCTGGCCTTAATCTCTTTCATCAGCATTTTACAATTTTCCATATACAGTTCCTTCACATTTTGCTAGACTTACACGTATTTCTTTCTGTTCTGAAGCCATTGTAAATGGCATTGTGTTGGTAATTTCATTTTGAATTGTTCACTGCTAGTATATGGAAATATGACTGACTTTTCTTTTTTTACTTTAAAATGCTGTTTTCATGTGATGTATGACTGATTTTTGTGTTGATCTTGCTAAACTTACAGGATTTTTTTTTTTGTATACTTCATGAGATTTCTACATAGTCCTGCCATCTGCAAAAAGAAGTAATTTTATTATTTCCTCTCCATTCTGTATGCTTTTTCCCCCTTGCCTTATTGCACTGGTTAGGTCTTCCGGTATGATGTTGAATACAAGTGGTGAGCATTCCAATTTTTACCATTAAGAATGTTAGCTGTGGGCTTTTTGTAGACACCTTTTATCAGGTTGAGGAAGTTCCCTTCATTCCTAGTTTGCTGAGTGTTTTTATCATGAACTAATGTTGAATTCTGTGAATTTCAGCATCAATTTATATGATCATATGGTTTTTCTCTTAATATGGTGGACTACACTGATTGATTTTCAAATACTGAAGCAGCCTTGCATTCCTGGACTTTGGTTTCCCCACTCTGTCACACACTAACTGCATCTGCACCCAGGGCCAAGCAGCAGGACAGACAGTGGAAGGCTATGGAATTTGTTCCATGTTCTGGGGATCACAGCTCCTTTGGTGAGAAAAAGAGTTCTCCTCCTTCAGTTTTAGATGTCTGCCCTGTTGCCACCGTCATTGCTAGGCAGCTGCTGCCACCAGGATAGTATTGCCTGGGGGCCAGGGCAAGAAAGAAGCGAAAAAAGAGAAAAAACTGGGATTTCTTTCACCATCTCTGACCCTTGAGAGATCCTTCCTTGCTCCTCAGACCAGAAAGAGAAAGCTTCTCTTGGTGCTCTTTCTGTTCACACCTGGAGTGCACTTCCAGGTTTCAGGCTGCCTTTGAGTCTGGGCTGGGTGACACCAGAGAAGGAAAAAATGGTAAACTATTCATCACTGGTTTGGTGGAACTTCAAATTCTGGTCTCCTTCCCTATATGCCTATTTCCAGATAGAATCCTCAGATAGCTACTCCATGCATTCTGTCCAAGACTTATAATTACATTAAGAGGGAGAGACAGAAGAGAGTATGTTTACTCTATGTTCTCCAGAATTGGAACACATATCCTTCTATATTTAATGTGTGAAGCAAGAAAGGAAATATGAATGCTTTCAAATTGAAATGAAGAAGTCTGCTTCAAAGGTTGTGCTATGAGCTTATCTTTTAAAACTATGTATTAATTTCCTGTGGGGGGGGGGAAATTAAAAAGATGAATCACTGCTTTTTCACTTGGCAGTTCCCAGAAGTAAGTATAGTTTCTTCTCTTACGTATTTGTTAAGGTTTCTAGGGTATAAGCAATATCAATGGTCTCTGGATAAGTTAAATAAAAGGGAAATTCCAAGCACAGATTTTCAAAATAGGTAAGGTAGGTTTATGTTGGGAAGAAATGCCAGAAAGCACATTTATTAACAAAGGAAGAGAAGAAGACCAAACTCACAGAACTGAAGAATAAAGAAGCAGATGCAAAAAGAAGCAAGGCTGTTCTGGGAAGCAGCAATGTTTAAAAAGCCTCAACAAATATTTTTGTTTCAAATGTAAAGTTCTAACAGAGTGTATCTGATATACAAGCACCCCAAATGGGGTAAGGCCCTCAAAGAACATC
Source organism: Homo sapiens (assembly GCF_000001405.40). NCBI lineage: Eukaryota > Metazoa > Chordata > Mammalia > Primates > Hominidae > Homo > Homo sapiens. The sequence goes on from NC_000016.10 coordinate 69,379,366, forward strand.
AAGCTGCTGTTGCCAAAGCTGCAGGGGACAATGCCGCATAGTAAAAAGCAACATATAAATGCTTCAAGGACATGCTATACGTGTTGCTACCCCTTGTTCTCTAAAGAAACCTAACAGATCAATCTCTCCTTTAGTTATGAGGAGAAAACAAATATAGTCTTGATATAATTAACAGCTTGCAGAAGCAGGTCTCAAATTTTTGGTCTCAGGATTCTTTTATATTCTTCTTAAAACGTTACTGCAGACCCTCAAAGAGCTTTCTGTTTATGTAGGTTATATTTGCTGATATTCACTGTATTAGAAACATAAATCAGAAAATTTTAAATATTTATTAATTCATTAGAAAATAACAATAAACTAATTACAAGGTAACATAAATAACATCCTTATGAAAAATTACGGCATTTACTAAGATAAAAGTTTAATGAGAAGGGTGACATTTGTTTTTCATTTTGAAAATCTCTTTAATATCTGGTTTAATATAGACGATAGCTGGATGCTCATAACTGCTTCTGTATTTAATCTGTTGTGATGTGTTATTTTGGTAGAGTGGGGTTTTTTTTTGAGACAGAGTTTTGCTCTGTCACCCAGGCTGGAGTGCAGTGATGTGATCTCAGCTCACTGCAGCCTCCTCGCCTCCTGGGTTCAAGCGATTCTCATGCCTCAGCCTCCCGAGTAGCTGGGATTACAGGCTCGGGCCACACACCCGGCTAATTTTTGTATTTTTGGTAGAGACAGGGTTTCACCATACTGGCCAGCCTAGTCTCAAACTTCTGACCTCAAGTGATCCACCCGTCTTAGCCTCCCAAAGTGCTGAGATTACAGGTGTGAGCCACCATGCCCTACCCTTGGTTAAGGCATTTTTAAAAATCTGGCTTTATACACATACGAAGCTGAAAATGGAGGAGTATTTTAATAGCTTTTTCAGAAAACTGTGGCTATTCTTGTTTGATTCTACACGAAACTGCAGTAAGTAAACTTTTCTTAATCTGTCACATTAAAATCCATCAGTCAGCTGGGCGCAGTGGCTCACTCCTGTAATCCCAGCACTTTGGGAGGCCAAGGCGGGTGGATCATGAGGTCAGGAGTGCAAGACCAGCCTGGCCAAGATGGTGAAACCCATTTCTAATAATAATACAAAAATTAGCCAGGGGTGGTGGTGGGCGCCTGTAATAACAGCTACTTGGGAGGCTGAGGTGTAGAACTGCTTGAACCCAGGAGGCGGAGCTTGCAGTAAGCCGAGATCACGCCACTATACTCCAGCCTGGGCGACAGAGAGAGACTACGTCTAAAAAAAAAAAAAAAATCCATCAGTCTATCTTGTAGTTTAAATAGATCTTTCATCCATGGATGACTTCATAACATCATGCATTGGTCATCTGGAAAATACTGGTTCACTGAGTTATGAAGATCTTCAAATATTGACACATTCATTAATTTTTTTTTTTTTTTTTCTGAGATGGAGTCTCACTGTTTCCCAGGCTGGAGTGCAGTGGTGTGATCTCGGCTCACGGCAACCTCCTCCTCCCGGGTTCAAGCAATTCTCCTGCCTCAGTCTCCCGAGTAGCTGGGATTACAGGTGCCCACCACCACGCCTGGCTAATTTTTTTTGTATTTTTAGTAGAGACGAGGTTTCACTATGTTGGCCAGGCTGGTCTCAAACTCCTGACCTCAGGTGATCTACCTGCCTTGGCCTCCCAAAGTGCTGGGATTACAGGCGTGAGCCACCGCGCCCAGCCTAAAAAATATTTTTTAAATGTCAGTTGTTAATATTACCAATCTTCAGAAAAGACTAAGTATTGGGAAGCTATCAAGCACATGAATACAAGTTTTCCAAAATTCTGTTTTTCACTAGAAAGCTTAAACTTTATCACTGGCAACAAATACTGTCACTTGTTTTATGTGACAGGTTTGCTTTACTCATTCTCAAGAAAATGACTGCCAAATACCCAAGTGTGAACAACTGTAATTTGTCAGTTGTTCTTCAGGTAAAATAGTATTCCATAAAAAAGCAGCTAGTTCAGCATGCAACTCTAATAATAACACAAGTGCTTTTCCTGGTAACCATCATGTTTTGGTATGCAGCAGAAACATTTTAGTCATACTTCCTCTTATTTTTTTTTTTTTCTTTTTTGACAGGGTCTTCACTCTGTCGTCCAGGCTCGAGTACAGAGGTATGATATCAGCTTACTGCAACCTCCACCTCCCAGGCTCAGGTGATCCTTCTGCCTCAGCCTCCCAAGTAGCTGACACCACAGGTGCACACCACCACACCCAGCTAATTTTTTGTATTTTTGTAGAGACAGGGTTTCACTATGTTACCCAGGCTGGTCTGGAACTCCTAGGCTCAAGCGATCCACTCACGTCAGCCTCCCAAAGTGCTAGGATTACAGGTATGAGCTACTGCACCTGGCCCATACTTTCTATTTCAACACACAAAATCCTGAAAAGATGTTTACTCAAGGCTCTAGAGTTAATAAAATTCATCCAGTTTTTGCTGCTTTACCAAAGACATTCTTTTTTAAATTTTTTTTTAATGGGAGTTCTGAGCTTTTAAACAACTGTGACTAACATTCTTAATTAAAATTGGTAGTTTTAAAAAAAATTGTGGCAGTGAAGAATACAATGACTACTAGTACAATTACTACCATCTTGATCACGCTAAGGAATCACCCATTTTACTCATCCTTGCTTTTGTACCATCAATGCAAATGCCAATGCATTGAAAAAGTCAAATAATGTTTTGGTTCTGCTTATGAAAACAGTTTTGACCTCATGGCTTCTCTGAAAGGGTCCTGGGGACCTCCAGAGATCCCTAGACCATGCACTGAGGGTTCTAACTTAACAAATAACTTACTTGATAAACTTTGCGAAAGATTCAATATACTTTTAAATAAATTGTTTTGGCACTTTACAAAGCTTAAATGCATGAGCAAGGCTCACTGAACCTAGGCGTCTGTAGAATTTTCCCGATCATTAACAGATTCCGTGACTGTAAATGAGAAACTTTTACAAAGTAAATTGAAGAGATGGATGAAATAATATCATTTAACAACTAGGAGATCAAGGTAATTGTGGTTGCCAACCTCAAAGGCAGCCCCCAATGCGCCTCACCTCTTGCGGAGTCCCATTCACACTCTACCAGAGTGAGTCTAGTCTGTATGACCAAGAGCATATGGTGGAAGTGATAATGTGTCACTTCCAAGATTAGACTCTACAAGAATGAGACTTCTGCCTTGGGTTCTTGCTCTCTTGCATGATTTGCTGTAGGAAAACAAAGCTGCCATGTTGCAAGCAGCCTTATCTGTGAAGAGGCCAGGAGCTGAAGTGTCCAGCCAACAGCCAGTAGGAAAGTGAGTCTTGTTAACAACTATGTGAGTAGGGAAGCAGTTGAGTCTTGAAATGACTGCAAACCTAGCTGACAGCTTGACTGTAACCTCATGAGAAACCCTGAGCCAGAATCACTAATAGACTCCTGATCCTCGGAAACTGAAAGATAATATTAACTGTTTTGAGCTGCTTATTCTTGGAGTAACTTGTTACACTGCAGTAACAATAAGCATAAGATCTAGTACGTGGTGGAGACTGGAAAAGGAGAACAGAGTCAACGTAAGAAAATGGCTACTCTGAGAGCTTAGATTTTTCTAATAGATTTTTCCTAATGAACCACCCAAATAAGGAGCTCTATGAGCCTAAATAATAATAATAAATACGCAGCTGAAAGATGAAAGCCCACAAAGACTCTTCCAGAAGAGGGGCCAGATGGCAAATCTATAGCCCTTGTGTTCTAAAGGAGTTGCTACAGGTTGAGCATCCTAAATCTGAAAATCCGAAATCTGAAATGCTCCAATGAGCATTTCCTTTGAGTGCCATGTTGGCACTCAAAAAGTTTCAGATTTGAGGGCATTTGGGATTTCAGATTTTTGGATTTGGGATGCTCAAACTAAATTTAATGCAAATATTCCAAAATCTGAAATCCAAAATGCTTCTGTTCCCAAGTATTTTGGATAAGGGATACTCAATGTGTACTTAATAGAAGTTAAATGAATTATTCTAAACTGGTACCCATTCAAAAGATCCTTAACAGTTCTGAAAGTAGGCATGAATTTCTCCTCCCTTGATAATGTCTATTCTGGCATATGCCTCCCCTCAACCTAAACCTGATTTTCCTATACTAAAAATGTACTCTTGAAATTATTCTTCCTTGGAAATGACTAATATTTAAGCATTTCTTTACCAGACCAAAAGTAGTATCTGCCCAAGGTCCTTAATTAAATAAATAAAATATGTGCACCTCATGCACACTAGTTGTTTTTTAATAGGGTACCCAAGTACAATGTACACAGCCAAGAGACAGGTTTTCCTTGTGAAGCAAGGTTTTTCTTTCTACCCCACCCCCATCTTTGGGATCCCATCCTTTTAGGGGTGCTCTTTTCTTAACCATTTCCCTATTTTCTACCACCAGGGCAATGCTTAGCTGATGTTTTCCATCTTCACCTCTGCATCTGCTTCCACACCCCCCAGCCTTGGTTTTGGGGGAAGAAAAATCTTTTTCTAACTGGTTCCCACAGCCACTTCTATGTTTTAAATTAAAATAATTTCTACTGTTTGAAGCTACCTGAGCCACAACACAGTGACAATCCCAAATTCCTAGACACTCCATTAGCTTTTTTCTTGAATTCAAGAACACTGCCTGTGCCGGATTTCTATCATTCTTCTACCATTACTATTTTGCTAGCTGGCTCATTATCCCAGCACCTCTGATTCTAATCTATCTGTTCAAAAGGGATATTCTCTAAGCCCCTCTTTCTGCAGACAGAAAGAACTCAAAGTCAGTACCACATTTTCCAAGGCCCCAGTTTATCTCCTTGGTTTATTATAAACAAGGGTGACCAAACCCTAGGCCAGAGTTACTTAAGGCCCTTGTAGAGTGCTCCCGAATGGTGCAGTAACCTCCAAAATGTCAGAGCTTCAATGCCAAAGCCACAAGGAAGACCACCCAAATCACAAAAACTGAGCAACTGCCATTACTTCCCAAGCCTGGGTGGGAAAGGAGACACCTGAAGAAATAACGTCTGTGTGTGTGCTTTCTTGCTTGCTCAATCTCTCCCCATTGCTGTTTTCCTCTGCCCCACACAGTAAAGAGTAAGTGCTGTATCCTCAAAGACCCTTGATTTTTGGTCAAAGAAAAAAGATATAAAAATAGAGCCTTACAGCTTCCTTGACCAGTTTTCTACTGGATTCGACCACTGCTTCTGTCAGTGTAAATTCCGTTTTAATCATCTCCAGCACATTGATAGCTGATTCCAGTGGTGTGAGCTCAGCCTCCATATCAAAGGAACAGTCTAGGACAAAGCACAGTTTTCATTTTTAAGCTCTTTTCTAAGGGTAAAAAAGTTATGTCCAAAAATTATATATATATATTTATGGAAATGGAGCATGCAAATATGGTAAGATTTGCATTTAATTTTTTGACATATTTGCTACAGGTTGACATACACGATAAGGGTCCAAATTCAAATCAATGAATTTAACGTGACCATTTTTTAACACCTGTCAAGACAGGCAAAAAAATTATTTTTAAATACCTGCATTTGCCTCTCAAATTCAGAATATACCCATCCTCCTCAGATACGAGTGGCAAGAAACTGACAACAGCTAAATAGCTTTCAAGTTAAATTCAGAGGGGAAAAATGTCAGAGTACTTCCACTCTGAAAAACTCTCTACCATGGGGGAAAAAAGATGTCCATATGAACATAACTCACTTTAGACAGGAGCAAAGTTGGGGTGAGCAATTAACAGGTGGGAGAAGATTTAAAAAAAACACAGAAAAGCAGCCAAGACAACCTTAACCGGAGAAAACTAGAGCCAGTCGAGCCAGAAAACAGACCCATCGTAGAATGAAAAAGACCACTCTGATGGAAACTATCGCACTTTAACCTGGAATCCTTCAGTTCTAGATATAAGTTTTAAAACAAAACCCTACGCAAGTAAGCCCAGAGAAGAACACAAAAATAGCCATACCTAAATTTTCCCCTTCTTCAATCCGCGACAGACACTGCATAACCCGCAGCAATCGGGACACGGTGTGCTCCTTCCCCAAGGGCCTGACAAGCAAAGCTGGGAGAGAAGACATCGTTGGCTGGGCGACCCCCAGTCCCGACTCCCGGTCCCCCGGACCCCCTTCCCCGGCGCTCCAACCCCCCTCCCCCGGCCCGGCCCTCACCCTGCATGATGTCCCGGATCTGTCTGAAGTCCCCGTACCGGCTACCCCGAAAGGCCCGCAGCGCCTCGTGGAAGTAGAACTTGAGCACCCAGCGATTGACTGCCTCTTCCAGCCGTGCCTCCCCCGCGCCGCGCTCCGCCGGGCCCCCCAGCCCCGGCTCGTGGCGCCCCCGCCGGGCCCGCCCGCTACTGCGGGACGCCCGCCTGCCAGCTGCCCGCCCGCTGCCGTCGCTACTCCCGCCTCCTCCCGCCATCGTGTCCGATCGCCGCGCGCCCTCCCCGCCCTCCCGGCCGGGCCGCTTCCTCGGCTGTGACGCCGCTGGGTCACGCACGACGCCCGGGCCGGAAGCGGGGCCCGCCGTCCCGGCTCCCGCGGCCATGATAGAAACAGCGTTCCGAGCCGCCCGCGGGCTTCTGGGAGGGAAAGGACCGGAGGGCCCGGCCCCCTTCTCAGACGCCGTAGTTCCCGATGTGCCGGCCGCAATGCCTCCTGGGGCTTGAAGTCCACACCGCCCAGGCCGGTGAACCCGGCGGGTTTTGCAGTCAACTTCGCTCCGAATTTACAGAAAACAGCTACTATGCTAGGGACGCGGAACAGTGTATTAGAGACTGAAAAACAGGCCGGGATCGGTGGCTCTACGCCTGTAATCCCAGCACTTTGGGAGGCTGAGGCGGGTGGATCACCTGAGGTCGGGAGTTCGAGACCAGCCTGACCAACATGGAGAAACCCCATCTCTACTAAAAATACAAAATTAGCCAGACGTGGTGGCGCATGCCTGTAATCCTAGCTACTCAGGAGGCTGAGGCAGGAGACTCGCTTGAACCCGCGAGGCGGAGGTTGCGGTGAGCCGAGATCGCGCCATTGCACTCCAGTCTGGGCAACAAGAGCGAAACTCCGTCTCAAAAAAAAGAAAAGAAAAAAAAGAAAACCAAATATGTGCACCTTATTAAACACTTTGAAAATTGTGGAAGAGAGCATACACAGAGGAAAGTCTTTAAACAAATTTGTATTTTAACAAATACTGTAATTATAAAGCAAAGACCAGTGTGATACCAATAAATAGAATGCACCTGGCAACCCAGCCGCTAGACATATACTCTTTGTAATCACAAAAATAACACATTTTGTTGTAGAACAATTAGAAAAATAAGCAAAAGGACCACCCATAGTCCCATAGAGGGTCTGAGTCACTTTCAGATATCTCTGATACTCTTGGAATTCACCAACTGGCACTTGACCAAATGGAGAACCTCCAGCTCAGACCTTAGTTCAGGATGGTGGTTGTGGGTGCCTCTTCCTGAGAGGCCCAGTAACTGGTCTAGCTTCAAAGATTGTCCTACCAGCCCCACTAGTCTGGAACCTGCAAAGATCCAGTTTGGGGCCACTCAAAGACAACTCAGAAGTGCAGGTGGCCATGTCCTTGAGGATGTGAATCCCATGCTGGACCTGTGAATTAATATCAGGACCTTAATATGTATAGTATCCTGGAAAGCCAAAAGTTCTATGAGGTACACGTTCCGGGATGAGAGAAGAGGCCTCTAGGTCTGACTGATCTTTGGTGATCATAGCTGCTTTTCTTTTTTTTCTTTGTTTTTCTTGAGATGGAATCTCGTTCTGTCGCCCAAGCTGGAGTGCAGTGGCACGATCTCGGCTCACTGCAAGCTCCGCCTCTGGGTTCATGCCATTCTCCTGCCTCAGCCTCCCGAGTGGCTGGGACTACAGGCGCCCACTACCATGCCCAGCTAATTTTTTGTATTTTTAGTAGAGACGGGGTTTCACTGTGTTAGCCAGGATGGTCTCCATCTCCTGACCTCGTGATCCGCCCGCCTCGGTCTCCCAAAGTGCTGGGATTACAGGCGTGAGCCACTGCGCCCGGCCCATGGCTGCTTTTCCATTCCAGCCTGCTTGCCTTAACCAGGAACCAAATCACTTGCCTTTATTTTAGTTTTTTTGAGAAAGTTTCACTCTGTAATGCAGGTTGGAGTGCAGTGGCACAATCGTGCTCACTGCAGCCTTGAACTCCTGGGCTCAAGTGATCCTCCTGCCTCAACCTCCCAAGTAGCTAAGACTACCAGCGTGTGCCACCATGCCTGGGTAATTTGAAATTTTTTTTCGTAGAATTAGGGGTCTTGCCGTGTTGCCCAGGCTGGTCTCGAACTCCTGGCCTCAAGCACTCCTCCCACCCTGGTCTCCTAAAGTGCTGGGGATTTCAGGGTTGAGCTACTATGCCTGGTGCCAAATCACTTGCCTTTCAATTCTAACTTTTTTTTTTTTTTTCTGAGACAGAGTCTTGTTCTGTTGCCCAGGCTGGAGTGCAGTGGCACGATCTTGGCTCACTGCAACCTCCGCCTCCCGGGTTCAAGTGATTCTCCTGCCTCAGCCTCCCGAGTAGCTGGGATTACAGGCGTGTGCCACCACGCCTGGCTAATTTTTGTATTTTTAGTAGAGACGGGGTTTCACCATGTTGGCCACGCTGTCTCGAACTCCTGGCCTCAAGTGATCCACCCATTGTGGCCTCCCAAAGTGCTGAGATTATAGGCGTGAGCCACTGCGCCTGGCCAGTGCTAACTCCTCTACTTGCTAGCTGTGTAACCTTGAACAAATCCCTTAACTGTCTCTGTGCCTCTGTTTCCACATCTGTCAAGCACAAATAATGAAGGTACCTCTTGGAAATTATACGAAAAGTCAATGAGTTGCTATTTCTAATGCCTTTAGCGAAGGGCTCAGCTTGTGGTAAGGGCTCAGTAAGTGTAAACTGTTTTTTGTTTGTTTGTTTGTTTTTTGAGACAGAGTTTTGCTCTTGTCGCCCAGGCTTGAGTGTAATGGCGCAATCTCGGCTCACTGCAACCTCCATCTCCCAGGTTCAATTGATTCTCCTGCCTCAGCCTCCCGAGTAGCTGGGATTACAGGAAAGCAGGAAGCACTTAAGGTTTTCAAAGAAGTTCCCTTAAAGAGACAGTTGGGTATTTGTGGTAGATAAAGAAGAGAATGATTTTGGGATAACCAGAGGATGATGGGACTTTGAAAAATGAGGAGAAAATCCATCAAGCAGGACACTTATGATTTGCGCACTTTATGTAAGTCATACCTTAATTTTGAAAAAATAAAAGAAAAATGAGTTTTTTTTGATAGAGGAGAGTAGGAGACTTTCTAGGCAGGTCCTGGATGAGTTAATAAAAACAGCTTATACCGGCCGGGCGCTGTGGCTGACACCTGTAATCCCAGCACTTTCGGAGGCCAAGGTGGGTGGATAACCTGAGGTCAGGAGTTGGAGACCAACCTGGCCAACATGGTGAAACCCCATCTGTACTAAAAATACAAAAATTAACTGGGTGTGGTAGCTGAAGCCTGTAATCCCAGCTACTCGGGAGGCTGAGGCAGGAGAATTGCTTGATCCTGGGAGGCGGAGGTTGCAGTGAGCCAGGATCCCGCCACCGCACTCCAGCCTGGGCAACAGAGCCAGACTCCGTCTTAAAAAATAAAGATGAAATAAGGCCTGTAAATAATGTCTGACAATGCTGGGTGCGGTGGCTCACGACTGTAATCCCAGCACTTTGGGAAGCCAAGACATGAGAATCGCTTGGGAGGCAGAGGTTGCAGTGAGCTGAGATGGTACCACTACACTCCAGCCTGGATAGAGTGAGCTCTGTCTTAAAATAACAATAGTAATAATAATAATGATAATAATAACTGGCCAGGCACGGTGGGTCACGCCTGTAATCCCAGCACTTTAGGAGGCCATGGTGGGAGGACCACCTGAGTTCAGGAGTTCAAGACCAGCCTGGCCAACATGGTGAAACCCCATGTCTACTAAAAATACAAAATTAACCGGGCATGGTGGTGGGCACCTGTAATCCCAGCTACTTGGGAGGCTGAGGCAGGAGAATCACTTGAACCAAGGAGGTGGAGGTTGCAGTGAGCCGAGAACATGCCATTGCATGCCAGCCTGGGCGAAAAGAGCGAAACTCAGTCTCAAAAAAAAAAAAAATTGCCTGACACATGCCAATCAAGCTAGCAAGGTTTTTTTTTTTGAGACAAGATCTTGCTCTGTCACCCAGGCCAGAGTGCAGTGGTGTGATCATGGCTCACCGCAGCCTCGACCTCCTGGGCTCCAGTGATCCTCCTTCCTCAGCCTCCTGAGTAGCCGGGACTACAGGTACATGCCACCATATCTGGCCAATTATTATTTTTTTATTTTTTTGTAGCGACAGGGTTTTGCCATGTTGGCCAGGCTGGTCTCAAACTCCTGGGCTCAGGCAGTCTTCCCGCCTAGGCCTCCCAAAGTGCTGAGATTACAGGTCTGAGCCACCAAGCTGGGCCTAGCAAGGTTTTTTTTGTTTGTTTTTGTTTTTGTTTTTGAGACGGAGTTTCGCTCTTGTTGCCCAGGCTGGAGTGCAACGGTGTGATCTCGGCTCACTGCAACCTCCACCTCCTGGGTTCAAGCGATTCTCCTGCCTCAGCCTCCTAAGTAGCTGGGATTACAGGCATGCACCACCGCACCCAGCTAATTTTGTATTTTTTAGCAGAGATGGGGTTTCACCATATTGGTCAGGCTGGTCTTGAACTCCTGACCTGAGGTGATCCACCCACCTCGGCCTCCCAAAGTGCTGGGATTACAGGCGTGAGCCACCACGCCTGGTCACTAGCAAGGTTTTTTGTTTTGTTTTGTTTTTTGAGGCAGAGTCTCGCTCTGTTGCCCAGGCTGGAGTGCAATGGTGTGATCTCGGCTCACTGCAACCTCCGTTTCCCGTATTCAAGAGATTCTCCTGCCTCAGCCTCCCAAGTAGTTGGGATTACAGGCGCCCACCACCACACCCGCTAATTTGTTTGTGTTTTTAGTAGAGATGGGGTTTTCCCATGTTGGTCAGGCTGGTCTCGAACTCCTGACCTCAGGCAATCTGCCCACCTCGGCCTCCCAAAGTGCTGGGATTATAGGCGTGAGCCACCACGCCCAGCCTCCACTAGAAAGGTTTTAAAAGTTAATAATCGGCCGGGCATGTGAACCCGGGGGGCAGAGCTTGCAGTGAGCCGAGATTGTGCCACTGCACTCCAGCCTGGGCGACAAAGCAGGACTCTGTCTCAAAAAAAAAAAAAAGGCCAAGCGCGGTGGCTCATGCCTGTAATCCCAGCACTTTGGGAGGCCGAGACGGGTGGATCACAAGGTCAGGAGATCAAGACCATCCTGGCTAACACGGTGAAACCCTGTCTCCACTAAAAATACAAAAAATTAGCCGGGTGTGGTGGTGGGCCCCTGTAGTCCCAGCTACTCGGGAGGCTGAGGCAGGAGAATGGTGTGAACCAGGGAGGCGGAGCTTGCAGTGAGCTGAGATCACGCCACTGCACTCCAGCCTGGGCGACAGAGCGAGACTCTGTCTCAAAAAAAAAAAAAAAGTTAATAATCCCCATTGTCAGGGAAGGTACTGTGAAGCAGACCCTTTCAGCCAGTGCTGGTGGCAGTGTTAAATCAGTACAACCTTTCTAAAGAGCAACCCAGAAAAAAATCAGCAACAGCCATAAAAATTCCATTGTTGAGAAAGTCATCGTGCAGGAATAATCACAGATAAGTAACAAGTCGTAAGTACAAGGATTTTTATCACTTCATTACTTATAAAGTAGAAAAAACTTGAACTGAAAAGATCTGATAATAAAATTATTAAGTAAATCATGGTTTGTTCATATTAAGGAATTTTATTCTGTTACGAAGGTTTTCTGACCAGGCGTGGTGCCTCATGCCTGTAAGCCCAGCACTTTGGGAGGCCAAGGCGGGTGGATCACGTGAGGACAGGAGTTCGAGATCAGCCTGGCCAACGTGGCGAAACCCCGTCTCTACGAAAAATACAAAAATTATCTGGGCATGGTGGTGCACACCTGTAATCCCAGCTACTCAGGAGGCTGAGGCACGAGAATCGCTTGAACCTGGGATGTGGAGGCTGCAGTGAGCCAAGATTGTGCCACTGCACTCCAGCCTGGGCAACAGAGGGAGACTCTGTCTCAAAAATAAAAATAAAAATAAAATAAAGATTTTCTCCTCTCAATAAGAACAAATATCTAACTATGTACCCCAAGATTATTCTGTGCTTAAGATATGATCAGAGGAGAAAAAAGATAGAAACATAATGGTATAACCACAATTTTTTTTTAAGACGGAGTCTTGCTCTCTCTCCCAGTCTGGAGTGCAGTGGCGCAATCTCGGCTCACCGCAAGCTCCGTCTCCTGGGTTCACGCCATTCTCCTGCCTCAGCCTCTGGAGTAGCTGGGACTATAGGCACCCGCCACCACACCCTGCTAATTTTTTGTATTTTTTAATAGAGATAGGGTTTCACCGTGTTAGCCAGGATGGTCTCGATCCCCTGACCTTGTGATCCACCCATCTCGGCCTCCCAAAGTGCTGGGATTACAGGTGTGAGCCACTGCGCCCAGCCGGTATAACCACAAATTTATGGGAATAACGATTATATACAATATATTTTTTGCCAGGTGTGGTGACTCACACCTAGAATCCCAGCACTTTGGAAGGCCAAAGCAGGAGGATTCCTTGAGGCCAGGAGTTCAAAACAACGTAGCAAGACCCTGTCTCTACAAATAATTAAAAAATTATCTAGGCATGGTGGTGGCCTGCAGTCCTAGCTACTTAAGAGGCTGAGGCAGGAGGATTGCTTGAGCCCAGGAGTTTGAGGTTACAGTGAGCTATGATTGTGCCACTGCACTCCAGGCTGGGTGACAGAGCAAAACTCTACCTTAAACACACACACACACACACACACACGCACACGCGGGGAGAGAGAGAGAGAACATTTATTATATATCACTTACTGTGTGCTGGGGTGCCTTACATCCTTTATTTCGTTTAGTCTGCACTAAAATCCTATAAAGAGGTATTTCTGTGCCAGCTTTTGTTTTGTTTTGAGGCAGAGTCTTCCTCTATTGCCCAGGCTGGAGTGCAGTGGCGTGATCTCGATTCACTGTAGCCTCTACCTCCTGGACTCAAGCAAGTCTCCTGCCTCAGCACCCCCCAACCCCAGTAACTGGGACCACAGGTGTGTGCCACTGCACCCGGCTAATTTTGGTATATATTGTAGAGATGAGGTTTCGTCATGTTAACCAGGCTGGTCTCGAACTCCTGGAATTAAATGATCCACCTGGCTGGGCCTCTGAAAGTGTTGGGATTGTAGGTGTGAGCCACCACACCCAGCCATTGTGCCAGTTTTAGAGAAGAAAAAACTGAGGCTTTAGAAAGTTAAGTGACTCGCCCAACGTGCCTGAATCAGATTTTAAATCCAGATCTGTTTGATATTAACCAAGATAGAATGAGAGATTAGGTTAGTTTTGTCTGTTCTTGAACTTCACAGAAACAGAATCATACACTAGATACTCTTTGCGTCTGGTTTCTTTTGCATAACTGTTTTTGAGATTCATCCATGTTGTTCCTTTTTATAGCTGAATAGCGTTCCATTATATAAAAAATCCACAATTTAGGCCGGGGGTGGTGGCTTATGCCTGTAATCCCAGCATTTTGAGAGGCTGAGGCGGGCGGATCATCTGAGTTCAGGAGTTTGAGACCAGCCTGGCTAACATGGTGAAATCGTGTTTCTACTAAAAATACAAAAAAATTAGCTGGGCATGGTGGCGTGCACCTGTAATGCAAGCTACTCGGGAGGCTGAGGCAGGAGAGTTGCTTGAACCTGGGAGGTGGAGGTTGCAGTGAGCCAAGATCGTGCCATTGCACACCATCTTGGGCAACAAGAGCGAAACTCCATCTCAAAAAAAAAAAAAGCCACAATTGATTTACCCATTCTCTTATCGATAGACATTTGGGTTGTTGCAGCCTCAACCTCCCGGGCTCAAGGGATCCTCCTGCCTCAGCCTCCTGAAGTGCTAGGATTATGGGCGTGAGCCACTGCACCTGGCTGAATCTATCATTTTCTTTCATTGTGAGTGCTGTTAGTTGCTTGTTTAATAAATCCTTCCTTATTCAGAAGTCATGAAGATATTAGCTTATGTTATCTTCTAAAAAGTTGTAGATTTTTGCCTTTCACGTATTAGTCTTTTATCCACCTGAATTTGATGCTTGCAAATGATATGAAGCAGGGTCCAATTTCATTTTTTTCCATATAGGTATCCAGCTATCCTAGCACCATTTATTAAAAATATCTCTTTTCTCTACTCTCTGTAGGGCTACCTTTGTTATAAATTAAGTAACCATGTATGTGTAGACTTGTTTCTAGGGACATACAGTTTTTCAAAATTATTTGATGGAATATGCAAGCAAAAAAATGTGAAGACCACTGTACTAAACAAATTGTGTGGCTTTTATCTGGTTATTTAACTTCTCTGAATTTCCTGCACTGTTGGTTGGGAGCATCAGATGGGATCATGCAGTAAAGCAGATAGGAGACATTTTACATAGCCTCTGGGAGCAGAGGTAGTATCTTTTTTTCTTTTGTTGTTATATTTCCAGTGCCATGCACTGCATGGAAACAACACCCACTTGGGACAGGAGCTGCCTTGGAAAGAGCCCAGAGGACGTGACATTTGGGTGGGTCGTGAATGATGGTGAAATCTGTCATCTCTTTTTATGAGTGTCATCTGTTGACTGTCCATGGCGCATTTCGCATGTGGGTTTTATCTGCTTATTTTAACTGGTTTAGTAGGGCCCAGAGGGAGATGTCTGTGCCCTGTCCCACATACCAGCTTTCGGGGAAACCCTGGTAGAAGTCACCCAAGAAGATCTAGCAGAAGCGCCAGCTTTGTTTTTACTAGAGATAGATACATGTTGCTGAGAGCAGGGCTGGGCCTTTTAAAAATTCTGGGCACTGGAGTGCTGCAGGATTCCTGAGTTTCACCCACACACTGCTTTCTTCCCAACCCCCAGCCAGGGGCCAGCAGGTACAGCAACTAACGCACCCACTCACCCCAGCATTGCCACCCGTGGGAGTGGAGAAATCCACACCACACCCCCAGTTCTGTCTTGCCTCTGGAAGAGGGAGCATAGGGTCTTGCACTCAGCAGGCAGTCAGTAAACATGGAGTGCGTAACATGTGAGTAACCCTATTAAGATTAGGCTATATGAGCACATTCCCATCTGCTACTACATGGCAAGAAATGGATAGATTATGTGGCCCTTCCCAGTCCTGAGGGAGCATCGTTATATATACAGATTCCCCAGCAATGGGAATTTTGTATATTTCTGATTCTTCTCCTAACTGCTGAACTAGGAATCTATTCTGATTCCTCCCCTACCTGCTGAATTAGCATGGAGGGGGTGCGCAGAAAGGAGCTATTTTAAATTAAACTCTCTGGGAGATTCTGGTTTTGATGCCCTGTCAAGTAGGGAAATGATCAAATTATTATATTCCTCATCAAAAGTAACAATTTGGCAGTATCTATCAAAACTTAAAATTCACATGTATTTTGAACCTATGGTTTCTCCCAGCTCCATCCTATGCCAACAATGTAGGCACAAAGATATTCAGGGCAGCAATTTTTTTCTTTTGCTTAGATTTGAGATCCCAACAATGCAGCATTTTTGAAATGGACAAATATTAGAGAGTTGGCAAATGTCTATTCATTCATTAGACACATTCTGTTGACATATTCCCACTATCAGGAACAGCAAAAACAAAGTACCTATAATAAAGTCCCTATTCTTACCGAGATGTACTTTTTAATCCATCAAAAGAGGACTGAATAAATAATTTATGATACATTCAAGCAATGGAATATTATGCCTCCATCAGAAGGAATGAGGTTTGTCACTACATACAGCTTTGAAAAGATGTAAAAGACAATTTTTTAAACTTAGGAATCTTTTGAATGTATTACCTCTTCCAAATGAAGAAAATAAAAAAGAGAAAAGCAAGTTTCGGCTAGGTGCAGTGGCTCGTGCCTGCAATCCCACCACTTTGGGAGGTCGAGGCAGGCAGATCACTTGAGGCCAGGAGTTCGAGACCAGCCTGGCTAACATGGTGAAACCTTGTCTCTACTAAAATTACAGAAATTAGCTAGGTGTGGTGGCACACGCCTGTAATTCCAGCTACTCAGGAGGCTGAGGCAGGAGAATCACTTGAACCCAGGAGAAGGTTGCAGTGAGCAGAGATTGCACCACTGCACTCCAGCCTGGGCGACAGAGCGAGACTTTGTCTCAAAAAAAAAGAAAAAAGAAAGAAAAGCAAGTTTCAAAACAGGGTATCAGTATTATCCTACTTGTGGATAAAAATTATATACATATGGATATATATATATATAGATACATTCATAGAAAAAATTGTGAAAGAATGTTAAAAAATTGCTAGCAATAGAACTAGAAAATGGAACTAGGAAGGGAAGATTTTTCTTTTCTCTTTATACTCTTTCATGCTGGTTCAAAATTTTATTTTATTTTATTTTTATGTATTTTTTGTAGAGAGGGGGTCTTGCTATATTGCCCTGACTGGTCTCAAACTCCTGGCCTCAATGGATCCTCCCACCTCAGCCTCCCAAACTGTTGGGATTACAGGCATGAGCCACTACACCTGGCCTAAAAATTTTGACCAAAGGAAAGCTTACTTTTCCAATTTTTTAAACCATTACAAAAATTCCATATAATCTTGAGAGACCATGAAATCTTAAACTTCCAGCAGGGGGCAGCAACGATTCTCAAATATCTCTGACGTCAGCACAAAGCTGAGGATTAGCGTCCCCAGGTTTCCATTTCCAGGCCCAAATACTGTCCTTGCATCACCAGATCATAAAGGAAACAAAACGCAATAACCACAGAAGGCTTAAAATGCCGCAGGAATTGTTGTGTAACAAAACATTTCTGTATGGCTCTTTGTTAACACATCTGCGAGTTAAACTGCCTTTTCTCTCTCTGGAGCTCACAGTTTTCTCATCCATTAAATTGAGGGGGTTTGATGAGATCATGTTAAAAGTTCTCTTTCCATTTCTGTAATGCTAAGCCTTTATGACTTAAAACCCAGTATCAGGAAGAAACAAGCCCCAGTGCCCTCTGAAATTAACTGGCTTATCAAAGAATCTGCTTTAAAACCCTCAGCTGGTCAGTGAATTACTGCCAGTTTATCTTTAGTGTAGATCAAAGAATACTTTTTTTCAGGGGGGAGGATGTTGGTATTTACTTAACTCACTGATGGAGAAAAAGAACGCTCCCACTCTATAAATGTTTAGCATGTGTGTAAAGGTCGTAGGTCTGGTGTTCAGAAATTACATACAGGCTTACGAAAGAATCTGCACTGGGTTGGCCAAATTAAACAACAGGCAGTTGTAGAGAAATAAACACAAGTTAACATTTAACCACAACAAGTCTCTGTTCTTGCTGCTCAGTCTTTCTCACTAGGAGGAGCCTTGAGAAGGTCAGAGAGCTCTGGCTATTCTAGCGAGAGGGCTCTTCTGAGAATGCACTAATCTATTACTTTTATAATATATATATATCGGCCGGGCGTGGTGGCTCATGCATGTAATCCCAGTACTTTGGGATTCCTCATCTGTAAGATGGGGATACCAAAGACCTCTAAGACTGTTAATTGCTGTGAGGGTTAAATGATATAATACATTATCAAATTGCTTAGCATGGGACCTGGCAACTGGAAAGACTTGTTAAAATATGAGTTAATAATATTGTTTAATAAAGCTTAAGCAATATAAGAATCATACATACAGCCACATTTCTGGGGTGTAGACACCCCTTCTCAAATTATTCAGAATCTCCCAGCACCAAAAGATTCATTTCCTATATTTTTATAAGAAATGTATTCTTCCCCTGACATAGTTGTCTTTTTTTTTTTTTTTTGAGACGGAGTCTCGCTCTGTCACCCAGGCTGGAGTGCAGGCGTGATCTCGGCTCAATGCAAGCTCTGCCTCCCAGGTTCACGTCATTCTCCTGCCTCAGCCTCCTGAGTAGCTGGGACTACAGGCGTCTGCCACCATGCCTGGCTAATTTTTTGTATTTTTAGTAGAGATGGGGTTTCACCGTGTTAGCCAGGATGGTCTTGATCTCCTGACCTCATGATCCGCCCGACTCAACCTCCCAAAGTGTTGGGATTACAGGTGTGAGCCCCCGCGCCTGGCTGGTTATCTTCTTTGAGACAAGAGCTTGCTCTGCTGCCCAGGCTGGAGTGCAGTGGCTCGGTCATGGCTCACTGCAGACTTGGACTTCCCAGGCTGAAGATATCCTCCCACCTCAGCCTCCCAAGTAGCTGGGACTACAGGTGTGAGCCATCCCACCCAGCCCATAGTTATCTTTTGATCATATTAGAATGTCTTCAGGAAAGAATGATGCAAACAGGCCCCAGCCCCCAAGTCCCAAAAGCTGGGGCAAGGTTCCAGGGAAGGAGAGATGAGATGGAGGCTAGACCTCAGAACAGGCAAATCAAGACAGCCAAGACAGGCAATCAATCATGTGGGGGCATTTGTTAAAAAGTTTCCAGGATCCAGTCTCCAAGATTTTCATTCTGTTCCAAAATGAATTTCAATAGATAGTTTAATATTTTCATAAAACTATAATCACAGGAAGGGTTTCACATGATCTTATTCTGCCGCACACCCCGGTTCCCCACCAGTTTATTTATTGTTTTCTCCCAAACACTGACTCACTTCCTTTATCCTCAGTCAAGGGCATTGCTTTGATTTGCTCTAGTGGCTGCCCCTCTCAGCTTCTGAGTCTTGGCATGAGGGCGTGTGAATTCTTCCATCTGAAATCATCTGCTTTCTCACAGCCTAACACTTCGCTTCTCTTCTAAAAGCGACTGACAACTCACCTGCTTCTGGAAGCCTTCCCTGTTGAGTTTTTTCACTTTCTCACTGTGTTCTGTGCCACAGATGCAAGTGGAGTTGTGGGAATACAACCAGGGCCGTGTCCTTCTGTCTTTGCTATGGGTGGGTAAGTTCTGGTTCTTTCCATTGGGGGCAGCATGGTTTTAGGGAGAGAGCAGGGACTCTGGAATCTGGCATGAACGCATTCAACAGCACTACTCATGAGCTCTCAGATTCATCCTGGCTGTCCTTTGACACGTTGGGATTGATGCTTTCTTCTCATGGGTCATCCCAATTTCTCCAGGCAGCTTTCTCTTCTCCTCTTTATGTTACTTCTCTCCAAGAGTAGACAAGAAGCCCTTCTCTTTTTTTTCTTTTTTAAATAAAATAGAGACAGAATCTTGCTATGTTGCCCATCTTTATTTCTTTTCTTTTCTTTTTTTTTGAGACAGAGTCTCACTCTGTCGCCCAGGCTGGAGTGCAGTGGCGCGATCTCGGCTCATTGCAACCTCCACCTCCTGGGTTCAAGCGATTCTCCTGCCTCAGCCTCCCGAGTAGCTGGGATTACAGGCATCTGCCACCACGCCCAGCTAAGTTTTGTATTTTTAGTAGAGATGGGGTTTCACCATGTTGGCCAGGCTGGTCTTGAACTCCTGACCTCAGGTGATCCGCCCACCTCTGCCTTCCAAAGTGCTAGGATTTCAGGTATGAGCCATCGCACCCGGTCTATTTCTTTTTAAGTAAAATAGAGACAGAGTCTTGCTATGCTGCTGGTCTTGAACTCCTGGCTTCAAGTGATCCTCTCACCTCAGTTTCCCAAAGTGCTGGGATTGCAGGTGTGAGCCACTGCGCCCAGCCGGTCCTCTTTTAATTCTCCAATGCACAACTAAGGTTATACCATGCACCCCACCATGACTGTCGTGTCCTCATCTGTCAAATGGGGATGATTATAGTCCCTGCCTCACTGAATTCTTGTAAGAATGAAATGAGATCAGGCATGTTTCCAAGACTTGGCACCTGGCAAGTTGTGGCAGATGCTTTGGACTGGGTCACTCAAAACCCATCCCAACCCCTTTCTAGATTTGCTTCCTGGACTGTAGAGGATGGAAAGCTAAATATGACATTTCTCAAACACCCTTGCAGCTCTGGTTCTGTTTATGATTTGGATTGTACTGTGTGAGACTTGATAACTATGAGTCACGTGGAGGGGGAGACAGAGCAGGAAGCATCCATTTTGCTGGCACTGGTCAGGGCAGAGGCAATGCTATTCTGGAGCCAACAGCTGTGGTGGCTGCTTAGCAATTCTTTTCTTTTCTTTTTTGAGTCAGGGTCTCATTCTGTCACCCAGGCTGGAGTGCAGTGGTGCAATCGTAGCTCACTGCAGCCTCAAACTAGTGGCTTCAAACGCTCTTCCTGCTTTGGCCCCCCAAAGTGCTAGGTTTACAAGCATGAGCCACTGTGCCCAACCACAGTGTAATTTTGAAAGTCATTCCTGGATATTTATCCTAGTGTCTATTTCTTCAACTTCCCTAATGAGTCCATGAGCTATCCATACCCCTTAATAAATCCTTTTATGTTTAAATTAGCAAGAGTGAAATCTGTTTTCTGCAACAAAGAAAACTAACCAATACATACATTCAATAAATGTTAGCTCTTACTATTATTTAAAATACTTCATCAAAGGTTTAGTAATAATGGAAGTAATTACATTTCAGGAAAGGAAATTTTAAATTGGCTACTAGATAGGACTATATAAAATAACTTCTGGAGTAGTACTGTCCCACAGAACTTGCTTTTTCTTTTTCTTTTTGAGACAGTCTCACTCTGTCACCCAAGCTGGAGTGCAGTGGTGCCATCATAGCTCAATGCAGACTTGAACTCCTGGGCTCAAGTGATCTTCCTGCCTCAATCTTCCAAATGGCCTCCCAAAGTTCTGGGGTTACAGACGTGAGCTACTGAGCCTGACTTGAATTCACAATATCGGCTCACTGCAACCTCCACCACCCAGGTTCAAGCGATTCTCCAGCCTCAGCCTCCTGAGTAGCTGGGATTACAGGTGCCTGCCAACACGCTCGGCTGATTTTTGTATTTTTAGTAGTGACAGGGTTTCACCATGTTGGCCAGGCTGGTCTTGAACTCCTGACCTCAGGTGATCCACCTGTCTCAGCCTCCCAAAGTGTTGGGGTTACAGGCGTAAGCCACTGCGCCTGGCCAGAACTTTCTTTAATGATGGACATGTTCTGTATTCGCACTCAATATGGTAGCCACTGATTATATGTGGCTTTTGAGCACTTAAAATGTGGCTTCTATAACTGAGGAACTGAATTTTTAATTTGATTTAACTTTAACACACTTAAGTTTAAAATTAAATAGCCACTTGTGGCTAGTGGCTACTGTGTTAGATAGCACAGTCTTGAGTATCCCAGCCCTACCTTTCACAAGGGTGTTTTACAGCTCTCTCTCTCTCTCCCTGGCCAAGGAAACATCTTCAGTCAGTTCTTCCACAAGCCCCAGTCTCAGGGCCACACCATAATAATCTACAGAGGTGCAAAATGCCCACGATGATGACAATTTTTAAACGGTAAATTTAGAGTTTCATTGTACCTAAACCTCATTCTAAGATTGCATATTGACTTTTTATTTGCACGACCGAATGTTTATTGACTATAAGGTACTTGTATGTGTGTATAATGAGAACTGTACAAGAATGTTTACTGAAAAACCAAACACCGCATGTTCTCACTCATAGGTGGGAATTGAACAATGAGAACACGTGGACACAGGAAGGGGAACATTACACACCAGGACCTGTTGTGGGGTGGGGGGAGGGGGATAGCATTAGGAGATATACCTAATGTTAAATGACGACTTAATGGGTGCAGCACACCAACATGGCACATGTATACATATGTAACAAACCTGCACGTTGTGCACATGTACCCTAAAACTTAAAGTATAATTAAAAAAAAGTTTACTGAAGCATTGTCTATAGTAGACAAAGGTTGGAATTAATCTAAATGCCTATCAAAAGAGAAATAGCCAAGCACAATGGAATATTGTATAAAAGTTAAAAAGGGCCGGGCACAGTGGCTCACACCTATAACCTCACCACTTTGGGAGGCCAAGGCAGGCAGATTGCTTGAGCCCAGGAGTTTGAGACCAGTTTGAGGAACATGACAAAACCCTGTCTCTGCAAAAAATACAAAAATTAGCAGGGCATGGTGGCATGTGACTGTGGTACCAGCTGCTTGGGAGGCTGAGGCAGGAGGGTCACTTGTGCCCTGGAGGTGGAGGTTGCAGTGAGCCAACACCATGCCACTGCACTCCAGCCTGAGTGACAGAGGGAGACCCTGTCTCAAAAAAAAAAAAAAAAAAAAAAGAATGACTATCTATAATAATCGTATAAAGTGTTCAATATTATATTATTGAGTGAAAAGAATCAAACTGCAGAATAATATATAGAATATAATTTGTTTTCTTAAAAACATGCATGTAAAAATACTACATGTTTATTTTCTATGAGTACATTTATATGTATGCAAAAGTATACTGAAAAGTCAGTGAGGATAGCCTCAAAACTCCTAGAAGTGATTTTTTTAGAGGAAGGGAGAAAGGAACTGGCGTTGTGGGGAGTGATTAAAGAGAACCAAAACTTTGTCTGCAATGCTCTAATTTTTTTCAAAAGGGAAGAATGTATTACCATATATTCACTAGTAATTAAATGCTAATAAAAATACAAAAAAAATAATGGTAGACTTTTAAAGGGGTAGCTTACTGTGAAATAAGATGAATAATTATAAATTTGTTATTCAAAGCCAAATTTTTTTTTTTTTTTTTTGCCTGACTAGTGGTCAAAAGGAGTCAGTAATCAGAGCCATCATCCAACAACTCTAGGAACCTTCTGGAACACAGACATTCACAAAAAGAGTGCAGATTTCAGTGAAACTCCTCTTCCACGTGTCACTTTTTCATGTTATATACATAAACCCACATAATGGACCATAAAAGTTTCATAGACCTTCCTTGTCACACAACCAAGCAAATGTACAACTCAAAGGAAACCAGGAAAAGACACAAGAGGTGTCCAAGTTCAGCTTCAGGAGGTCTCTTTTCTATGCTCTTCCACTCCCCCCCTTCCTCCCACACAGATGTTCCCTATAAATGAGCTTGGCTCTATGCAGCTCATATCAGAATGGGATTGTCCAAAACAGTTTGAAGAGAGGAACTCACACTTCCTGAAATGATTATCTCTTGACATAAATTCAAATTTAGGAAGGAACCGTCTAAGCCTTTTATAAATACCCATGATGCCCATATGTGACTCAAGACTGATTTTGTTTCCTCCTGTCCTCTTGGTACCTCTTTTATCTTACTATAGTGATGCTATGGCTTCGGTTCATGACTACAGTGAGTGACAGCTGGGATCTGGCCCTTTCCTCCTGCCCCAATTCATAAATGGTGGGCGTTTCTCATATCTCGAGGGCCCAGGTGCTTGGAAATACTGCCAAATATTCCTTTCAACTTAAAAAAAATGTAATTATACTGGATTAGGTTATGCATTCACATAATTTAAAAATTCTGAGGATACAAAGAGTATAAAGTGAAATTTGTTTCCCCATCTATGTTGTCCAGTTGCCCAGTTCCCTTCCCCAGTTCTACCAGTTCCTAGAATACCTTCCCCTAGATAGATATTTTGTACATGTTTAAAATAACATGTTTTAAATATTTTTAGTAGAGACAGGGTTTCATCATGTTGGCCAGGCTTGTCTTTACAGGCCCAGCATGGTGGCTCACGCCTATAATGCTAGCACTTTGGGAGGCAGAGGCGGGTAGATTGCCTGAGCTCAGGAGTTCAAGACCAGCCTGGCCAATGTAGTGAAACTCCGTCTCTACTAAAATACAAAAAATTACCCAGGTGTGGTGGCGCATGCCTGTAGTCCCAGCTACTTGGGAGGCTGAAGCATGAGAATCTCTTGAACCCGGGAGGTGGAAAGTGCAGTGAGTTGAGATCGTGCCAGTGCACTCCAGCTTGGATGACAGGATGAGACTCTGTCTCCAAAAAAATTTTAAAAATAAAATAACACATTTATATTTTCTCCCCTCCTTTTATTTTTTTATTTTACATTAGCAATAGAACACTATATGGGCCAGGTGCAGTGGCTCATGCCTGTGGGCCGAGGTGGGTGGATCACCTGATGTCAGGAGTTCAAGACCAGCCTGGCCAACATAGTGAAACCTCGTCTCTATTAAAAATACAAAAATTAGCTGAGCGTGATGGTGGGCGCCTGTAATCACAGCTACTCGGGAGGCTGAGGCAGGAGAATCGATTGAACCCGGGAGGCAGAGGTTGCAGTGAGCTGAGATGGCGCCATTGCACTCCAGCCTGGGCGAAAAAGCGAAACTCCATCTCTATCTCAAAAAAAAAAAAAAAAAAAAAAGAAAAGAAAAAAAAGAAAGAAAGAAAAAGAAATTAGAGAAGTATCTGGGATTTAGAAAGTTCAGAAAACTTGGAGAAGGGCCTTTGGCCCATGCGGTGGTTACTGAGATGCTCATTGTTTACGTGCAGTTGACTTCAAGATAGAAGGTTCAACCTCAGTGTCAAGCTCAACCTCCAGGACCCTCTTGGAGACTTCCAAGACCTAGGATGGCTGGGCATTCAGTGCTTTGGGAGCTGCCATCCTTCACCTGCTAGGGTTCTGTGTGGGATCGGGGTGGGGGTCTCTGTTACTCAGGAAACTGCCCTCCCTTCCTCCCAATTAGATTTGCACTTTATTACTTTTTTTCTTTAGCTTTTTTCGAGATGGACTTATACTTAAAAAAACCTGCTCTTAGATAATGGGTGGCAGGGGGGTAGAGGGGATTTGAGAAGACCTGGAAAATTCCCAGGTCTCCACTAAATAAGAAAACTGGAGAGTAAGGGGACTGGAGAGGAACGGAGAAAGAAATGTATTTTCTTTTCTTCTTGTAATCAGAACTGTAGCTTGCAATATTTTTTTCCCAAGCTTCTAAGAGAGTTTTGCAAACAATTGGAGTAATTAAAAGTTCTCAGAAGTAGCCGATGGTGCCCTTTTCACCGAGGGAATGTGGGCCAAGCATGATATATTAAAAGAGAGGGAGCTGCTCTATTGAAGTTAAAAATAATCTGTCACATGGCTAATTTGTTGGAATGCAGCAATAAAGGGCTGTGGGCAGAGGGAGAGCTGGAAGCAGCTGGGAAGTTTGCAGGCAGAGTGCACGCCCTGGGGACTGTGTTTGTAGGGAGAGAAAACAGTGTTACAGCTGCCTTAGGGCACCTTATCAGAAAACCCACAAAATGGGCAGGAAGAAGGAAGAGTAGGTTTGAGTCCAGAGCATGACCTTTGGGCTTATCAGACAGTGAAGGGATGGGTCAGAACTTGTCACCTGTGTTCACGGGATGCTGATTCACTCAGCAAGGATGAAGTCTTTTCAGATCCCCCTGCATTTGAATCCGTTTCAAAGGAATACATAATTCAAAGGAAGCTTTTGATCCGAAATCCATGGGAAAACCAATCTATAGGGTCTTGAGCGAAAAAAGTTCAAGCCAGGAATACAAATCCTAGTTTGGGGGATTGGGGATATTATAATTTTTGAAATGTTAGAGTTGAAAGAGAGAAAACAAATTATTTAGTATAATCCCTGAATTTTCCCTTCCTTCCTTCCTTCCTTCTTTCTTTCTGTCTTCTTCTTTTTTTTTTTTTTTTTTGAGACAGAGTCTTGCTCTGTTGCCTGGGCTGGAGTGCAGTGGCTCGATCTTGGCTCACTGCAACCTCTGCCTCCCGGGTTCAAGTGATTCTCCTGCCTCAGCCTCCTGAGTAGCTGGGACTACAGGCATGCACCACTGCGCCCACCTAATTTTTGTATTTTTAGTAGAGATGGGGTTTCACCATGTTGGTTAGCCAGGATGGTCTCGATCTCTTGACCCTGTGATCTGCCTGCCTCGGCCTCCCAAGTGCTGGGATTACAGGTGTGAGCCACCACGCCCGGCCTACTCCCTGAATTTTCTACATGAGGCAACAGGCTCAAAGAGGTTGATTTGCTCAAGGTCACTCAACCAGCAAGTAACAGAGCTAGATTCAAACCCAGGTCTTTAGCTAGAAAGGAAGGGCATAGTGGTTAGCAAATATAGGGTTCAGAATGCCCTGATGTCAAATCCTGGCTCTACCAGCAGGACCCTTGGGCAAGTTTCTAACTCCTCTCAGTGTTAGTTTCATCATCTGTAAGATGGGAATAACAATAGTACCCACTAGAATTGCTACAATGTATGTAAAGTGCTAAGTATGACATCCAGCCTAGAGGAAAGGCTTAATCAAACACTAGATGTTATCATGCCACAGCTTTTTCATCACCCTGCATCAAATTTCTAGAGCTTTCCGCAGATTAACTTGTCCAAACATCCTCTTTGGTTTGGGTGGGATTCTCTTTCTCCCTTTCCCACCTCCAACTCTCACCCATTATATATAAAGAAAAAGAGGGTGGCCGAACTTTAACCTCTCTATCCTCTGGTAGACACTTTCGCTAGCATTTCCTACATTGTAACACACCCATGAGACTTGTTTTCTCTTAAGCTACATGCCCTCCGGCCTGTATTTTCAGTATGGTTTCCAAGTTGCTGACAGGCAGAAACGGTGCCAACATGAAGAAGCAAGTATTGCTGCCCCAAATGCAGCAGCAAGATGTGTTTGAATGTTTTAGAATAGATGATCATTTTTCAAATTCATAATGGGCACCGCTCACAGAGGGGGCTCTTAACATACAAGGCAGGTCTGGGCTCATAGTTAGCACTTCTGGAAAGTGGAGGCCGAGTTCTGTGTGTGCACATACCAAAGAACAGGAGCCTACCTCCAGCAGCTTGGGCAAAAGCAAAGGTGAATTTAGTGGCTCAAGTAACCAGAAGACCAGATTTCATTGATGACTAGATTCAAGTGTTCACTAATTAGACACATTTCTGCTTTGTTGGGCTCCATTCTTCAGACTGATTCTTTCTACTTGGCAGAAAAAAAAACATCTACAGAGAGTCTAACCTTTACTTTTTCTCCAGGTTAGTTTTTTTTTTTTTTTTTGAGACAAAGTTTTTGCTCTTGTTGCCCAGGCTGGAGTGCAATGGTGTGATCTCGGCTCACGGCAACCTCCACCTCCCGGGTTCAAGTGATTCTCCTGTCTCAGCCTCCTGAGTAGCTGGGATTACAGGCATGCGCCACCACGCCCAGCTAATTTTATATTTTTAGTAGAGATGGGGTTTCTCCACTTTGGTCAGGCTGGTCTCGAACTCCCGAACTCAGGTGATCCACCTGCCTCGGCCTCCCAAAGTGCTGGGATTACAGGCTTGAGCCACTGTGCCCAGCCCTGTTTTTTTTTTTGTTTTTTTTTTTTTGAGATGAAGCCTCTCTTGATTGCCCAGGCTGGAGTGCAGTGGCATGATCTCTGCTCACTGTAACCTCCGCCTCCCGGGTACAACCAATTTTCCTGCCTCAGCCTCCCGAGTTAGGGCTACAGGTGTGTGCCACCACACCCGGCTAACTTTGTATTTTTAGTAGAGATGAGGTTTCACCATGTTGGCCAGGCTGGTCTCAAACTCCTGGTCTCGTGATCTGCCCGCCTGGGACTCCCAAAGTGCTGGGATTACAGGCATGAGCCACCCTGCCCAAACTGGTCAGTATTCTTAAGGAAAGTATGTCACGCCTCCCTGAGTTGTCTTTCCCTGATTGGCTGCTTTAAATCACATGCCTATTCCTGAAACAATAGGGCTAGGAGAACAGGCTTCTCTGATTGGACAGAGTGGATCACATGCCCAACCCTTGTCACCAAGGGAAGGCGGAGCATACTGATTGGCAGCACCACTACTTCACACAGAATGGAAGAGGAACAGTTCCTAAAAGAAAAATTGGAGCTACAGAAACCAGAAGACAGGGAAAGGGATACAAAAGTCCATGACAAGACCTACGTGCATTTTCCTTGGATGGTGGTTCATAGCTTGCTTCACATCCTCAAAGTTATTGTATAATCCAAGAAATAGTAAGACTTTTGGGGCCAGGCACGGTGGCTCATGCCTGTAATCCCAGCACTTTGGGAGGCCGAGGCGGGTGGATCATTTGAGGTCAGGAGTTCGCGACCAGCCTGGCCAACATGGTGAAACCCTGGCTCTTCTAAAAATACAAAAATTAGCCGAGCATGGTGGCGGGCGCCTGTGATCCCAGCTACTCGGAAGGTTGAGGCAGGAGAATTGCTTGAACATGGGAGGCGGAGGTTACAGTAAGCTGAGACTGCACCACTGCACTGCACTCCAGCCTGGGTGACAAAGCAAGGCTGTTTTCTTAAAAAAAAAAAAAAAAAAAAAAAAAGAATTTTTGGAGAAGAAAATGCTTCCTCCTACTCCAGATATTTCCTTTGGTGTGAAGGGCCATCAACTACTATAACGCTCCAGCCTCCTCTTCAGCCCTTACTCCTGCACATAGGGAAAGGAGAGCATTAGCATATTCCCAGCCCCAGGAGAAACTGGGCATGAGTTGCCGTGTCTTCCTCTTCCTGGTATCTGAGGATCAAGAAGGGAGCACAAATTCTCTCCCTCCACATGGGAGGGTGCTCCGGTCCACCGCTGCTTGTGACTGATGGGACAGTCTGTCTTATTAGGATACAAGGACACACTCAGCCACATTCTACAGCCTATAGCCTTCATCAGAAGATAATCCATCTTCTGACTTTTTTCCCCCCTCAATTGATTTAGAGCCTGAGTAGGGAGGAAGTGTGTTATTTATTTATTTATTTATTTATTTATTTATTTATTTATATATTTTTTGAGACAGCATCTGAGTCTGTCACCCAGGCTGGAGTAAAGTGGAGCCATCTCGGCTCACTGTAACCTCCACCTCCCGGGTTCAAGCAATCCTCCTGCTTCAGCCTCCCAAGTAGCTGGGACTACAGGTGTGCGCTACCATGCCTGGCTAATTTTTGTATTTTTAGTAGAGATGGGGTTTTGCCATGTTGGCCAGGCTGAGTCTGCTATTTATTGAATCCCTTCTCAAAAGTTATCAAGAACCACCAACTTAGAGCATCAAGGACCCATAGATTCATCCTCTCACCTGTCCCCTTCCTTGCTGTATTCCCAGCCCCAGGAGAAGAAGCTGTTCTCCTTGGGAATCCATAGAGATAGTGGAGTGATAGAAGTAGCTTTGGAGGGAAATTACAAGAAAGGCAGAAAAGTTAGATTTACTTACAACAGCAGGTGAGAGGAAATGGATTATATCACATGGAGCGGGGCGGGGAACAATGGAGCAGTGATTTAATAATGGACTTCACCAGAACCACGTGCAGGGTGTGGCATCCCTGGTATTTTTCCACAGCCTCACCCTGACCGGGACCACAGTCACATCTGTCCTCCACCTCGCCCAACCCACTTGTATCCTTTTACGCCCACTTCTTGGAAAATAGATTGTTCCACTTTCACAGAGAGGAGCAGGAATTTGGTGCATACACACCAGCTTAAATAACATAGTATTTTATTATTATTAGTTTTTAATTACAAAAGTAGTATACAATCTTTGAAATAACTAAACAAAGATATAGAGAAGCATGGAAAAGTATAAAGATGAAAGCTAGTCAGCTCAAAGCCATCAACTCGAGATAGCTATTGTTAACCTTTTAGTTTATTAAGTGTTCAGCCTTTTTTCTATACATATTTTAAAATTTCTTCATATTCCTTTAAAAATTTTATAAAAGCAGTTCAAATAATATAGAAGTGCATGATGTAGAAGATAAAAATGGTTTATTCTGCTATTTATCCTACTATTATGATGTAGTTGTATTATTACATGGAATTTTTGTTGTCGTCACTGCGTCCTTTTCTCTTTCCTGGTCTCAGGAATGGTTGAAATACTGGCACACACGGCTGGGCGAGGCGGCGTATACCTGTAATCCCAGCACTTTGGGAGGCGGAGGTGGGAGGTGCTTGAGCTCAGGAGTTCAAGACTAGCCTCAGCAGCACAGTGAAACCCCATCACTACAAAAAATACAAAAAATTAGCCAGGTGTGCGGGTGCGCGTCTGTAGTCCCAGCTATTTGGGAGCCTGAGGTAGGAGAATGGCTTCAGCCTGGGAGGTGGAGGTTGCCGTGAGTCGAGATCATGCCACTGCACTCCCACTCCAGCCTGGGAGACAGAGCCAGACCCTCTGTCAAAAAAAAAAAAAGAAAGAAAGAAAAGAAAGAAAGAAAGAAAGAAAGGGCACTCATGTGAGAAGAAGGTACTCGTATTATGACATCCGTTGTAGAGTTGAGGAACTGAGGCTCCCAGACTCACCCACAGCAACACCCCACTCTTGGTTGGGTGGCCAGGATCCCTGGGGACAGGAAAAATTTCCTTACTTAATAGGCAGCTTGGTTAAGAAAAGGTGGTAAGAGGCTGGACACAGTGGCTCATGCCTGTAATCCCAGCACTTTGGGAGGCCGAGGCGGGTGGATCACGAGGTCAGGAGATCGAGACCATCCTGGCCAACATGGTGATACCCCGTCTCTACTAAAAATACAAAAATTAGCTGGGCATGGTGGCGCGTGCCTGTAATCCCAGCTACACAGGAGACTGAGGCAGGATAATCACTTGAACCAGGGAGCTGAAGGTTGCAGTGAGCCGAGATCATGCCACTGCACTCCTCCAGCCTGGCGACAGAGCAAGACTCCATCTCAAAAAAAAAAAAAAAAAAAAAGAAAAAAAGAAAGAAAAGGTGGTAAGAGAAGTGGCTTCCATAAGCCAGGGCTCTTGGCCTTTCTTTCTCTACCAGAAATACCCATCACATTTACCCGTACTCACACTGGCCTCTCCAGTTCCAAGAATTTGATTCTGGGAACGTATAGCTGCAAGTGAACAAAGAGTCAAGGGAAAGTTCTTTATCAACAGAAGAATTATTTTATTCAATGTGTTTCCTTACAGAACTTGGGACAATATGGGGAAAGAATGAGAAGAAATAAAAGGCCAGTTACTTAGGCCACTTTTAATGAATCACCCCTCAATGTCATTACCCATCCTTAGTCAGGAAAAGCTTGAGTTTTTCCATGCCAAGAAAAACAGAGGGCAGGAAGAAACAAATTACAACCTTGTTTGTGTTTTGTGTCTCAACTGTTTGATTTATAGGACTTGATCCAGTGATTATGGATGAAAGAAAATATCCCAGTGTCCCAAACCTAACCTGAACTTAACCGGGGGTGGGTGTCACGTCCACTGCTCAAGTTAGCACAAAGTTAAAATGCTTTAAGAAGAAAGCATCGAGGTTTGGAGCTGCCTGTAGGCATTCTCAACCCAGCGGCAAGGCCAAATTCCTTTCCCACACTCCGATTTCAAAAAAACTCTGTTTAGAAACTTTACCCCTTTTTCCTTATCCCAGAAGCTGAGCATTTATCTATTTAGCAGATAGTTACCAAGCACCTACTGTGTGCAATGCATGACGTTGGACAGAGGACACAAAGAGCATACAGATCAATCAACACACAAATCAGAAAATGTCATGTAGGCTGGGCACAGTGGCTTATATAATCCCAGCATTTTGGGAGGTCCAAGTGGGAGGATCACTTTAGGTCAGGAGTTTGAGACCAGCCTGGCCAACATGATGAAACCCTGTCTCTACAAAAAATACAGAAATTA